>NC_000011.10:125354242-125657273 GCF_000001405.40 Homo sapiens
CACATGTTCAGGGAAGCAGGACCTGATGGGAACATGGGCCAGGCACACCAGGGAATCCTGTCCAAAACAGAGCTCTCAGGAAACAAAGCCCACTCCCTCCTCATTCCTTTAGGTCTAATCTCATTACTTGTGGACCACGTATGACTTGTTTCCTCACAACCTGGGCAGCTGAGCACACCTCTCCATCACCTCTTCAGAAACCCAGTTTCTTCCACAGGCAACAAATGGGCAGTCTCTGATATGAAGTCCCCCAAATGAAAAAGGAAGCGAGACGCAGAGCCCTTCCTCTGAGACCCATGCGATCGTTTTAATAATGTTCCCGTTGTGCTAAGGGCTAGCAATACCGAGCATAATCTATTCAAATGCACAGGAGAATCTCACTTTGGAAAATTAGGAATCTGCATTAAAAAATTCCCAAGCCCCGGACCTTCTTTATAATAAATTAGAATTTTTTTTCAAGGCGAGTTCTTAACTTGGCAATTTCATTTTTGAAGTTTGGGGAATAAAGTTATTAAAAATGAGGGAGGCTTTTTTTTCTTCCCATTTTAGTAGAGAAGCATTCACTGTTATGGCCTCGTGCTATTTGGGCACAAGCCAAGTGATACGATGGCTAAGCGGCTTCTAGCCCCTTAGTTCTGTTGCAGTCCATCCCGGAGAAACTTTGTGATTGTTTGTAAGGCCGCCACACTCTCTGTTGATTGTGCACTGAAGGATGACTGTATGTTTAGAAAGTGCAAAAGCGGGCTGGGCATGGTGGCTCATGCCTGTAATACCAGCACTTTGGGAGGCTGAGGTGAGCAGATTGCCTGAGGTCAGGAGTTCAAGACCAGCTTGGCCAACACGGTGAAACTCTGTCTCTACTAAAAGTACAAAAAGTAGCCAGACATGGTGGCACATGCCTGTAGTCCCAGCTACTTGGGAGGCTGAGGCAAGGGAATGGCTTGAACCCGGGAGGCGGAGTTTGCAGTGAGCCAAGATTGCGCCACTGCACTCCAGCCTGAGTGACAGAGTGAGACTCTATCTCAAAAAAAAAAGAAAAAAAAAAAAAAAAGAAAGAAAGAAAGTGCAAAAGCAACAACCTAGTGGAACCCTCCCTGTGACCTACTTCCTCTTTCTGGTGGCTTCCTGCTAAATTCTGCCAGAGTAGCAGCGCCCTCTACTGTCTTAACTACAGGACCCCAATTTCAGCATGCTGTAACTGGGTCCTTGATGCAGACCCCTCACTTTATGCCCTGAAGAGGTAGGGGTAAGTCACTGGGGTAGTGGAATTCTACAATGATTGCCTAATGACCACACTGTCTCTAGAGAGACCTGGATGTGAACTAGGTGTGTGAGCCTCAGTTCAGTGCGTTGTGTTGATTCCAACATCACCCCACTTCTGTTCTGTATCTCTGCCATAGTGGGCCTGGCTGTCAGCTGGACTTTCACAGCCCCCTCCTCCCACTGCCCCAAGAATCCCCACTGACCCTTCCATTTGCTACTATTTCTGTCCTCTCCTGCCTTGCTTAGAATCCCAGCAAGTGTCACTCCAGCCTCCCTCCCAGAATTTTCTTGGGAACACACAACCACCCCGTCACTCCTTCTAGGCAAATACCTCTCATTCATGTACTCTCAGAAATGTCACTCGAGACCTTCCTGTAACACCCATATGCAACATCACCCGCCAAGCGAAGTTCTCACTTCTATAGCTCCATCAGCCACTCCGGGGAGCCATCCGGGTTCACTAGCAAAGGCAACCACTTCACTCCCCTCACCTTCCCACACAAAACACACTCTCACTATCAGCACCCCCCCCCCCACAACTTTTCCTCAAACACAGACACATACCTACTGTTCCACAAATATCTTTGCCCTTGGCTTATTAGCAAGACAAATATTGTATCTGGTCTATTTGAGTATGTATTCAATGTTTAGTATGCTTCAGTCTGCGTGTCCCTGGCATGTCAGCTGCATGAGCATTGGACTAGAAAGCAGAAATCCTGGTAGATCCTAGTCTGACCTACTAGGCACAGCCCCTGTCAATGTGGAACTAAACTCAATGGATAGTTTAGGAACAAACTGATGGGTAGGTAGCTAGGGGCTTACGTAGCATGACTTGATGATGAGTGGCATTGAAAGGGTTTGGGAAGTTCACCAAGGATGCAGCCTCATTTTTGAACAGAGAGAGAAAAGACAGGCAGTTAGAACTCGTAGTTGAGGTCCGGTTTGTGAGGCTCACTTCGGAAGGAAGTCAAGTGTTTGCTTGGGGCCCCTTTGCAAAAGCTGTGTCCCTCCCATTCCCCTCACCCCGATCCTCCAGCATCCCTCAGAGTGGGGAGAATGGTGTCTGGGACTCCAGGACATGGCACTCAGAGATCTGGGGTCAAGACAACATTGTCTCACTTACCCTGCAAGAGGAAGGCTAAGGCTGGGCCAGCCACACTGAGGAAGCCAGACCTGTCTCTCTGGGCACCTTCTTTCCCTCCCTGTCCTAGCACCATCCCCACTCCAGGTGGGGCCAGGGGAGGCAGATATCCTGGGGAAGCTGGATGGGCTTTGATCAGTCATTAGGATCCCCATGCTGGTTTAATTAACTGGAGGCAAAAGGGGGTGGCTGGGGCCCCTGGCTGTGAATGGCCTCCATCCAGGCCACACAGCTGTGACAGGCAGAAGTGGGTTCAGATGTTTTCACACTCGCTTTACATTCCTCTCATCTCTTTAAGGGCTGGAGCCCCCTGCCTTGCAGGGCCCTCTGCTCAGCTGCCTGTGAAACACATTTGCTTTGCAGCAATAGAGTTAATTCAGCAGCTTTGAAAGTTCCCCTAAGCCTTTTCTGTGATGGTGATTGATGGCTCCCTCTGCCCCTGGGGGCAACACCCCAGGGACCATATGAGGGCCCACCTTCCCTTGCTTCGACTCACCAAAACAGACTCTTCTCTTTCTTTTTTCTTTTCTGCTGGGCCTTTCTTCTCTTTGTGCACAGTGACCTCTCTCTCTGCCTGCTTGGGCCACCCATGTCTTTAAGCTGAACATATCCCTGAACTCCAACTTACTCAAGACCTGGACTCTTCATTGTGTAAAAGGCAAAAACAACCTCCAGGTCCAACCGTGGGGCCTTTATGCCCATGTAGGAGATGGTGGGCTGTCAGCATGGCTTTAAACTTGGGAAGAAACACTCTACTGGCCTGGTCTAGGTATTTTATTTGATGAACTTACTATATTCTGATATTTACCAAAAACAGAGATTTTATTGTCTACTCCCTTGTCCCCAAGCAGAACGAATGAATGCCCTAAACAGCTACAAAAATAATTAATGGCCCTGGGATACAAAGCCTAAAATAAATCAGGGGACAGGTGATCCAAGTCAGCAGCGGGTCTGGGGAGGACCTTACATGCTCTGCCTGCCTTTCGCACGCCGTTGGTCTTAGTTGGTCTTCAGAAAGCTTTGGTGTCTGTGCGGCCTGGCAGGAGGCAGGTGGGTGAGTTAGGGCCCCAGGATGCTTGCTGTTCTTGAAGTCTGTGGTCTGAAGAGGAGGATGGAATGACTCAATCTCGTAGAAATTCAGCAATCAGGACTTGTAATAAGAATTTGTATAATTATCAGCTCCACTGCTGATGAATTATACAAATTTAGGCAAGTAATTTCAGAGCTATTTCTTTCATCCACTTATCCATTCGATAAACATTGAGTGTGTCCTGTGGGCCATGCGGACATTGTGCTGTGTACTGGGGTGCAAAATCAACAGAGTTCCTGTCCTCTTGGAGCTTAGAGTCCATGTGGGGCCTTAGTTTCTGCATTCATAAAATGAGAATAACTCTGCCCTCCCTGTCTCACGAGGCTGTTGAGAGTGTGGGAACAAAAAGTACAGTGGTGTTCCTCAGCCCCTTTTCACCCTCACCCCAACTTCATTCTTCACTCGATCACCTGCACATCTCCAGCAGCCCAGATGGGATTTAACCTTAATTACTTTTTATTAGGAACATAATAGGCATGTCAAATAGGTTTTACCAGCTATGAACACCCCCTTACACACACGCACACACATAGATGTGCACACACAGGGATTCTGGTGTGCCCTCTGAAGGACCTATTGGAAATCACTGGTTTTGGACTATTACAAAAGGGAAGGATCTTCCAGAGGGAAGCGATGGGATGGGCAGGAGGCCATCAGTTCCCGGGAAAATGCACAAAGCTGGGAAGTGGAGTCCACAGCTTTCCTCTTCTTGGCCTCCTGTCAGTGACAGCCCAGGAAATGCAGTTAGGGGCAGTGAATGTTCCATGAGTCACATTGTGTAAACCACCACTTACAAACCCTTTTAAAATTAATTAACTAACTGAAACCCCCATTGTACACCACTGAGCAACTCTTCTATGGTCTGTTCTGTCCACTTGGCCTGGGATCAGAATAGAGGTGACCGAGGCCTGCTGTTCCAAGAGCCTCTTTGAGCTACACTGGGCTGTCCGGCTCTGATGCCGGCCCTTCCTCTCCCTGGGCTAACTGGGTTGGGGAATATTTTGAGGGGCCTTCTTTGGCCTCTCCCAGGATTTGGGATCCCTGAGGCCTTTAACACATCACTCAGTCATTGCCTCCTTCTGGTCATCCTTCAGTCATTTAACATGTGGGAGTACACTGCGGGCAGGCATGGGAGCTGGGAGACCAGCCCGCTCATGAGACAGGCAAAGGGCCTGGTGTTGCCGGTGTTGGGGTCCGTTCAGATGAGGCAGGAGTCCAGTCTTCTGCGGCCTGGGGAGGGAGGAGAAGCAGGAAAGGCTTCTTGGAAGAGTTGAAGCTGCAGCTGGGTGGGAGGCAGGTTGCAGGGGAGATGAGGACAGTCCCTGCTGAGGCAGCTGTGGGAGCAAAGGCAGGAAGGTAGACACCATCGGAAAGGCAGGAAGGTGGACACCATCGGAAAGGCAGGAAGGTGGACACCATCAGGTGCGCTCAGGCAACCAAGGGTAGGTGTGAGGCGATAGGGTAAGGGGAGGAGGGCTGTGCAGGTGACAAGGCTGCGGATCCGTGAGCAGCTTTCAGTAGCTTTGAAAGTTCCCCTAAGCTTTTTCTGTGACTGTTAGCGAAGGGTCCCTCTGCCCCAGGGGCAACACCCCAGGGACCATATGGGGACCCACCTTCCCTTGCTTTGACTCATCAAAACAGACTCTTCTCTTTCTTTTTTGTTTTCTGCTGGGCCTTTCTTCTCTTTGTGCACCTTGACCGCTCTCTCTGCCTGCTTGAGCCACCCATGTCTTTAAACTGGACATATCCCCATACTCCAACTCGCCTGAGCAGGCCCAGGTCTGGAGCGCCCTGGACTCTGTGCCCCCCAACAATGTTCATGTCCCCTGTTGCCTCCTACCTATTAAGGCCAGACTTGATGTTTACCAAGTGACCTCAAGCCCTGACCTCTTCCCGGGTCCTTGGCTTCTCTCCTGGTTGCCAGGAAACTGATCCCATACCTGGCTTGCCCCAAACTGGAGGGAGTACCAGCCCTGCCGGGCCCGCCTGAAGCCTCAGTGGCCCCTTGAGGGCTAGGCCTGGGCAGCCCCAGGGGGCCAGAACACAAGGTTTTGGCAGCCTAAGGGGGCCCTCCTGGGGCTGGCTGGCACCTACTCTGCCATGTCAGGTGGAGGGCTCAGAAGAGGGGATGTCCTCTTAGGAGTGTCTGTGCTTTTTTTATATTTTTAGTAGAGATGGAGGTTCTCCATGTTGGTCAGGCTGGTCTCGAACTCCCGACCTCAGGTGATCTGCCCGCCTCGGCCTCCCAAAGTGCTGGGATTACAGGCGTGAGCCACCATGCCCGGTGTAATCCCAGCTATACGGGAGGCTGAAGCAGGAGAATCGCCTGAATCCAGGAGGCAGAGGTTGCGGTGAGCCGAGATGGTGCCATTGCACTCCAGCCTGGGCAACAAGAGCGAAACTCCATCTCAAAAAAAAAAAAAAGAAAAAGGAAAAAAAGGAGTGTCTGTGCTGAGAAGGTGAAGGCTTGGGTGTTCAGCGTTTTCAGAAAGAGGCCCTGTGGGAGGTGTGTGGGGGTTTAATAGTCATAACAAGCAAGACTGTATGCAGAGGAGTGGGGGCACTGGGGCCGGATCTGAACAGGGGGTGGGATTTGGATTTGATTCAGAGGAGAAATCTAGCAAAAGGAAGCATTAGAATTGCTTAGAAACCAAGGTTTGCGGGGCATCTGCTGCTTGCAATGCACCCTCACATATGGTCTCGCAGTAGCCCTGGGAAGAGATATTAATAGCTCCATTTTTACCTCATGGGGAAACTGAGGCTCAGAGGAACTGAGTCCTTGCCTTGGGCATGCCACTCAATTCCAAGCTGGTAACGCATAATGTAACCTTCTGTGACACCAGGGGCCGCCTGTTCCTGCACTTGAACTCACACTTGCCTACCTCCCAGGGAATTTATGCAGAATGGGTTCCTTCAGCAGGGGTGGCACCCACACTGGTAGGACCCCCAGGGCAGCCCACATGAGAGAAACAACAGCAGCCAGCTCTCAGGGTGTGGGCTGTAGGCTGTGTGGATTTTATTAACAATAACCGCCATATGCTGAATAGCTACTGAGGGCCAGCTACTTTGCATATAATTGTCTCATTTAATTCTGAACACCCTGTACCTTGAGTATAATTATTCCCATTTTATAGATGAGAACCCTGGTTGAAAAAGGTTGAGTAACTTGCCCAAATCACACAGGCAGGAGAGAGCCAAATACAAAGCAGAGATTCATCCCAGCACAGCGTGCTCTGTCCCATTGTTTCCAGCTCTGGGCTGGACACCCAAATCCCCCCAGTCAGTTATGTGGTCAGGAACTGTAGACTTCTCTTTTGTGACCTGAGGATTCAGGGTCAAGGAGGTAAATCTGCAGCTAAAATGGTAGCATTCAATCAGACCTGCCCACTCCATACCAGTCATTCCTGATTCAACAGATAGTTCAGATACTCTCTCTACCAGACACTGAGGCTACGACAGTAAACAGAAAAGCCCTGGTCCTGCCCTCAAGGATCCTACAGTCTAGTGAGGAGGGAGGCGAGTGAGCAGACAGGTCACAGCAGCATGCTGAGGGCCACGCAGGCCTGGGGCAGAGGAGCCTGGCCTGGTTCTGGATGCTCTGCCACCATCCACTGGAGGAGACAGACATCCCCATCATGGCGGTGGGAGGTAGGAAGCACCTCGCCTATTTTTCAGATGAGAAACCTGAAACCCCAGAAGGTAAAGTTCCATCTTTAAGGCTGTAAGTGGTAAGAGTGGGATTCAAAACTAGTTCTATCTGAAACCCACGCTTCTGCTCTCCCCAATGCCAACCATCTTCTTTTTTTTATTTATTTTTTTGACTTTATTTATTTATCTTATTATACTTTAAGTTCTAGGGTACATGTGCACAATGTGCAGGTTTGTTACATATGTATACATGTGCCATGTTGGTGTGCTGCACCCATTAACTCATCATTTACATTACGTATATCTCCTAATGCTATCCCACCCCATCTTTTATGGGTGCTGGAAAGACCTTGGTATCAGCCCCACTTCTAAACCATCTGCTCCCACCTCCCATGAGCAAGGGAGGAAGTCTGAAGGGAAGTTGGCAGGAGGCAGCAGCTGAATGCAACTTGGGCCTCCGGGCTCCAGAAGGCTTGAAGCCCCTGCAGGCAGGTTTCCTGTGGGCTCTCGGCCTCCAGGCTCCTCATAGCCTGGGAGGGAATTTGACCCAGCAGTGAGCCACCTTCGATTAATAAACCAGCTGTGCCTTCCCACATGGGTTCCACATGGGAGAACTGTTTCTGGCACGATCATTGTTGGGAGAATGATTTGAACTCGTAGGGGAGAGGTTTGTTGAGGGAGAGGGACAAACTGGGACCAGCAGTGAGGACGGGGTGGACTAGATGGAGACTTAGAACACATGCAGAGGGGGGTGAAGTTTCATTCTAATTGGAGCCCCCCTACACCTCCTGCCTCTTTTTTCACAGAGAGGGGAAAATCTTCCCATTCTCCTCTTCAAAGAAAAGTAATTAAATGCTCCAATTCACATAGTGCGATTAGTCAGAAGGCCCTCTGTGGGCTTCTGTTTTCTCATCTGTGAAATGGAGATGATGATAACCTACTGCACAGGATTATTGTGAAACATGAAGGCCCACATGGTTTTTTTCTTTTTCTTTTTTTGTTTTTTAGAGACAGGGTCTTGCTCTATCTCCCAGGCTGGAGCACAGTGGTACGACCATAGTTCACAGCAGCCTCGACTTTCTGGACTCAAGCAATCCTCCTGCCTCAGCCTCTCGAGTAGCTGAGACTACAGGCACCACCGCATCCAGCCAATTTATTTTACTTTTTGCAGAGATGGGTTCTTGTTTTGTTGTCCAGGCTGGTCTTGAACTCCTGGCTTCAAGCAATCCTCCCACTTCAGCCTCCCAGAGCACTGAGATTACCGGCATGAGCCACTGCACCCAGCCCAGAAATATTTTATTAGCTTATTAGAACAAAACATGTCACTCTTCCCCTACAATTGGAAAAAGATGGTGCTTAACAGAAAAGAAGCATCTGTGGGGGCTTTGGGTATCAGTGAGGGCAAGTTACATGCTTCCCAGCACCCCTTAAAACACACCAGGGAGCATCTCCTACTCATTTTCATGAGTAGAAGGCCAGACTGCCAGCGTGGCTGGATCTCTCAGCCCCACCCAGATTTTACACACCTGCATATACATCTGACAAGCCCTGACTCTTCCCACTCCTTTTTAGAATGGGAAAAGAAGGAACCTTCAAACCAAGAATCTGGGCAGGGTTTCCTTAGCTGCGAGCTTAAGGCAGAACTGGTTCTGGCTAGATGGCAGACAGAAGTCCAGTGGCTATAGCATCTACGAGAGGGACGTGCATGGAGGTGATGGCCCCAGGGTCTTTGCCCCAAGAAAGAACCCTAGGCCAAGAGAGGACATGGGAAGCGCAGAACCCGCTTCAGCCTCTCAAAGCACTGGGATTACAGGCGTGAGCCACTCACCCACCCCAGAAATATTTTATTAGCACGGGTGCAGGTGCTGGCACAATGTCACATCTCATAGGGGCCTCCCCAGGGAATGCTGCCTCCTGCCCCATCAGTAGCCATTGTCTGGTTCTCTTGATTAATCTGCACAACCTGCAGATTGAGTATTATCTCCTGCATTTTACAGATTAGGAATCCAAAGAGATCAGGAAACTTGTCCCAAAACACGTAGCTAATAATTGGCAGAGGAGCATCAAACCCAGGGCCGGATCCTCTGCTCTTTCCATTCTCTGAGGCTTTTCTGATCTCCCAGGCAGTTCTGAGGACATCATTCAACCTTGCCTCTCCTCTGTGCCTTAGCTTCCCCTGGTTGAAAAGGGACAGTCCTCCATGCCTACCCTAATGGCCTACCTGTCCCTGTCCCTAGCGGGCTGCCAAGGCAGGGTCTCCAGAGTGCTCTGAGGGCTCCTTGGGGAAAAGCTCCAAATCTGGAGTGGCCAGTTCTGAGACCAGCTGTGAATGCACCAAGTGGCCTCTTGGAGTGGGTAAGATGAGTTTCTTCCCATGCCAGACCAAAAAGAATGGAAGAAAGCTACTTGGGGAAAAACTGAAATTAGAGGTGTGCTAGTAAATATTTAACAACTTGCTCTCTGGGAGTGGGGGTGGGGAGGGCAGGGGCAAGCCCTGATTTGCAGCATTTGCCAATTTCCATGGTGTAAATGCTCCCACCATGGCCAATTTCAAGCTCTCAATGTGATGTCAGCCAATTTGCAAAATTTCTGAACATTTAACAATTGGCTTTCACAGGCCAGAACAAGGCAGTTTCAGCCCACTGCTTAATAGCCACGCCCTGCCCCTGGTCCACACCTGAGCCTACTCTTTAGGCTGTGCTGCCCAGTAACTTCCCCCAAAAAAACTTACTTCAAGCTATCCCCATCCTCCTGGCCCCCAAGCCCTGTGGACAGCTGCAGGTCCTCTCCTTTTGAGCTCCAGTTCCTGGGAAGTGGATGTCTCTGGCTAGAAAAAGAAACCTATTTGGGGATAAACACTCATTCGTCAAACCTGCAGGAAATGCAGAGTTTGCTGACTTGGCCCCCATGAGCTATATAAATTTGAGTCATCGTCCTCCTCAGACCAGCTCTGCTGTCTTCTTTACATACTTCTGCCAGTCACAGCCTCTCAGCTGGGGCCTCTTGGAACACTGGCAAGTGACCATTTTTGATTTACATTTTATTCTGAGCTTCCCTCCAGGGCCTTCCCCCCACACCTTTCCCCAAAGTCCTGCCTAGGAGGGGGACTTCATCCTCCTTCATCCCTCTTCATCCCAAGAGCTCAGCTAACAGAAGCCGCTTGTGGATTCCTTCAAGGACACGAGGAAACTCACTCCTAGTGGGCAGAGCAGAGCACACTGCTCCCCCTATATGTCACCCTCAGACGAGCTGTGCAGATGTAGCTATGCCTTGCTTTATGGCAGAAGTACATTCCGGAAATCTCGTGTTTAATAATAACAACCTCTCCTCCATCTGTGAAGCGCTCTAGAGTTTCCAAAGCACTTTTACATACTACACATCGTCAAATTCGAGCCTCACACCAGCGCTGTGTGGTGGGTGGTGATTATTAAAACACCCTCATGGTGTCTGAGCCTGTCAGAGTTGGAGGGGCTTCAGATATCATGTAATCCAGCCACCCAGCTGAAGCTCCCATCTTCTCCACGGTGGCCCAGCTGGTCAGTCCGACTCTGCTTGGCGTCTGCAATGGCAGGAAATTCACCTGGAAAGGGAGGCAGCCCATTCCAGCCTTAAAGAGTTGGGGTATTGGAAAGGTATTATTTAGGTTGTCTCCTTGTTATAGATCAAATGCATTGCTTGTAGTTTGGCCCTTCGAGTCATACAGAACTGATATAATCAAATCTCCTCCTTCAGATATTCAAAGGGTACTCTCATGTTTCCCCTTCTCACCCACCCCCCAAATCTTGCCTATATATCCCACGTTCCTTCAAATATTCCTCATACAATGAAGTACCGAACCCCTTTACCATCCTGGCCGACCCTGCTTTGAATGTACTTTCATGTATTTGTTTAATCAGAGTGGTGCAAGACCAGAAGTTTCTGCATGCTGTGAGCAATGCCTCTGTTAATGCATCCTCAGCTAGCATTAGTTTAGGTTGGATTTTTTTTTTTGACAGACACTTTTGATATATTGAGCCAGCTGTCAACTAAAACACGGCTACTAAGCCATGTCTCTCCTTCCCTGCACTTCAATATTGATTTTTCTTGGCCCAAATGTTAGAAGTGTTAAATTTTAACTTATTAGATGAGGAATAATCTTATCAGATTTAGCCCCTTGCCAAAATCTGTAAAGATCTTTTGGATCCCTGTTTCACGGCATTCATAAATTTGTTGAGCATTTTTTTAGACGTTCTCTAAATCACTGATTAAAGTGCTGAATAAGAGGATAAGGAGGAAGCATGAGACACTCTTTTGGAAACCTGCCCCAAACTGACATTTATCCTTTAATTGTCATCCCTTGGGTGTAGTTTTCTAATCCATGCAATTGTCCACCAGGCTGCATCTCTCCACATTTTCTGCCAGGCTCTCATGGAAAATACCTTGCTGAGGTCACTTACACCATGTTTTCCTGATCTGCAAGCTTAATGGTCATGTCAGATCCACGAACTGAGCTTTCTGATAGCAATCTCTCATCTTTGTGACCCCAGTGCCCAGCACGGTGCCTGGTACATGGCAGGGACTCAAGAAGTATCTGAAGAAATAATCAGTTGCATTAGTGAATGAAGGAATGAATCTGGCCCAGATAAGTGTGAAGATTACTGGGTTTTAGTTTTTTTCAGAATTCAGTTTATTTGTCTATTTTGAAAATTGGAACAGCATTTGCTTCTACTTTCTTTCTTACAGCACCTCCTTAATACTCATGTATTCCAAAAGGTCACCAATTTGCTTACTGATGAGAAAATAGGAGCTTAGGAAAGTTAAAGAATTTGCCCAAGGTCAAAGGCTAATAGGGGAAAACAGTAGGACTCAAGCAATTGTCTTCTGGCTTCCAGGCACCATGATGCTATGTCTAGCCTCTTACCCACTGAGATTGGAAAGGCTCCCCCAGATCAGCCAACAGTGGCAAGGGTATTTCTGCCTAATAAACGATACAATCTAGGAAAGCAGGTACATTTCTTTTATAGTCTCAACCTCATTCACCACCCATCATTCATCTATTCATTGATTCAACAAATATTTATTGAACACCTACTAGTGCCAGGCTATTCTGGGCCCTAGGAATACAACTGTTACAATCACTCCATGAGCTTACGTTTTAGCTGGGAGTGAAGAGAAAATCAATAAGCACATAAATATAGAATATGATCATGGTAAGGGCTATGAAGAAAAATAAAGCAAAAGGCAGAGGGGCTGTATGGTACTCCAAAGAGGTAGCATCTGAGCGGAGATCTAAATGAAGAGAAGATCTAAATGAAGACATGCAAATGTCTTGGGGATATATGTACCAGCAATGCTTGTATTCACAGACATATAACACTTTTTCTTCCAGAAAGCAGGGACCTAGATTCATATGATGAACTTTGCAACTATAAAATATCTGATTCTTTCAAGGCATATTAATTCATTTATTCACTCACTCATTTTCTCCGCAAGTATTTTTATTAAGCATCAAACCTTTTTACTAAGTATGTGCTAGTTGGAAGCTGGTGATGAAGGAGTGACCAAGGCCTCAGAGGAGAAGACAGATAAGTACATGAAGCCCAACACCACATGTGGGGAGAGCTACCATCGTGCTATGGACAGGGTGATGTAAGAGAACAGTTGAGGCTTATCATCATTCACACTTTTAGAGATTTCTTTGACTGAAGGAAATAAAAAAGCATGAAACTCCATAGTGATGGTTTAAAAAAAATGTAAACCATTGAACCATTTCTTTAAACAAAACCTTAGATAGAAAATCTAATAGATAATATTAAAAGGAGTTGCTCTGGTTGGTACAAAATTGTCGGCCTCGGGACACCTTCAAAAACGTGTCACAGATTATGAAATCCCCTGCCCTAAATATTTGTTATGGCCAAGAACAAGAATCTGTTCATTGCCCACTAAAGCCTGCTTATCTTGAAGTGGCCAGGTAAACCAAATTTGGAGAGCCATTCAGTCATCCTTCAAAACCACTGGGACCATAGCCTGTGGCTTCCATTAAAGGGAATAAATAAACCTGTGTCCAAACGACAGCTGATTCAGCTCCTGTTTTCCTGCTTTTCAAAGTCATCAAATCAACGCTATGATGGGCCAAACGACTCATAAGCACAATTTAAAGGATTCATCCTATTGTTTTTTTCTACTTCTGGGCAAGGGTTACCATATTTGCACTAAGAGTCATCTCTTTTCAGAGTGTGCTGGGCATCTCCTGGTTTTGGATGGCCTGAAATTGTTTTCTAGAACATGCTCATTTGAAGAAAGCCTGCTTTTCTTCCCACTGTAGCACACGTACGAATGGATGCTCATTGTGTGCTCACAGTTCTCTTGGCCTCTTGCTCTCCTCCGGGCACAGCACAGGCCAAGGCGGACCTCACACTACAGCCTGGAGACCAGCACCCTGGCCATGCTAACCCACCACCTCCCCTTTCTTCTCTCTGCAGATGACGGCAACCGCCCAGCCACCCTCCAAGGCCCAGGCTGTCCACATCTCTGCCCCCTCAGCTGCTGCCAGCACACCTGTGCCCAGTGCCCCCATCGACCCCCAGGCCCAGCTGGAGGCTGACAAGCGAGCTGTATACAGGTAGGAGACACTTCAGCTGTGTCTACAGCCCTCAACCAGCTTCAGGCCCAGCTCAGCTGTGAGGGATGAGAATGCAGGCCAAAGGGTGGGCTCGGCAGAGATGACGGCCAATAGCTATTCTCCCTTGGCCTCCTTCCCTCTCTACTCAATCCAGAAACCCCTCAGCTGTCCACAGTGACTCTAGCTTTCTGGAAATGTCTAGGGAAGGATATGGAGGCCTAGACAGCACTTCCTATCTCAACCAGGGAGATGACCCCTAATGGGTATCAGAAACCCTCCGCTCAGCCAAACAGGCAGCTGCCTCAGGACCCTTTCCTCGCCCTGTGTCCTGTTGTTGCTTTCCCTCCATCAAGCCCACCAGAGCACTGGACCTCTGACCGCACCCTCTAGAACTTGGCAGTCCACAAACTTCAGGAGGCATGAAAGTCACAGGGAGAGCTTGTTAAAACACATGGTTTTGGGCTTCATCCTCAAAGAGGACAAATCAGTAGATCAAGCTATAGGAAGAGGGATAGGCATTTTTTAAAGCATTCCAGGTGAATCTGATGCAGCTGGTTATTGGACCACACTTGGATTCATGGTAGTCTCTGTTTTTAAACAATAGGTATTGTGTGTGACTGTAGGTTCTGGCACTTTTCCCCAAGAAGGGGAGTTTGCTGAGGGCAGGCAGCTTGTTTCTTCTTGTTCTGCATCTGCCCCACGCATCCAGGGCTGAGTCTTGAATGTTGCAGAGGGTGGGATGGGGCTCAGGGAAATGCCTGTCTCCTTGATGAACTCCCATTCTTGTACATAGTTGGGGAGGAAGATGCTGTCACCTGAGAACAGGCCTGAATGAGGCTCCTACAGGGACTTTAGTTATCATTAACCACTAAGAAGAGGTGCCCAAGTCTGCACTCAGTATTGAGGCTTGACCCTTGCTCATATTCCCTTGTGGGAGCTTATATGTTCACATGCATCAGCAAGTGTGGCTCGCCTCTGGCTGGGCACACACTGCAGCAGGTGCGAATGCCAGTAACATGTGGAATGATTCACCCAAGACTAATGAATAGGAAGATTGATTTCTTTCTGAATCCTTCCCCACCACCCCAATGACGGTGCCTTTATGGTAATGGTGGTAATTAGGGCTGTTATTCTCATTCTCATCGGCATTATTTTTAGTTCCTCAGATAAGCCGAATGCCTCTAATACCAACAGTTGAGGGTCCAGAGCAGTGGCCTCTGATCACGGATCCTGGCACCAGGGGCCTCCCAGGCCCAGGAGAGGGACAAAACACAGCACCTGTGCCCTGCCCTGTGAAACACACAGGCTAGGCCCAGCTGCCTGCTGGTGGAGAGCTCTGGCTTGGGCCCCAAAGAACTCCAGGACCTGGTCACAGTGCCTCTCAGGGAGACTCTAAGAAAGGTCAAGCTAGCCACCCCAGTGTGGGATGGACCTCCTTCCCTCTGCCCTTCCCTCTTTACAGTCTCTTATTGAATCCTTACTATTCCTATGTGGGGGGCTGTGCTAGACTCCAGCAGAAGGAGGGTCAATGTGTAGTCTCTTCCCTCCATCTCTCCAGGCACCGATAGACGTACAAACAAGAAACCAGAGCTACGTGGTCAGAGCAACAGGGAAGGCTTCACAGAGGAGGCAATATTTGAGTTTGGTCCTAAAGGTTGAGTAACAGACCCCACTAGGTGGAGAAATGGGGTAGGAGAGGACCTTCCAGGACCAGCCAGTGGCCAGAGAAGCTGGGAATGGGGAGATGAGACTGCACAGACACCTGTAATTAACCTGGGCAAGGTGCAGTGGGCTTGTGCTTTTGTGGGGAGCATAAGGAGGGAAGGGAGTAGCGTGGCCTCTGAAAACTGCCCGACAGCCTGATGACATATGCTTGTCATACTCTATTTGGAGCATTGCTACTCAAAGTATGGCCTGTGGACTGGCAGCATCGTATCACCTGGGAGCAGATTAGAAATGCAGGCTCTTAAGGCTCACTCAGGCCTAAGGACTCAATCTGCATTTTCACAAGATCCCAGGGGATTCCTATGCATACTGAAGACTCACCTCGCAGCTGCTCAGACCCCTGGGTCAGGGGCCTGTAGTGAGCATAGATCATGGTCTAGAAAGCCCTCCAGATGAGTGGTGTAACGAATAGTTTTTGGAAACCTAGGTTTGAGTCCCACCTCCACTGTGTCCTAGCCTCTCTGAGCTTTCATGTCCCGATGGAACCTAAGCAGCAGACTTGATAAGAATCAATGAGACGGCCCGTGGAGGCACCTGGCCCTGCGTCCAGCACCAAACAGAGGGTTTACTCTGTCCCACCAATGGGAACCATGGGTTCCAAAGCCCTTCTCACAATCCCAGGCTCGTACCCTACCCAGGCCAACCTGCAGGAGAGGTGGGTCACTGCCCCCATGGGAGCCACCACATGGATGTCACTTGAAGAATGGCCTAGACCTTTCTGCAATTAACACTTCTTCCTACTCCCCTTCCCTCCTGGGCTTTATCTTCTCCCACCGGGCTAACCACCCGCAACCCTTGGTGTTTGCCCAAAGTATGTCTGCAGCTGTCTGACCTGGAAGAGGGAATCCCAGGCAAACGCGGCTGCCCCAGCACCTCAGGACACCGAGCTGACAGCAGCACCATGCTGGCTTCCCATCTCTCTAGTCCTGCTGCTGCCTCCTGGCCCGGCAGCCCCAGGGTTGTCTCCTACAACCACATCTCACCCATTAGTACCAGCCGCCCTCTCTGCAGCCATTGCCCCGGGATGACCAGGGAGGGAGCTCAGCCTCCTGTAGGGTCGGGTAATTTTAATTAGATTTGCCTGCCTGGGGCAGCCTGGCTGCTCCAAAGCACATCAGGGAGTCGGCATTTTATGTCAATAAGTGTAACCAGACCCTTTCCATTCAGATGAGTGCCCCACACTGGCTTTTGGGAGCCCCCATCATGGCCCCTGCTAGAACCACAGATGAAGGAAGGGTGGGTGTGGCCCCTCCCTGCCTAGGACACTGCTCGGTGGCAGAGGGGCAGTGTGACAAAGGGGAGGGAGCCTGCCAGTGCCCGGGAGGTTTTATTTGTGTATGAGGATGTGTTAATGAAATGTACTGGTTCCCTTCTGATGTGGAAACTGTGGGGTGGGGGACGGAGGGCAGCGTCTGTCTTTAATTGGATCATACCAGAGCGTCATCTGGACTAATCAGCAAAGCAACCAGGGGCTCCGGCTCAGATTAATGATTGCAGTCTAATCCGAGCAGATCCCATGATTGGATGCACATCGCGGGTAATTGTGTTTGTGGCCCAGGAGCAGCACTGAGAGGGGGTCCAAAGAGGGGAGGCCGGTGGAGTGAGGGACCACAGGTTTGGACCCAGCTCAGTTCTCTCCTCCCCCAGCCCCCACCTCAACCCTGGGGTTTTCTCCCAAAGAAGTTCAAGCTTAGCTTGAACCACAAGCCCCACCCGCCCATGCTGGTGAGGAGTCCGATGTTAGGGGCTGCCTAAATCAGGGGATTAGGTTGCCAGCGGCGCAGAGGCAGGGCCAAGAGGGTGAGGTTAATCCAGCTTTCCCTCCCCCTCCTCCCCTCCAGTCTCCTTCGTTCCCCTTTGAAGTGAGTGGGTTCCCATGGAAACCATGGTGTCCTGAGGAGCGGAAGAGGGGCAGGAGCTAGGCCTGGCCAGGTGCGGGTGGGGGAGGAGGTTGGCTTTGCGAAGACTGCTCTGCTAAGGTGTTGGCTCACTTCCCTAAGGCTGAAAGATTCTCTCCGAGAACCAGGGACGCGGAGGTGCTAAAGTTGTTGCCCATTACTGATAAGGAAAAGCTGGGCTGGAGGCATGAGCAGTGAGAAGACAGTGAGGGCAGTGGTGCTTTGCCTTTCCATTAAGAACCCAGAGAGTGGAGCTGCAGGTCAGGGATAGAGGGTGAGGTGGCTTCCGGACTCTGCCTGTCTCCTTTGTGGCATTACTCACAATTGAATTAACTGTGTTAGCATTTGTGTCAACCTTATTTCTGTTTCCCCTGCTATACTGTTAACTCCAGAGGACAGGGTCTGCGTCTGTCTTGCTCATTGCTTTATCCCCAGCACCTTACATGATACCTTAGAGTCAGCAGCTTAGACGAAGTAGCTACTGCATCAAAGCTTGTTGGACGGCTTCATTAAATGGTTAGGGAGCACCCCATAAATATACCATAGTTCTAGGTTGATGTGCCGGCAAACGTCTCTCGAGGCGGGGAAGGGGAGCAGCTCCGATTCGTAGCATTTGCTGATCCCCGTGATGTAAATACTCATACCATGGCCCATCCCAAACCGCCCACCTGAGGGCACCGAGCAGTAGGGAAGACGTGAGGCTCTCGCTGCCTCAAAGCCCAAACCCCACCTAGGGAGCCAGGTTCCAGGCGCACAGTCTCTAGATTTACATGCGTAAGCCCATCTTACAGGCCAGTTCTTTAGAATGGTGTTACTGATACTTTTAGCTGCAATCCTACATTCTTGGTCCTCACTGTCCTATCTGGTCCACTCCTGGGTTCTAAATTTGAAATGTTCTCTCTTAATCAATGAACTCTTGGAACAGCACCTGGTGTGGATAGGTGTTTTATAAGTGTCTTCAGTGATGATTTTCCACCTAAATGCCAAGGCAGTCTGTCTCTTTCCATCTGCTTCAGCAGAGCCCCATCTTCACTCCAAACTTCTCCATCTTTTCCAAGTGGCTTTCAAGCCTTTCCTGGTCTATCAGCGAATGATCTCCTTCCTCGCAGCTCCAGAAACCCTGCTTCAAACCATTCTTCTGCCTCCTCTTTAGTTTCTTAGCTCTGAGAATCTTGCACTTTCCACACCATGTGTCTAGTTCATTCTGTCAGTCTCATCTCCCACACATCACAAGCTCAGAACTTCTACCCACATGGGACCACCAGAGAGCTCATGCTCAAGTCCAGCTCTAGTTCAATAAAAGCAATGTGAGCCCTGTTTATAATGCACTTGTTTCTGTCTCATGCAGACTGGATGGCAGAATCCACAGTTGTGTGGGGAGGAACAGAGCAGGACAGTAGGCAGTGTTCAGATCACTCCCTTGAGACTATCCTAAAGGTCACGGAAGTTCCCGGCATGATCCTGACAGCCCTATAGCCAGAGGTGCAAATGCAGCCATGGCCCTGTGTTGGGCAGTGGGAAATAGAATCATGCTCTAGAAATAGACTTGGTGAGAACTGGCTTTGTCACCATCGGCTAGCTCATCTCTCTGGGACTCTGTTTTCTCAACTATCAAAAAGAAAAATGATAATAGCTAGAATACAATAAGATAATAAATGGCATACAGATCAGTGTTCAGTAGACTGGGGTATTTTAAACAGAGGAGCCAGCATATGCTGCTTTGGCCCATTCAGGATGTGAAGTCTGGTACATTCGGGGGGACAGGATCGGGGTCACGAGCACAGCCTGGTTCACACTCTAGCTCCATCACTGGACACTAAAACTTTCTGTGACTCAGTTTCCTCATCTGTAAAATGGGGCTAAAAATAGTACCATCTCCTCATCTAGATTGTCATGAGGTTTAAGTGAGATAACACAGGTAATGTGCTTGGTAAAGAACCTGGCAGGTGGTCCACATTCTGTGGGTGTCAGCCGCTGTTGGATGTATTGGTGTCAGGCAGGAGCTTGTGAGCCAGGAGGTAAATGCTGAGAGGCGGCGCAGCAAGAGGCAGGGCTGCCAAAGGTTTCCAGTCAAGTGGTCTTCACTCTACAATTCAATTAATTATGAACTGAGCTCCAGCATGCGTAAGGCATTGTGGTAAATTCGGAAAGGGGTCCTGTGCAGGGACAGAGGGAAAGATAGGCGTAGAAAGTAGCTGTGACATAAACTTGGCACACAGCATGGGCTCAAAAAAGTGTTTGTGGATTTGACCGCAGAGCTTCAGGCCTGCAGTGTAGCGTGGGAGAGTTGCACTGCTTTTCCCAAGGGAGGTGAGCCCCGAGAGAATGACAGCCACGCTACCAATCCTGGGGCTGGGCTGGTGGATGGGGTGGGAGGAATCTCTCCAGGTTTGAGGCTAGACAGATAGGCTGGGTCCTGTGTGACTGTCCTCTGTAGCAGCCGCCTGGTCAGGACCCTGGGAACTGGAACTTCCTAATGAAGTGTCTTTGAGAGAACTCTTCCACCCTGTGACCAAAGAGTGTTCTGGCTCCAGTGAAGTTGACCCTGGGGCTTAACCCTCTGCCTTCCCTGGCATTAGGCTTGGTCATTCCTGGAATGTGCTGGGTGAGGTGGCCTGAGAATGGTGTGGGAGACATGCAGCCATTCCAAGCAGAGAAGTTAGGACCGGATGCTTCGTGCCAGGGCCTCTGGACTACTAGGTGCTGTGGGCAGATGTTCCAGGCTGTGTCCTTGGCTGGGCTTTGTGGGATGGGGGTTCTTCTGGTGGATAGTCCCTGCTTTTTGAAGCAGCTGGGTTCACTGGCACCTGAGGTAACATCTCAGCTGCTGACTATAGTCAGGGGGGTGATCCTGCTGGAGCTATAATCTGAAAAGTGAAACCATGCTCAGATTTCCTCTGTACCAGGCAAAGCCTATTCCCTGCCCTTTCTATGGCATCATAAGGCCTCCCGCACCAAGCCCAGCCTTGCAACTGATGCTGACAGGCCCAGAGGCTGCAGCTGTCTTGCTCAGGGAGCAGGTGTGCTCAGGAGTGGTTGGTCGTGCTGCTTCCACGGCTCACCTCCCTGACCTAGGTAGAGCTCCATCATCCAGGGTCCCCGCCAAGACCAAAGATCCAGGAGTCCTGAAATCTGATGACTTTTATCCTCACAAGGTTATGTTAGGATTCAATGAGATAACCAATGCTAACAGCTGGCAGTGCTTGGCACACAGAAGGCTCTTGGTGAATGGTATCTACATTCATGAAGAAGGACTGCACCGGGTCTGTCCCCCTTACAAGAAGGAAGACAACCAGCAATTGGGCCTCCTGCTAGTGCAAATGACATGGGGTGGGGTGGGGTGGGGTGGGAGGAGAACAGAAAGCTGGGGCCATGAAGGTTCATATGGCCAGTGGCTTCTCACCGGGCCTGAGCTAAGCCAGCTTCCCTGTCTTTTAACCATAGTGCCACTTTCTGCTTTTCCCAGGCACTGATCCATTTCATGGTTGAGTGGGAAGAACCTGAACTGAAAATTTAGTCTGCATTCTGACTCTATCATCGGGCAAATCTTTAACTTCTTTAGATAAGCTTTCCTACCCCACAGGGTAGGCATCAAACGAGGAGAGGAGAGATCTGTAAAAATGTTAAGGCCTCTCCAAACACACACAAGTATTATTACAAGAGGAGGTTCTTTTGGAAACTCACCGGATAAAGCAGAGATTCTCTCATACAGCAACAGTCTCGTGGCTCCCAGGGTAATCCTGGCAGCTCAGTGCTTGGACCCCAGGATGTGTATGACTCAAGAACAGTAGAGAAAAGGGGGAAGGCAGATGAAGTGAGTTCAGTAACTGCTCACAAGTAGTACATGGGAGAGAGGGGAGAGCACACGATTTGGAGTTTGAATACCTGGATTTTAAATCTCAACTCAGTTACTGCATAGCCTGATGCGGTCATTTAACCACACAGCACATCTGTTTGCTAATGAGTGAAATGAGAATGAGAAGCCCGTTGGGGTATCAAAATGCAATAAGCACATATAAGAGCACTTTACAAAGTGCCACTGAGTGTGTGTGGGTGTGTGTTTAGTCCTTGACTGTGACCAAGACAACGTGGTTAGGGCTCACCTCCTCACAGCATCTCTTCCCCTTGAAGTTCTTTCTCTAGGGGGACTGGCTGAATTTCTGGTGACTTGGCTGGAATCACTGATCGCCTTTCACTAGCTGCCTAATTTCAGGAAGGACACTTGTCTTTTCTCTTTTGTTTATAACTTTTATTTTCAGTTCGGGGTGCAGGAGCAGGTTTGTTATATAGGTAAACTCGTGTCATGGGGTCTGTCGCACTTCTCTTTTCACTGCCAGAGTCACCTCGCCTTGTTCTGAAGGGGCTGGACGCGACATCCCCACCAGGTCTCATGTATCAGGCTCTTTGTATTTTTGCCCTCGCAGAGCAGTTTTAACTTTCACTGTGTTGAGATTTCACATAGATGCGTTTAATGTGCCGGGAGGAGTGTGTGCGTGCATGTGTCTGAAGGGAGGAGGGCTGAGTAGACTGCGACCTGCCCTGGGCCCCACACTTGCCGGGAATGGACCTGTCCACCCACCTGGGGGAGGAGAGCTGGGCTGGAGCCCAGGAGCTCTGACAGATGCAGCTCCAATTTAGCAACTCGAAGAAGTCCTCTCCAAGGCAACCCAGGCGAACACACCGCCCACTGGGCAGGACTAAAAATACACCCGCATGGTTTCAACGTCACACCTGAAGTAAAAATACATCCAACCAGGGGCCGCTGGCTCGCTCCCACCCCCCTCTGTTCTCTCCATCTGGTGCTTTCAAGGGGAGGAGAAGCAGAGGGCTGGACAAGCACCTTCCTCCCTACTCCCTCCCCTCCCTCTAAGACCTCACCACCCTCTCTGCAGGCAGCCCCCAGCAGAGCCCCAAAGAAGGCAGGTCCTTTCGTAGCAACTGTGACTAGAAGCTGCCAGATGGCAAAATCTGTTCCAAGTCCCCCTAGTATGGATGGATTCTGAGCCTGAAAGAACTTGAGGATTGTGTCTCAAAACCTTCATTCCAATAGTCATTGCTTACTCCACTCATTCATTCACTGATTCCCATTCACTGATTCGTCAAAAATGTATTGATCCTCTGCTGTGTGCCATATACTGTGCCTAACCCTTGGGAGTTCAGAGAGAGAGAAAATGTGGTCACCGACTGGAGGAGCCCACCATGCCATGAGGAAGACAGTCCTGTGCACAAACGACTGTGCTTAGTAGAGTTTAAGAAGTGTCATAAAATAAATAAAAATAAATTTCTATTGGCAGTCCTTTTTCGGTTAAAAGAAAACGAGGTTCGAAGTTCTGATAAATTGTAAGATGCCTCTCCCTCCTCTTTCTGGGCCTCTATTTGAATTGGCATGTGGGTTTGTTTTCCCAGCCAAATGAGTCAGTGGAGATGGGAATATAAATTTATTGGAGTAGATGGTGTCAGTGTTGCCCTGAATTTAAAAAGTGCCCACGCACCGTTCCAGGGAAATGGAGCAGGCATTAATTGATAGTTTACTAAGTGCCAGACACTCTCCATGTTTCTTCATTTAATTCTTACAGGAACCTGCATGGGAGGTGTTGTCCTTAATGAAAGAGGACACTGAGGCTCCAAAAATTCAGTAACTTACCCAAAGTGTAGCTTATTTCAGACCACCCAGCTTCCCACCCTAAATTGTGAGTGAGGTCAAGGAAGAAACCCCTAGCATTTGCTGTGAGGGCTCGGAGGAGGCGATGGTTTCTCTTGCTGGAGAGACCCATGAGGGGAGCCTGCACAGAAGGCATGTTGGCCTGGATGCTGAGGTCGTTGGAGGGGACATGAAGAGACACAGGAGCAGGGAATTCAGGTGGAAGGAGCAGCAGGAAGAAAGTCATGGGCACACGAGAGCAAAGGGCAAAGATGGGCACAGGAAGGCACAGAAGTTTGCTTTCCACGGGCTGCTGAAGGACAGTAGTGACCATTCCAGGGACCAGGGTCCGCCTGCCCTCTCCTTCCAGCCACCACCTTTCTCTGCTGAGTCCTTTTACAGGGTTGTCCAATCTTTTGGCTTCCTTGAGCCACATTGGAAGAAGAATTGGCTTGAGCCACACATAAAATACACTAATACTAACAATAGCTGATGAGCAAAAACAAACAAACAAAACAACAAAACAACAACAAAAACGCAAAAGAAAAAATCTCATAATGTTTTAAGAAAGTTTACGAATTTGCGTTGGGTCACATTTAAAGCCGTTCTAGGCTCCATGCCACCCATGGGCCGCGGGCTGGACAAGCTTGATCTAGGAGAGATACTGAAAAGGGTCTGAGGCCACATGATGAAGAGCCTGGAGCGCCCATCTGCGAGCGCTGGCTTCATTTCACCATCATCCAGGAGAAAATTTACTGCCCTCCTCTGAAAGGGCACTTGTTGTGGACCATCTGCGGTAAACAGATGCCCCAGGAAGGGGTTAGGGGTCTGTTTGGGAAAGTAGTTTCTAGGCTATTCTCTGGTTCTGAGATCCCAGTGGTGTCTGGCCTGGGCACTAAGAAATAAAGGCTCAGAACGCCAGTCCTCAGGCAGAGTTTCTGGAAAGGCGAACTTTTAGCTACTTGACAACCACTCACTGTGTGCCGGTAGGGCATAGGTTGGTAGCCAGAGCGCCACCGATCCCTGCGTGCCCCACCTCACCCCACCCCACCGGCCAACAGCCTTGTGTCCTCTGAGCAGTGGGACCCTGACCAGGCCTCTGGTCCTGCTGGCCCATGCCTGAAGATGTCCACCAAAAAATCTTGTTCTCCCATGCCTTCCACCTCTGGATCATCCATCCTTGGCCCAACAGGAAGAGACAGAGGCTCTGTCTCCCCTGTCCCCATTGGAAGAAGCAGCAGGGGTTCAGGGATGGGGTGGGCACTGACCCTGGGCTTCCCTCTTCCCACCCCCAAGAGGGTGAGAATGGCTGTAAGGAAGGTGCGGAAGGAGCCGGGGGGCTCCAAGGTCAGTCACAGGAAAGGAGGTGGATGGCCCAGGCAGGCAGCCACACACTTGGCTGGACCCATAATTGAGGTCTGCAGTCCTGGCCAAGGTCACAAGGGAAGGGATGGCTGAGAGGCTTAGAAGGGACAGAGTGGCATGACTGTGAATCACAAAGTTTATCACCCAGAAAGAGAACTCAGCATTCACATCTCCCCTTGCCGGTGACCACCCTCGCCCCCGCTCATGGCTGGTGCTGTTTCTGTCTGCATATCCACTCTCTGGCTCCCTTGTGTTTTGCATCTTCGCCTCTCTGAAGCTCTGTATTTTTGCATTCTTTCTAACTTCTTTTCTGTCTCTGCTTCTGTTTCTACTCCTCCCCTAAGAAGGAAGAAATGTTTGTTTTTTTTTTTTAAACCCAGGTGGTCCAAAAAGAAAGAAAGAGAAATGAAAAAGGATCCAACTACCTTTTTTTTCTTTCTCTTTTTTTTTTTTTTTTATTTTTTGAGACAGAGTCTCAATCTGTCGCCCAGGCTGGAGTTCAGTGGCGAGATGTCGGCTCACTGCGACCTCCACCTCCTGGGTTCAAGCAATTCTCCTGCCTCAGCCTCCCGAGTAGCTGGGATTAAAGGCACGTGCCACCATGTCTGGCTAATTTTTTGTATTTTTAGTAGAGACAGGGTTTCACCATGTTGACCAGGCTGGTCTCAAAATCCTGACCTAAGGTAATCCACCCGCCTCAGCCTCCCAAAGCGCTGGGGATTACAGGCGTGAGCCACCATGCCCAGCCAAGGACCCAGCCATCTTTTTTTGAGTCTTTTAATAAAAAGAAATTAGCCACAGCCACATAGGGGAAGTTTAAGTTATATATGAGCATAAGAGTTACCAAGGAAGTTGCGGGGTCCATTCCTGAAGGCCTTTAAAAATGTTAGGGCAATCTGTCAGCCCGATTTATGTTAAGAATATCTGTCTTGAGGTGGGGAGGAATATGTGGGCTTTGCTGAATCTTGCCTGCCCCATGATGCTCTCCAAGGCTTTGGTGTTGATTGAGGGGTCTCAGCCTCTCTGTTACTAAGAGAGAGGGTGGTGCTAACCTCTGCACAGGGCTGCAGCCAACATACTGCCCTGTCTCTAATCGCCTCTCCCGGGGACAGCTGCACACACCTTGGCCCCAAACTGGGCATTCCAGACCAGCAAATTTGGGTGATGTAAAAAACACGAAGGCAGAAATGTCAGAAGTAATTAAACCCAACGATGGCTTAAACCCCTGTAGAAATCAACACATCTGGTTTAATCACCTTCTTAAGCTAGCACAAGACTGCAATTCTGTGGAGAGGGGTTCTTTATTTCTTTGGATCGTTAACAAGAACTGCATATCTTAAGTTTGATTTTAGTTCAGATGCTCCTGGGGAGAGGTGATGAGGGTAGGGGGTGGAGGGTGGGATGGGGGACTCAGAAAGGAGAAAAGAAATAATAAAATGTTATTCGCGATCATCTCTTCTTCCCCTCTCCCTGAGCTGAGCTGCGTCTCCCTCCTGCCTGCCTGTGTCCGCGCTCCTGGGGAAGGCGCCCGCCCTCCCGGCACCCAGGCGGAGGCGCAGAGCTGAATGTGCTAAATTAGGCCATTAGAGAAATTCATTTCTCTTTATTAGTCTGTGTCAAATCCTTTTTATTAGTGGCTGGAAACGACCTCTCTTCTGCAGTAAAATGTCATGCCAGTTCACTCCTTTTATTTGTTCTGCACTGACGAGGCTCAAACGCTCACTGAATTAGTGCAGAGAGATTTATTTCCTCCAAATTTTGAACGGCTTAAGAGAGATTGGGGTGGAGGGGGCGGTCGGGAGGGAGGCGACATGGGGAGAGAAGAGCGAAGAAGGGGTTTGGGAGGGAGGAGGTGAGCTCTTATGGAGGTCACATGTCCTCAGCTCTTTGGATATAAAGTCTAATGACCATTCCTCACATCCCACTCATCATCATCGACACTCGGCACTGGACACCAAGTGTCCACATCTCTGCTTCTAGCCCATGGAGGATGTGGACCCACAGTGGAAGATATCTGGACAGCAGGAAGAAGCACTCCTGAAAAACCATTTTGTAGTGGGACAAACTGAGGCTCAGGGAAGGCCAAAGTCTCTCCTCTAACTGGGAATCCTTCTCCCCACCCATCCCTGGCTCACACAGGGCCATTTGTATTACAGGTGGCTTTGATGGCAGCTCTCATGGGCTCTGCCCTCAGGGTAGACCCCCAAGCCTGCAGCCGAGACTGCTGGGAAGAACTTTTCCAAAGTGGCTGCCAGCCTCCTCTCATGCTTTAGGGGGTGATGTTGGAGGGTAGCTTAGACAATATAAGTCAGCCTTTAGGCAGGTACAGGCTGGGCACCTGGGGAAGGGGAGGTGACTCTCCCATAACTGTGTTGGGAACAGCTTGCGAGAAGCCCAGGACCACGCTGCAGCCACAAAACCCACGGAGTCGCTGAGAAATGGAGCGTGTCTCTCAGTGGGCAGTGCAGTGTCTCAGGTATCCCCATGCATGAGGTAGAAGGTAGTGTCTGGGTTTATCAAGTGGGCCAGGTGGATGGAGCATGGGAGCCACAGGCGCCCCGCTGACCATGACCATGGATCACAGGAAAAGCTGTGGGTGATCTCAGATGCTGTCTGAGCTCTGAGAGAGCAACAGGGCTCTGGGATGGGATGGGAGGAGCCAGACGCTGGAGCATGGGGAGGCTGGGGTAGGAGAAGAGAGGATCTGGGGGCTGACAGTACCCTGCCCTCCAACCCTGACTGCTCAGTCCTCAGGTTGCAGAGCAGCTGGAGAGAGGGTGCCAGGCCAGTACCTGTAAAGTCTGCCCTATGCTCCATAGACTCTTAGTTAACTTGGAGGGAAGGATGGGCAGCATGTTCCTTTCTTCTGAGACAGCAGGAGCCACAGAAGACACCCCCAGATATGCCCCCACATACATACACATAGCCATTCTGGGGAGATCTGACACCTGGAAGTGAAGGAGGTTTAGAAGACAGACCCTGGCTGTGGTTCTGCAGAGGAGGTGCATGTTCCCTGCTGTATGTGACAATGCCTCCCACCCCATCCCTGCAAGCCCAGCTCTGTCACGAGGCACCTCATGATCTGACTCCTGCTGCCTTTTCAACTTCCTCTCCCTCCACTCCCCACCTGCCTACCTGGCTTCAGCCACACTCAGCTACATCTTGTTCCAGAAACATGCAAGCTCATTCCTGTCTCAAATGCTTTGCTTTTTCTCCTGCTGGAACGCCAGTCCCTTAGCTCCTTGCGTGACTACGTCTCATCATCCGAGGCTTAACTTAAATGTCACCTCCGCAGAGAGGCTCTCCCTGACCACTCTAAGAAAAGCTGCTCCTCCCTGCAGAAGCAAGGACAGAAGCAGAGGAGATCACCCTCCTCTCCCTACCCAAAGCCTAGTGCTAGTAGCTGGGGGACACAGTCGTGGCAGATGTCCCGTCCTTACCCCACATGCCACTCACACTGTGTACACAGAACACACCATCCCTGTACACATACACACATATTGCATACAAACAGCACAGAGAACATGCACACTGTGCTCACAGCACACAAAATCAGCACCCCAGTTACATACACTACCCATCTGTGCTTATATACAGCATTAGCACAACACTGCGTGTGCACACAATGAAAACACACAGGACCCCACACAACACTTGTTCTCATTGACAGCCTGCATATAACCTTGGTGCACACACATGCATATGCACGCGCACACACACACAAGCACACACACACTTTGTCCCCTCCCTCCAACTAACCAGTGAGAAAGGAATGTGCGGTGACCGCAGCTGCCACGGGGTTGCAGCGGGGGCCGCACCCCCACCACCTGGCACGATGCTGCGGATTATTAGTTCCTGGTAATTTAGTGCCCTTGTACAGAGTCGATTTGTGCCTTTCATTCCTAATTGATCTAGTGGCTGTTTAAATGGCAGCAGGCATCTGTTGAGAGTAGGGAGGTTCATAAGGCGCAATAATTCATAACACCGTCTGGAATTTGCCTTTCATGTCCCTCAGCTAAACCACTGCAGGGCTCTGCTTAAATTACAGCCACTGAGGCTTTCTTTGGTATTCCACTCAGGGCCAGGAGAATCTTGCATTAAACTGGGATCAGGTTAGATTAGACTATAATATGCTGCAGTATTAGTGGCTGCAAATGAAGACTTATACTGGAGTTTAACCCCTTCACCTGGTTTTCTCTTTGTCTTCAGCCGAATGGCTAAGCTAACGCATTGTTTTCCCTACCAGCTTCCCGGTAGATCTTTCTCAATGGATCTCCTGGCAGTTTGGGGCAGCAAATAGGCCACCCTTAAATATTGACCCTTTTTTTCTGCAGACTGCACACCGAGTCTGCAGCCCTGGGGCCCAGCAGTTTAGGCATCGGCTTCCAAAACCAGGGTCGGGGAGAGAGTGTGCAGGGACAGGCTCTGCCAAGCCCAGCAGCTCCTCTGGAGCAGGAATTTCTCTTTTCCTCCCCCACCACCCCTGAGTCTGAGTAGAAAGACTCATAAAATGCGAGTGTGAGTGTGGATGGGGGTACGCACTTTGTCTTTTTG
Organism: Homo sapiens; assembly: GCF_000001405.40. Classification (NCBI taxonomy): domain Eukaryota; kingdom Metazoa; phylum Chordata; class Mammalia; order Primates; family Hominidae; genus Homo; species Homo sapiens. The sequence continues at coordinate 125,383,169 of NC_000011.10, forward strand.
TCCAAAATTGTTAGAATTCCAAGATGGACAGGCTCCTAGGGGTTCCCCCACCCACTTACAAATACCATGTAAGCTAGATATTCAGTCCTTCTCTGTGTGCTCCGTCACGGTGTGCTGGAGGGGAGACCATTGCCTGTTTGCCTTACTTGTTGTGTTCTCGGTAGGACGTGGTGGCTCACACCTGTAATCCCAGCACTTTGGGAGGCCAAGGCAGGCAGATCACTTGAGGTCACAGTTTAGACCAGCCTGGCTAAAGTGGTGAAATCCCCTCTCTGCTAAAAAAAAAAAAAAAAAAAAAATTAGTCAGGCATGATGGCGGGAACCTATAATCCCAGCTACTTGGGAGGCTGAGGCAAGAGGATCACTTGAACCCTGGAGGCAGAGGTTGCAGTGAGCCAAGATCATGCCACTGCACTCCAGCCTGGATGACACAGCAAGACTGTCAAAAAAACAAACAAACAAAGACTTACTGTTTCAGTATGGTAGTCACTAGCCACATGTAACCTCTTAAATTTAAAGTAACTAAAATGAAGTAAAATTAAAAGTTCAGAGTCCTAGTTACAGCAGCCATATTTCAAGTATCCATTGGCCTCATGGGGTTAGTGGCTGCCATATGGGGCAGTGGAGATTGCAGAACATTCCCACCATTGCAGAAAGTTCTGTTGCACAGCACTGGCTAGACCATCCCCTTGAGCAGAAGCATGGGGGCCAGGTCCAAGTCCAACACACATTCCTCCTCCTTGCCCAGCAAATGGGACTACATCAAAAAACAAAAAAAACAAAACAAAACAAAACAAAAACCTACATTGCATAGTTCCAGGAGCCTGGGGAGACAGACCAGAGAGGGCTGTGAGATGCATTTTTGGAACTGCAGTGGAAGGGAATGGGACTCTCTGGAGTCCAGTGTCAACAACCCATGCACTCGCATGCACACATACTGTAGAAATAAAGGTGCTGTGGACTTATACATGCAAATACACCTACACACATAAAACATATATATTTCCCAAATACTTTTTGAGATCCGCATACATCTGACTAGACTTTGGACATATAGTGATAAATAAGGTGAGCTAGATTCCTTCCCTCATGTAGCTCACAGTCTAGTGAGGAAGGCAGACAATAAAACAAACAACTCAGGGACTATGAGTGTAGGTTTGGCGGTGGGGGAATGGGGGTCAGGAGTCAGAAAAGCTTTCAAGAGTTGCTGATCTCCAAGATAAAATCCATAGAGCCAGGCCGGGTGGTGGCTCACGCCTGTAATCTCAGCACTTTGGGAGGCTGAGACGGGCGGATCACGAGGTCAGGAGATCGAGACCATCCTGGCTAACATGGTGAAACCCCATCTCTACTAAAAATACAAAAATAAGCCAGGCGTGGTGGCGGAGGCCTGTAGTCCCAGATACTCAGGAGGCTGAGACAGGAGAATGGCGTGAACCCAGGGAGGGAGAGCTTGCAGTGAGCCGAGTTCAAGCCACTGCACTCCAGCCTGGGTGACAGAGCGAGACTCCGTCTCAAAAAAAACAAAAAGATCCATAGAGCCATTTAGGTAAACACTTTGGCTCACATCTAGATGTCATAGAACCCCCCGCCCCGACCACCACACATACCCTCTTCACTCATTGATTCCTTCATTCACCGAATATTTATTAAGTGTCTGCTATGAGCATGCATGCCAAGGTCTTAGGGATATCAGGATCACTAAGTCAGGTAGAGTCTCAGAGGGAAACAGTGAGCAAATGATTTGCATCACATAGTGATGTAAATAATCGTTGCATCATTGTGTGATGACCTAACACACTGGGGTATCTGACCTAAACTGAGTCTACCAAGACTCAGGACAGGTGGACACATCTGCCCACCACGTGTGGATGAGTCTTCAGGCTCACGTATGTCTCCTGCATGCACTTGCAAGCACACAAGTGTTTGTGCACATCTGCCACCCTTAGCTGGCTCCAGAAAGCCAAGAATGGATCTATGACCTACCACGAATGTTCACATCCAGGACTTCTCTGGACACTCCCCACATTTCCTTCCTAGGTTGACTCTGAGCCAGAAATGGACACCTACTTCTTGGAAGGTTTATAATCCATCATCCCTCCCCAAATATTCATGCAGTTTATCTGACCAAAGAGAAAAGGTAGGCGACCAGTGGGTAGGGACAGAAGCCTCTTAAGCCCAGAAGCTGGAAGAGTGGACCCTCCTTGCCAAGGCACAAAGTGCTGCCATCTAGATTGACCATAGGGACTGGGGATGTTATCAAGGAGTGGGACCTTGGGAGAAGTGAGGGGAACGTGGGCAGGGGAGCCTGGTGGCTTCTGAGCACAGGTAGCAGCACGGTCTCTGTGTGTGCGCATGTGTGAGCTCTTGATGTCCCTGCAGGCACCCTCTTTTCCCGCTCCTGACGCTGCTGTTTGAGAAATGTGAACAGGCCACCCAGGGCTCTGAGTGCATCACCTCCGCCAGCTTTGATGTGGACATCGAGAACTTTGTCCACCAGCAGGAACAGGAGCACAAACCCTTCTTCAGCGATGACCCAGAACTGGACAATCTGGTAAAGACCCTCCACCCTCTACCCTGGCTAGAGTCTTCCTACCCTCTGACCCCCTTCAAAATGCCCTAGAAATGATCCTTTCATTAATTTACCAACAAAAGGTTTTGAGTGCCCACCATGAGTCATGCACTAGATGCACCAGTCTTGCAGCCAACAACCATTTCTAAGTGCCTTAAACCAAGAGTTCCATGCACAGGCTTTGCTGCCAAAGTTCTGCCCATCTATGCCCAGGGTGGCACTAGCATCTTAGCACCCACCCTTTTACAGTGCAGACAGGAGGAAAGAAGGGTCATAACAGCCAGAACATCTGGGGTAGCTGTTCTGAGTCCTGGAGTCCTGGCATGTTAGCAAATCTGTCTTGGGCTGTCCAGAGAGGAGCTAATAGTTGATGTGCCACTGTATGGAGGATGAAGGTATTAATGTGTTGGAGCACATTAATCGAGAGAAAGACCTGACATCGATGTGCTGAGGAGACCAGTGGAGGACCTGTTCATTCTGGGGACAGGGTAGATCAGCTTCCCAAACCTAATTTGTCAACTAGAGCATAACTACAGTTTTATAAAAATACATATTTCTAGGCCACACCGCCTGGGAATTGTGATTCAGTGAGTTTGGTGGGAGCCTGTGAATCTGCATTTTAAAAAGTTTCCTGGGCAGTTGCAATTGTCATTAGGTTTGGTAACCACTGAGTTGGATGACATCTGAATTCTCATCTAGTTCTGGAAATTCTGTGGAGAGAGCAGTAGAGAGGTTTCTCTGTTTGTCCATTACTCTAACTAGTCATCTTGGAATTATTAACCACAATTCTTTATTTTTGTGGGTGGATTACCGAGGTTATGCACAGTGAATTTAGAAACTCTGTAAAAATTCTCCCCCACAAATTGATTAATGATAGTGCTATCCTCTTGCATTTAGAGTTTAACTGGTACCTACTTCCAAAAGGGAAACAGAATTAGAAAAGAAAATGTGGTTCCAGAAAGGAAGAAAAAGAACACACACACACACACACACACACACACACACACACACACTGCATCTGCAGAACCGGTGTAACTGGCTTTGGTATTCTGTGCTGTGAATTATCCACACCACCGCTTCTCTCAAGAGCTGAATATGTGACTGTATGGAGTCCAGAAGAGCTGCCAGGAGAGCCCACCCTAGCCAGAAGCTTTGTGAAGTGTCATGATGGGTGGAGTGTTTGAAGAGCAGAGGAGGCCCTGCCAGAGGATAAGGGCTCGCTTGCTGTCGGGAGGGTCAGTGAAGGCATCCGAGAGCCCCAAAGCCACCTTTTTTCATCCTGGGGCATCCGTTTCCCTGGCTGGGATTGGCAGCCCCCTTCCCAGGAGGCAGGCCATTGTCTCTCAGGTCCCATGGGAAAGCTGCCCTGTGCAGGTGCTCCAGTTGCAGGCTGGTTTTGCTCTGCCCTGTGCTCCGGCTGATCAGAACCATAGACTGCAGTCGGGGAGCAGATCCTTACAACCTAGACCCATGGCAGCCAGGGGGCCAGGAGATGCCGCAGCCATTTCTGTAGGAGCTGGGATGGACCTGGGGGGTGGGGCCCACTCCCTTCATTTGACACAAAAAGAAACTGAGGCCTAAGTTGGTAAGGAAATATCAAAAAGTAAACTGGGTAGCTAATGTGAAATAACTTATACCTTCTTAAGAGGGAGGAGTTCTGGGGGAACAAATTTCTCATGCCCTGCCCACCACCACCTGCCAGGTGAGCTCTGGAGACCCACCAAGAACGGCCTCCCATCCTAGCTCAGCCTGGAAAACGCCCAGGTGGCCACTTCCATGCTCTCTCCTGGCCAACATGAGGTAGGTTCCCCAGGGTTCTGTTCACTCAAAGAATCATATTTAGAATCAATCTAACAGAACTTGGTTGAGTGTCTGCCCCATGCCAGGCCTGACCCAGGGATGTGGTTGCTGTGGAAGCTGCCCTGGTGGCCCCATACTGCCAGCGTTCCCTGGTCTTCCATCTCAGGCACTGGGCTGGGAGTGTCCAGCCAGTGGAGCAATCCTTGGACATTCCATCTACTTGGGTGCACCTGATTTATCTAGTTGAGTTAGCCATGGTCAATGACTGGTTGATTGACTGGCTGATTATGTAAATGGAGATATTTGAAAGAGTGCTATCTGAGCCTCACCACTACTGTCTGTGTGATTTGGATGACTTAACTCCTTTGAAGCTCGGTTTCCTCATCTGTAGATCTAACACACCTATCTCGTGTGATGGTAATACAAAATTAATGAGATGGCACTGGGAAATGGCCTTTAAAAATGCCTGTCATCTGGAAGGTTAATCTCAAGTGCAGGGCCCCTCCGTCAAGGTGCTCCAGTTCCTCAACTTCATATCCTGGCCACCAAAGAGACCGTGCGGCCGGGACCATGAAACTTGATGTGGGGAGTCAAGCAGTGCCCCTTGCCACCCCCACCCCTGGTCCTGTGTCAGGAAGTGGGAGGTAAAGAGGCCAACCACCGGAGCCATCATTAGAACAAGAATCATGTAGCCAGCACAGCCAAGATGCACATAATTAGAAATTAGAAAAAGGTCAGATCGCGTCATTATCAGCTCAATCAGCTGCCAAGTGCCACAGCCAGTTAATTTGGCATCTGTATTTTTTACAACCCCGCACACGTAGCCCAACGGACTGTAACTCTTTATCCGGACAGATATACTGCGCAGCCGAGCAGGGACATAAAATGAGAGACCCCAAGCAAATGAGCTGAGATAATTGAGAGATTTATTTCTTATATATATGTGTGTCAGGGCAGCTTTCCTTTGCCCTTGAATATTGACTTTCATAGGGATTGTCAGGAGGGCACTTGGGTCCCCAAAAACTTTGTCCCTTGGAAGTTCCTCTCTCCCCCAGGGTCCTCAAGCCCCAGCTGGGCCCTGCTTTCTCCCAGGCCCTGTAAGCCTGTGGTCTCCAGCCCCAACAAGCCCCGCATTTGAACTCAAATCCTCCCCATCCCCAGCTGGCCGCCCCCCTGTCCCCCAAGCAAGTTGCCCTGTACCACACTCCCCTGTGTCCCACAATCACCCAGGGCTGATCCGAAGATCAGAGAGGTTCCCAGATTGTAGATTTCAGTGGGAACCTCCCTCCCTCCATTAGCCACCTGCTCCCACAGCACCCCTACCAGAGAAGAAACAGATTCATCAACCATTAGAGGTAAAAGCCCTAGGGAGGGCCGGGAACCGTGGCTCATGCCTGTAATCCCAGCACTTTGGGAGTCCAAGGCGGGCAGATCACATGAGGCTAGGAGTTCGAGACCAGCCTGGCCAACATGGCGAAACCTCGTCTCTACTAAAGATACAAAAATTAGCCAGGTGTGGTGGTACATGTCTGTAATCACAACTCCTCAGGAGGCTGAGGCATGAGAATTGCTTAAGCCCAGTAGGCAGAGGTTGCAGTGAGCCGAGATCATGCCACTGCACTCCAGCCTGGGCAGCAAAGTAAGACTCCATTTCAAAAACAAACAAACAAACAAACAAAAAACCCTAGGGAGAAGCACGCCCTATCTCCTTTTATAGCCTGGGATATAAGTTCACAGAAGGAAGTGACTTGCCAGGACCAGAACCCAGGTCAGCTGACTCCTGATCCTCCGCTCTGCCCACAACATCACACCACCACTCCTCCTTCACTTGCAAATAAAAGTGCCCCCGATATCTCTTTCCGTACACCCACACTCTACCTCCCCATTTCCAGGGGACGCGGGTGGCTTTCCACCCTCATGGTGGTCAAGCTGCAATGCCCCTGGCTGGCTCCCCTGGGAAAGGCCGGCTTCATCCTTCACTCCCTCCACTCCAATTCCCATAGCCGCAGGGGCTCACCAGGACGATTCCTAAGCTGGGCCCACAGATCCCCTCCTTGGGCCCACCAGCCTCTGACTGGCAGTTGGTAAAGTTTGTAAAATTTGCAAGTTCCCCAAAACCCTTTGAAAGGTAAAAGCTTTTTGTTTTATAAAATCTGATTTACGGGCCCCCGGTGCAGGGCCAAGGTTTTATATATTATGCAAGATTTCAAACCGTGGCTGTAAAACGTACGGTTTCAGTTTCATGCATGGAATTTTTTTATGTGTAAATTTTTTAACATTTATGGGGTACATTTTAATGAGACTCTGGTGTGGCTCGAGGGACAGATTACGGCTGCCTGACCGCAAAGCCAGCTCTAAAATAGGGACCCCCAGGCCCCTGGGCCCACTCTGAAGAGGCAGGGCCAGAGGCGGAGGCTGTGGATAAGGAGGCACCTGAAGGAATCAGGCCAGAGCTCTGGGCCCAGAGGCCTCAGGCCAGCGGCATTCAGAGACTTAGCCACTTTGGCCTTCAGTCCGGGCTCTCTTTGCCTAGACAGGAGCAGAAAATCCCACAGACACCAGGAAAGGGAAAGGAAATGGGAATCCTCAACGCTAGTAATAATGAACATTTATAGAGCACTTACCAGGTGCCGGGTACCGTTCCAACTGTTTTACATATATTATCTTATTTAATCCTCTTTCTAAACCCACAAGGCACATGTTACTATTATCCCCATTTTAAGAGGAGGCAATTGAGGCAAGAGATGCAGTCACCATCATGCAGCTGGTCCATGGCCCAGGCAGGAATCAAATACAGTGCAAGACTCGCGCTCCAGTGACCACACCCAAAGCAGCTCTGGAGCTAATATCTTCTTCCATCTTTCTCTGGGCCAGGTCTTGTTTCTCATTTTCTTCTAGCTACATCTTATTTAACCCACAGTGCAACTCTGAGGAGTCACTATTATTATCTTATTTTCCAGGTGAGGAAATTACAGCTTAGAGATTATGTAAATTCTTCAGTGTCTCACCGTAGGTGGAAGACCCAAGACACCCAAGACCTAAAGCCCCGAGTGTCTTCTTTGCTGTTTAATTCTCACAAGACCCCTATGAAGTAGTTGTTATTATCCCCATTTGACAGAGGAAGAAATCAAGGACTAAGAACCCTATAGCCAATAAATTACATAGCTGGGATTTGAACCAAGTGGCTCTAACTCCTGAAGCCCACCCTCCTTCCTCGGTACCACTTCTTTCCCAAATTCTGAGGCCATCAGAAGGAGAGTGCCAGGTTATTGACTCCAAAATGATTTGACTTGTCTTGCGTGATGGTTTCCACAAAATATTTGTTTTGTCCCCGAATCATCAGGCAGTTCTCCAATCACTGGTATTCACCTTTTTTTCATGTCCCATTTTTTGTTCTAGTGACCCCACACTTCCAAATGGTCAGGCCAAGCTGGCCTGGTCTGGAAAAATTCCTGATTAGATTTGAGCATTGGCAGGCACAGTGACCCACAGGAAATATCATAGCACGTTAAGGAATGTGTGTTTATAAATTCCTTCTTCTGTCCGTGAGGGAGAATAGTTCCAGCTTCCCAATTTGCAAAAAGGAAGGAGAGGGTGAAAGGAATGTGCCTGCAAAACAAAGATGCCTCCCTAATTCCTGCATGGAGCTGAATGGGTTCCGTAATCTCTGAGCCTCAATTTCCTTATCTCTAGGAGAGATAATATTGCCTGTGTCCCTGTGGTGACGAGACTCAAATGAGATAATGGAGAGAAAGCACTTTGTAAATTGTAAAGTGCTGTGTATACAAACGTTTTGAAAGGCAAGAAATTATTATTATCAAGTGGAAAGGCCACGATCCTACAAGAGAGGCACACTGAGAGAGGCATTTGATGGTGGAGGGAGGACCATAATACCACAGTGGTATGAGGAATTGACATTTCCTGAATGGCTACTATATGCCCAACACATTTGCATACATGATCTTATTCAGTTTTCACAACAACTCTGAAGTGTAGGTATTATTGTCATCCTAAATTTTGCAGATAAAGTTCAAACTACTTGTTCAAAATATCAAGGCAGAAAATAATCAGTGTGGGACATCAGACGACATGGCTTTATAGAAAATAAGAAACCCCATTTTTGTGTACTTTCCTGGGACTGTGAGACTTGTGTACAGTGGTAGGAGACTAAAATGTGAGGTTGCATTTGTTTTGCTTTTTTGATGCAGACTTCTTAGAAAAAGAGGGCTGAATCATTATTTTGAAAGAGAAGGGAGGGAAAGAAGCTGAAAGATGGAGCAACACCTGGGGAGAGGAATTAAGGATGCATTCACCACATTTGGCGGTGATGTTGAATTAAGTGGCATTGTTATTGCCCTAGAAGATTTGGAATAAATTTTCACATGACCCCGATCATTTAGAAAAATAGTTTAATAAATCAGAATTTTCTAACTTGGAGACAAAAATCCAAAATTGTAAACACAGGATAGAGGATGATTTACTAAACACAAATATGGGAGCAAAAAAGACCCTTGGAGTTACTATTTTTTCACTGGCTGGACGTAGAATAGCAGTAGAAAAGCCAATGGGATATCAGACATTATTAGAAGAGATTATTTTTACAACTTGCATGCATTTGGTTTACTGTGGTTTATAAAGCATGTTTACATCATTATCTCCTTTAGCCCCTTTCAAATCTTGTGAGTTAGAGATGAACATTATCCCCATTTTACACGTAAAGAGACTGAGGCTCAGAGAAATCATGGAATTTGCCCAACGGCACCCAATTAACAGAGAGCGGGCTCGGACTCAAATCCAGGCTGCCTGACAATGAACCCACAGTGTTCCTGCCCTGCCAGGCAGCCCTCTAACATTGATAGTGTTGCCTACCTTTCTAATATTGAACAGGTCCTACATATTCATTGCCTCAGAATACCATTATGATTTACTCTACCTCCTTAAATCTTTCAACCAATTCCATTAGCCCATAAAAAAGTAATCCTTCAGCTGCACTTTATTAGACCAAAGGATAAGTCCACTTTTGGTCACTGTGCACCAGACCTGGTTTAAACATGCTGTGCGTGTATTTTATTTGAGCAAAGCTCTTCTGAGTATATTTTACTTTTGTTTTACTTACCTGTATTTTCTGATTTTATAAAGTAAGTATAAATTGGTTATATATTTAAAATAAATGAATAGGTAAGTGCACTTTTCTCTGTGTATGTGTGAATATATGTATGTGTGTGAGAAAGAAGGAAAAAAGGAAAGAAAGGAGGGAGGAAAGAAGGAACGGGGAAGGGAAAGAGAAGAAAGGTTTAAGGAATGACGATCGTTTTTGTCTAGAAAAGAGAAAGTTTGGCCGGGCGCGGTGGCTCACGCCTGTAATCCCAGCACTTTGGGAGGCCAAGGTGGGCGGATCATGAGGTCAGGAGATCGAGACTATCCTGGGAAACACAGTGAAACCCTGTCTCTACTAAAAATACATAAAAAAAAAAATTAGCCCGGCGTGGTGGCGGGCGTGGTCCCAGCTGCTTGGGAGGCTGAGGCAGGAGAATGGCGTGAACCAGGAGGTGGAGCTTGCAGTGAGTCGAGATCGCGCCACTGCACTCCAGCCTGGGCGACAGAGCAAGACTCGTCTCAAAAAAAAAAAAAAAAAGAGAGAAGAGAAAGTTAATTGAACAACTTGTTCAAGTCAGATGCCTGGTCCAATATGTGGCATATAGTAAGACTCAATACTTGTTGAATGAATAAAATTAAATTAAAAAGAAGTTGTGTTGATAGAGGTCCTAGAAGTTCCTCGATGTTCTTGGTGCCTACAGAAGGCACTTTACATTAAGGCGGGAGAGATTTTGATTGAATATAAGGAAAAGCTTCTAATCAGCAGACTGAGAGAATATGGAGAAGGTCCGAGGCAACAAGGTCATCGCCCAGTGACCGGGAGAGGCTGGAGGAGAAGATGCAGCCTGTGTCCTGATGAGTTTGGACTGTGCAGCCACCTAGAGGCTGGTCCAGGTCACCGTGTGGGGTTCATTCTAACACCATCAGGCGTGAATTGAGGGCAGAAGTCCTGGTAATGTTCAGAGAGTCAGAAAACGTAAGGGACCTGACAGTCCAGCCCTCTCCGTGTGCACATGGAGAAGCAGGCACCTGTGTTGGTGAGGTGTTTGGACCCCGGGGGGCTGTGCCAGGAGTGAGAGATGGGAGATCAGAGCAGCTGAGAAAAGGCACATTACCAGGAAGGGTTCTGGAAATCCTAAACTTTGATGTCTCAAAAGCTACTTGGCTTCCTAGAACCCCGTACTTGCTGTCACTGAGCCACTTTCTCCCAAACCACGCACCCTTTATACTACCACTTCCTCTACCTACATAATCCTGAGAGTCCATATTGAAAGACAAGGCACACGGGTGGGGGGTGGGGCAACCTGGCTTCATATCGCTCACCAGTTGTGTGACTCTAAGCAAGGAAACGTAATATTTTTGGATTTTATTTTCTTCAAATGCAAAATATGAGCAATAATGGTACCTACTTAATGAGATGGTTGTGTGGAATAAATAAGGCCTGGAATGGGCTTAACACAGTGCCTGAGACACAGTCTGAATAAGAAACGTTTGGGTATTATTAACAATCCAGCAACGCATATGTGTTAAGTACCTTATCCTGTGCTCATTACACTGAGAGACATAGACCAAGATGTTCGTGGCCAAAGTCAAGTAGAACATTAGGCAAGAACAAATCTTTATTAAGTACTTAACTCCACTTTGGGGTCCAAATGATCCATTCTAAAGTCACAATTTTCCTCTTTGCTTAGGATGGCTCAGTCTCCCTCAGTCTCAGCCCCACAGAGGTGGTACTTCTTAGGAGGAGACCTTGTGACTGAGCCCTGCATGACGACACACAATCGCTGCTTTCTGTCTTTGAGTGACACTTGGTCTAATTTAGTACTCCAAAAACCCTTAATTAGTTGAGCACAATCCCTGCTCATCAGACAAGCCACAAGCCCAGCCCAGGGAATGTGGGCTCCCCACTTGAAATGCCAATGAGGCTCAGAGAAGGGTGTAATGCTGGCTTCAAGCCACACTTCTCTACACACACCTCACAGTCACAATTCTCTGGGAGAGATTTCCTTCCTTGTTTCCATCCCTTTTTATATTGTCCAAACTCTCCTCTAGGCATCCAGGAGCTAGCCAAAAGCTAGGAGGGTGGGACTAAAAAGAGATCCCATATATTGCTTGCGTCAACATAAATGGATCTGGAAAAGCAATAAGCATCACCCGCTCCTAGCGGTTACATTTAATTTTGATATAAATGTAGATTCACATGCAGTTATAAGAACTCATACAGAGAGCTCCTGATTCACATCTTGTATAACCATAGCACAATTTCACAGCCAGGAACAATCCACCAACTGTATTCAGATTTCACCAGTTTTACGTGCCCTCGTGTGTGTGTGTGTGTGTGTGTGTACATGTAATTAGTTCTGTGCAATTTTATCATATACTTAGATCCACATAAACATTGTTATAGCAAAGTACAGAACAGTTCCTCCCTCCCTCCTCCACTCTACCGCTGTCAACCACTAATCTGTCTTTCTGTCTTCCATCTCTATAATTTTGTCATTTCAAAAACGTTTTGTAAATGGCATCATATAGTATATAATCCTTTGAGACTGGCTTTTGTCTCTCAGGAAAATTCCCTTGCAATCTATCCACATTGTTGGGCATATCAATAGCTCATTCTTTTTTATTGCTGAGTTATATTCCATGATATGGATGAATTACAGTTTCTTTATCCATTCACCCATTGAAGTACATTTGGGTTGTTTCCGATTTTTGACTATTAGAAGTAAAGCTGCTTTGAACAATTTGTATACAGGTTTTTGTAAGAACATATGTTTTTATTTCTCTGGGATAAATGCCCAAGAGTACAATTGCTGGGTCATATGGTACGCACATATTTAGTTTTGTAAGAAATTGTCATACTGTTTTCCAGAGTGGCTGTACCATTTTACACTCTTAACAGCAATGTCTGAGTGTTCTAGTCTCCAGTTCCTCACCAGCATTTGGTGTTGTCATATTTATTTCTTTTATTTTAACCATACCAATAGGTGTGTAGTGATATCTCATTGTGGTTTTAATTTGCATTTCCCTAGTGACTAATGACATTGAATATCTTCTCTTGTGCTTATTTGCCATCTGTATATCCTCTTCAGTGAAATGTCTAATCATGTCTTATGACCATGTTCTAATTGGGTTGCTTGTTATTTTACTGTTTTGTTTTGAGAGTTCTTTATATATCCTAGATACAAGTCCTTTGTCAGGTACTTGGTTTGCAAATATTCTCCTCCAGTATGTAGTCTTTTCCTCTTCTTCACAGGGTCTTTTGAAGAGTAAACATTTTTAATTTTGACAGCGTCCAGTTCCTCACTGGATCATCTTTTTTTTTTTTTTTTTTTAGATGGAGTTGCGCTCTGTCGCCCAAGCTGGAGTGCAGTGGCTCCATCTCGGCTCACTGTAACGTCCACCTCCTGGGTTCAAGCGATTCTCCTGCCTCAGCCTCCCAAGTAGCTGGGACTTCAGGCATGCACAACCACCACTGGCTAATTTTTGTAATTTTAGTAGATATGGGGTTTCACCATGTTGGCCAGGCTGGTCTCAAACTCCTGACCTCAAGTGATCCTCCTGCCTCGATGTCCCAAAGTGCTGGGATTACAGGCGTGAGCCACTGTGCCCAGCCTGGATCATGCTTTTGGTGTCAACTCTAAGATCTCTTTGCCTCACCCTAGATCCTGAAGATTTTTTCCTGTTTTTTTTTAAGAGGTTTATAGTTTTCTGTCTTACATTTATGTCTTTGATCCATTTTGAGTTAATCTCATCTAAGGTATGAGGTTTAAATCAAGATTCAGTTTTTTTGCATGTGGATGTCTAATTATTCTAGCACCATTTGAACAACCCCCTGTTGAAAAGCAATTTGGCAATATTTATCATAATCCACAAGAACGTTCATAGCTTTTTTTCCTGTCACTTCTGGGAATTCATCCTAAAGAATAATGCAGAAACTTTTAAAAAAAAAAAAAAAAAGCTATAAGCTTAGAAAATATTCACTGTAACATTTTTTATAAAATTGAAAAATTGGAAGTAATCTAAATACCTAACAATAGGAGACTGGTTAAGTATGGCACACACATGAAATAATATGCAACATTTAAAAATATGTTTACTCAATAACTTTCACCCATTCAGCAAATGTTTACTCCATATCCATATGTGTTCGTGCTGAAGATAACATGGTGAGCAAATTAGACATCATCCCTGCCTTCTCAAAGCTCATAGTCTAGAAGAGAGGATAGAGAAAACAATTCTGGCACTTAGAAAAATAGATTTGCTAAACTAGAGGGAAAAAACAGAAAACAAAATTGCATGCACAAGGTTATTGAAACTATGTTAAAATATATGGGTGTAGGAAAAAATCATTCTTTAAGGCGATTGGATCGAAGACAGGTTTTTTTCACCCTGCTTTCCATACCTTCCATAGTATTTTCTTTTTATGATAATAACAGCAGTAAAGAGCAAAGCTTCAATTGCAAAATAGCTTCTTGCCACGAAAAGGTTAGGAATGTCCATTTGAAGAGGCAGCAGGCTCCCGTACAGCAATCCAAAGGGCATGGAAAAGGCCACAGCAGACAGTGAGGTAGCTGGTGCCCAGCTAAGTCATGCTGGATTATTCAGTCCATCAGCAAGTATCCACAGAGCGTCCACAAGGTAACCGGTATCCCATGAGGCACTCAGAATGCTTGTTTAAGAATAGACAGTCCCTGAGCTCTAGAGGCACTTATAAGAAATTCTGATCTCCATCTTCCTCAGGCTTGCCTGGTCCTTCACACCTCACAATGTGCTACCATGTATACGCCCTCATACAATACTCACAACAAACCTGTAAAGTTGTCAGGGAGAATCTAATTATCCCCATTTGTTAGCCACTAAGGCACAGAGAGCTTGAGCAACTTGCCCAAGCTCACACAGATAGTAAATGACAGGCCGGGGGCTTGGACCTGGCCTCCCATCGCTAAGGCCAATGCTGTTCTCAGAATACCACAACTGCCTCAAGAACAGCTGTGATAACAGAGGGCTCAGAGCAAAGGAATAATTAGCAGAGAGCCATCATTAGAACTGAAGTCATGGGGATGAGAAGGCACCGCCTACCACTTCTGGGCCTTTTGGCCAAGATCAAGTGTAGGAAGCATGAGCTACGGCAGGGGGTGGGCTCCCCTCCCCTGGGGTGGTGGGGGCTGGGGGTCCAGGCAGTGAGGGAAATGGGATGCAAACACCTGGGCTCACCTCTCCTCCCTCTCCACAGATGGTGAAGGCAATCCAGGTCCTGAGAATCCACCTGCTGGAGCTGGAGAAAGTCAATGAACTCTGCAAGGACTTTTGTAACCGTTACATCACCTGCCTCAAAACCAAGATGCACAGCGACAACCTGCTCAGGAATGATCTAGGGGGGCCCTACTCCCCCAACCAGCCCTCCATCAACCTTCACTCACAGGTAACACCCAGAGCTGGGTCCCATCTCTTAAGCCAGGCTCCTAAGCCCAGCTCTGGAGCCACGCGTGGAGGAAGGTCCCCTGGTGACCTTCACTGGGTTAGACCCACTGGGTTCCTTTGCCATGAGGGCCCTCCTCTGATGCACTCTTCTTCATATCCATTAGGCCATCCCATCCCTTTTTTACACACAGTCTGCCCTGCCAGGGCATTAGTATTCCCTTGAAAATGACCAGATCGGAGAGGGACAATGTCCAAAATCATTCCTGGCTTCCTGGCCCAAGGTATCCCCCAGAATGAGCACCAGAGCTAAGGAGAAGGAAAGCTCTCCTGGAGGATGAGCTGGGACAGGCTTCTTAAGAGGCTGCGGCTTGCTGAGCCATCTGCATTTCTGGGAAAGGGCATTTGGGGAAAGCAGTCATTCCCTGAATCCTGCCCACCTAATGGGTGAAGCCAGCTTCCCATGGGCCTGCTGCTCCCTAATCATTCTCCAGGCACTCACGCTACTCTGGCATCTCTGTCCCCCTAAGGTTCAGGGCCATGGTCAAGGTCACCTCAAACCACCCTGTTCCCAGGTTCCCCTGCCACCTCCTTCCTGAGACCTGGGAAATGCAGAAATGCTGACTACACGCTTTGGGCAAGATGGGGTTTCCCCTCCAGGGCAGGATATTTTCCCCAAACCTACAAACCGAGAAAGCTGCCTGGCAATACCTTCCCGCCCAACTCACAGACATCTGCATAAGCCACAGGCTTGAGACTTTGTTCCCCTTCCACTGAGCTCCTGAGTCCTGGAAGACACCTGGAGGGTCCCCAAGGAGTCCTCTGTAGCCTCTTCTCATTAAACAATCAGGCATGGGGATGCAGGTAAACTTTCTAGGAGTGAGTGCCGAGAGGTGCTGGAAGTAGTGCCAAAGAAAGGCTGTGCCGTTTTTGTCCCTAGACCCCTAAGGAACCACCCATGTACTCTATCTCCCCAGATTGGTGGAGTCAGGGGAGGGGACAGGCTGACTTCTAGAAGGCCAGCCTTGCTTTGCACATTTTGACAACAAGCACAAAAGATACACTCGGTATCACATCCAACCCACCCCAGTGGGCTCTTTGTGAGACTCCGTAGTGAGTACTGCCCAGGACATAGGGCAAGAAGTTTACTTCCTCTTCCTCTCGCTTGAAATCACCAAGTCACTTTATTACAGATCTAAAAACACCCGCCCGGGCTTCTGCCTGCTAATATTCTCTTGAAATAGACTCATTCCTTCAGAGTCTTATTGTACTTTCCCTTATGATCAAAATTAGCAAGAAACTTGCATAAAAGAGGACAATAATTGCTCAACGAGCATCTCGTTTGTAATTTATTAGTTTCTATTATTGTGGGTTACCATGGTGACGCTGCGCAGTCCCGGTGATGGGAGAGATGCAAGATAGGAGCTGAGGAGGCTGTGAGGCCTCGCCAAATGGAGATGCACATTTTTATCAGTAATTTTCATGAAAATAATAAGTGAGGAGTTAATGAGATGGAAAGCCATCCTGTGGCTATTGTGAATTTTTTTTAAGTGTTGATCTAATTAGAATGCATCGGTCAGGAAAAGTAATGAGGATTTAGTGCCTCACAGAGATGTGAGGATCATATCAGAAAATTAGCACAAGTCTTTGGAAATAATCAGGTCCTTGGAGAGGCACTGGATTTCCCCTCCTGGGCCCTCCAACTCCACCTCGAGCTCTGGAGCTGGGGGTGCACCAGGGTAGTGGGGGAAGGAAGGAGGGGCAGAGGGCTTAGCAGCCACCTCAGCCCCCTCAGGGTTGGAGGTCTGAGACTGACAAGTTGGTCTGCAGAAACCAGTCGGTCACTGGAGAAGTGGGGTTTGCAGAAAAGGATAACGCGGACTCTGGATGGTTAAGTTCTCAGAGATGCTGCCACCTGCAAAAATCAGTCCCCCTGGAGAATCCCGGCACTCAGCCTTCTGAGCTTTGAGGAAAGACAGAAGAATTTTGATTCCTATCACTGGAAGCATCAGATCTCTGCCTGGAAGTGAGGCTGGCCCTGGGGTACCCACGGCAGAAAGGCCATTGATCAGCTGGGAAAGAGGAATCAGACAATTGCGTGGTGGGTGTGGGGGAGGGGGTGATGCAAGCGAGGCACTGAGAAAGAGAAAAGACACTAGTGAGGTATTCCTACTTGGTATTACTCAAACTTGTCCCTGCATTTTCTCTGACTGCCACCACCTGCTTTGTTCTGGCTTCGGGGGTAAATACGGTGATTACACATAGGCTATGACAGGAGCTTCCTAACCTGCTCTCCTGGCCATCCCTCAGCCCACCTGCACACCCATGCATCTCTTAAGCTTCTGCTGCTGGATTCATCTTTCTAACTTTGTTCATGTCATTCGCCTGCTCAGAAACCCTGCTTGCCATGCCCCTGGGGGTGGAAGGGAGGGCTTTCACATCTGCCCACCTGACATTCAAGGCCCTCCTAGGTCTGGCTTCAGCCTTCCTGGGTGGGCCAATCTGACTGTTCAAGGTGCTGTAACCATCACTCCATGCCTGTCTGTTCGGGTGACACCTCCCCCACAACCCCATCATCTCTGCACAACCAAACCCAGCTTCTTCCCCAAGGGTAGGAACAAGGCTGCTCACCCAGGAGGACTCCCTGATGCCCCATCCAGAATGGACGCTTCCTGCACTCCACTAACTGGTGGAGCTTGCTGAGCCATCGATATGGCAAAAGTCACTGTGACTTTATATTATAGATCCCTGTGTTCATCTCATTTTCCTATCCTAGATAACACTTTTTGAGCAGAGACAGTATTTTACATGTTTGAAATCACCAAATCACCTTATTATAGGCCAAAAACAGCCATTTCCAGCCTCTGCCTGCTGATAGTCTCTTGAAATAGACTCATCCCTTCAGAGTCCTAGTGTACTCTCCCTGTGACCCCAGCAGTGGCTACCACAAGGTCTTGTGCAAGAAAGATGGCCGGGAAGTATTTATTGAAAGAAATAATGGAATGAGAGAAAGAAAGTTGGGTGGGGGGCAGGGGCAAGGGGAAGCCAAAGGAGGAAAGGAGAAATAGGAAGAAAAATAAAGGGAAAGAAAGCCAAATATGCAGGGTCAACATTCAGGAGGGAAGCAGAGACAGGCTGAAGAATTGGAGGAAAAGAGCAAGAGAGAGAGACAGGGAGGCACACAAACCCAGGAAAAGGGAGACGATACTGAGAACGACGGGGCAGAAGGACAGACGGAGAGAGGAACGGCAGCAAGAGTGACAGCAAGTGAAAGGACAATGCATGTGGCTCAGTGCGCAGCCAGGGTACGAGGAGGCGGGAAAGTCAGGAGGATGTGCTATGTGCTGCTCCTGTTGTATTACTCAAACTTGCCCCTGCATTTTCTCTGACTGCCACTGCCTGCTTTGCTCAGGCTTCAGGGGTAAATACGGTAATTACACATAGGCTATGGCAGGAGCTTCCTAACCTGCTCTCCTGCCTTCTCTGGCCATCCCTCGGCCCACTTGCACACTCACACGTCTCTTAAGCCTTCCCAGGACAGGCCCCTGTCATTATTGCACTAAGGTAGGGGCCGGGCTTGCATGGGCTCTCCCAGGAAGGAGAGGCCCAGGGCTGCTAAGAATCGGGGACCGAGACTTTCAGTGCAGGAGGCAGGTCTTGGGTTCAAGACACAGGAGCCTGTATGAGAGAGAGAAAAGGAGCTTGTGAGTGTGTGTGTGTGTGTGTGTGTGTATGTGTGTGCACACGCGGGCACATGCATTCGTCATGGTTCACCCTTAATCCCCCCGGCCTGAAATAGCCTGAGCACCAGCCTGGCCTGGGGAGGGGTGTCTCCCCTCTGGAACATGATCCTCTGGATCAACATTCCAGCCGCCTGCCAGCTTTGTTGCAAACTGCTGGCTCATGGTTTTCCCTGTGTGCTAATCATCCAGCCTTGTGTTGCAAAGCGGGAGACATTTTTGTTTTCAACTTGGTATCCCCACTCCCAGATGCTATGCCGTGTCCTCCATCCAGATCGATGGGTTGAGCGTTTTCCTGCTCGGCCTTCGATTTCTCTGTGTGAGTCTTCTCTGCTGGGCAAAGTGGAGATGGGAAGTAAGGGAGACTGTTCTACCAAGCAGGGGACTAAAGCAGACTTTCAAAGACCTGGGCCACAGCTAGATTTTCCCCCTCCCTAGGAACCCATCCTGTGCTGCAGGCACCCAATGACACCCAGGCTTCCTACTCCTCAGAGCCCAGGCTTCTTGTGGGGGCAGGATCCTCTGTAAGGAGACTGGTTCTAGACCCTACTCTGGGTTCTCCTGTCCTTCCTAGAGGGCGCAAATGGAACCATTCCACTAGAGAGACACCTCACTCAAGTATTAGTTTGACCTGAAATTCATCCTTTTTTCTCTGTGGAGATTTAAGCCTCAGCTCTATTCCAGGCAAATTGGATTGAATCATGGTTCTCATTCAATTGCCAAGCGTTTGGGGGGCACTCACTGTATGTTCTGTGCTAGGTCCTGTGAGAACAGACACAAGCCATTGTCCAAGAGGAGCTCCCAGTCTCAGGGAGAGAGAGCCATGAGTCACAATGAGGATCTAGATAAATCATGTCAGCCGTGAAATGCTCAGGGTCAAGAGTACAGAGGAAAGGAGCAGCCAAAGAGATGGGGAGAGGAGCTGCAGGCAGGGATTCTGGATTGGGTGATCCACATGTGTGGCTTGAGGTTGCCCCAGTCTCAACTCAGCATCCTTCATCCTTCCTCAGAGGGGGACCAAGTCCCAGACCCAGCCCTCACACCTTCATGGCCAGTTTGTTCCTGCTCCACAATAGGATAAACAAACCTCAGTACAGAGTGGAGAGGACAACAGGAGGATTTTGCCCATTGTGATTGGAGAAGTTACAGATTCATTGGCCTTGGGAGGGCTTCCTCTGGGAGGTGGCATTTCAGGCAGGCTTGGTGAGAGTTGGTAGCCTATTTGGCAACCTTTATAAAGGTGAGTGTTTCCAATGTAGCAAGAAGTCTGAAAGAAGGCGAGAAACAGAGAGAGCCAATCAGAATCCCTAGAGAGGAGATGGGGTGAAGGGGGCTCATTCATTCACGCATCCTGCATCCATTCAGGCACCTCTGGAGCCTACTGAGTTCTGGGGATATAAAAAATGGATGCGACACAGTCCCAGGTCTCCAAGTGTAATGATGGAGTACCTTGAAGCCAAATGTGTGGGAGTTCTGTTTTGGGGCTAATAGTGGTGGCCGACTGCTAAAGACTTTAAAGGTAGTGGAGAATGTAGGCAACAGGGTCAGGGCTGGAGACACGCTGGAGACAAATCAATTGAGCAGCCACATCTTGTATTGGTCCAAGAAGAGCTGGCAGAAGGAGGGGAGACGGTGAACATTTATTGAGCTCCCCTCTGTCTCAAACATGGTGTGTACTAGGTGCTTTCCACAGATTATCTAATTTACTCTTCATGACAGGCTGCAAGGTACACATGATTTTCTCCATTTTACATCCAAGAAAAGAGAAGCTGAGAGAAGTGAAGACCCTGGCTCAAAGTCACACACCTAGCAAGTGCTGGAGTCCGGGATGGGCTACTCCAGAGCCCATGTTCTTCTTGCTACATGGGGATATGTTTTTGTGACACATGGGGAGAAGAATCAGGGGTCCTGGGACCTGGGTGGAGAGTGATGACCCTACCTAGCTATTGGTCAGTGGGGTAGGGACTACAGAGGAAGAAGCCAATTGCTACGAAGCAAGAATTTGGATTTGCTAGTAGACTGGAAGTAGGGAAATGAGAGGTACAAAGTTGAGGACATTCTGAGATGCTAGGCCCAGCTGCCAGATGCGACTCTGCAGCTCTGCGCCTCCCCAGCAGAATAGGAAGGGGGCTAATCAATGCATCCCCACCTGAGAAGGGTGGCACTTGCCTATTGACCTCTAAGGAATTTTGGATTTTCCAGATTGGCAGGGGGCGGAAGGGGTAGGGGGCCATCACCTCAGCCAGGACCCTAGAGGTTCTGCCCAGTGGCTAAGCATCCTGAGGACAGGACCAGGGAGAAGACTGGATGGGGCTGGGGTAGGGGGCAATCTACCCTGGAAAGATCACTACTTAGATGGACAGGGGGCATCCCTAGACTGAAGTGGAATAAAATGAGCCACACTGCCTGTCACAGGCATTAAAGCTGTCTCTTCTGCCGGTTCCTCACCCCCAGCCCTGCAGCCGTGGAGCCCAGAGACCAGAGGGTGGCCTTTGCCGCCAGGCTAGTGAAACCTGAGCGCTTCTCCCGCCTGAGAAGGAATGTTCCTTAAGAGCAGCAGCTGCTGCTTGTCCCCACAGGCCAGAACTGCCTTTCCCTTGAGACCAAGGCCCCCAACAGGAGTGGAACAAGAACAGGATTAGGTGGCTTGTTTACATGTGCTTGGCTTTCCCGAGTTTGGGAATCTGGCTTTTCTTGGTCTAAGACAGGGCCCTGGCTCTGCCAGAACGGAGGGATGCTGCCGGGAAGGGGTGTCTGGGGACAGGGACAACCTCTCCACCCTCCTAAGGCACATTTGCGCGGGCACACACACAAACACACACATCACACACACACAAACACACACACACCACCACACACAGGAATACACCCACAGCCTTAGGCCAAAGTCAGACCACACATGTATCTCGCATGTACCATGCACTTAACATTGCGCTAAGCAGTTTCGGGGAATTCAGAGAAAGACCCCTCTTTCCCTCAAAAAGCCTGCCACCAAGCTAGGGAAAGACGACGCCTGCATTAGAGAGAACCATTCTGTTGTGTCCAGTATGTAAGGCAGATGGGAGGCTTTGAAGAGTCCAGAGGACGGGCCGCGGCTGTGCCCTGGAGAGGTCAGGACAAGCTTTCCAGCAGAAAGGAGACATTCAGAACCGACCCCCACCCGCCCCGAGCCCAGGCAGGGGAGCCGCCAGCACGCGCCTTCTGGGAGGCTTTGGTGAGTGTGGTCTGAGCCGGTGGATCAGCAGAGACCTCTAGTGGCCGGGGGGAGGATGGCAGGTGGCTGGGGCTGGCTCCGCACTGCACCCCACTCCGGCCACCGACTCACCGTCACCCACCCTCCCACACAATCCTTAGGAAATGGCATGGGCTCTTTTACAGTCCTCAGCTGGAAGGATCTTTGCCAGGCCATCCCGTTCATTCCCCTGTTTCACAGGCATCCAAGTAAGATAAAAATTCCACCTATTTCAAAACAGCTTAAACAGAAACTTTTCTGTCATTTATCTCCTTCACTCCTTCATGTCTTTGTCCCATTCTGGTTTCTTCCAGGAATTCCTTCCTTGAGTGGAAATGAAGTCTTCCTTGAGTTTCCCAGGGCAGTTCAAGCCCTTTCCCTATTAAAAATGAAGCACGGTGGCTCACAGGGACAGACAGCTCTTCCTGGGCTGACGTGAGACCGCTGTGCATTCATGTGGGCCCCTGCACCCCCCACTTCCAAAAGTCATTCCACAGCTTCTCATCGTTTCTTAGTAAGGCCTTCCTTTGGAACAAGTCATCTTTCTGCTGTTCCAAATGCAATTTGGAGTAAAACTCCCCTGGGGACCACTGAGGTCTGTGAAGAATGAGTGGCAGTCGCAGTTCCAGGGTGTTGCAGCTGGCCCAGAGGATGGTGCTCGGGAGGCACCAGTTCTCTGCCATTCCAAACCCAAAGCCCTGCCTTGCTCTGCCCCTCCTGAGAGGCTCCTGCTTCTGAGTCTCAATCAACAGCACACAAGGAACAGGAGTGGGGCCGCTTCCAGGGGTGCCCATGGAGCCCGGCGTGTTGGTTTTCATCTGATTCCCAGGCCTCAGGCAGTTTCCAGAGGCTTGGGGACACCACGGCTGTCTTCCTAGTGGAACAAAACGAACAGAATTCTTGGGCTGGATAACCAGCTGTCATCCCCAGGTTCCTGGATAATTCCAGCAGGGATGTGAGGCTCTGGGTGCTGAAAAAAGTAACTAGAACCGTACCAAACACTCTTCTCACTTCCATCTGGGTGCTAAGGAGCCTAGAGGGGAGCAACTCTGTGTCTAGACACAGTGGCATCTACCTGGGTTTGGAGTCTGATAAGCCCTGAGGGGAAGCTGTCAAAAAGCTAATAATACTGTGTGCTTAGCCAACATGTGCTCCCCACGGGGTTTCCACCGCTGCTCTGGAAGTTCCTTCCTCAGAAAAGAGAGTCAGACCCTCCTTGTCTCCATTCCACGGCTCTAGAGACTAAGCCTGGACTGGAAATCGCAGCCAAGTGGAGTTGTGGGGCTAGTCAGAGACGATGCTTAGGATCCTGGGACTCGACCATTGCCCAGGAACATCTCAGACAGGGAGACATGTAGCCAGGTTTGCACAACTCTGCCTGCGTGCGCAACCCCAGCTGAACCCCTTCCATTGCTACGTAAAGAACTCAAGTGGCTTGAAGGCTTCTAGGACAGGTTTTTAAATCCCAACTGTACGACTCCCTAGTTGAGTGACCTTAGCCAAGGGAAGTGGGAAATAAATTATTGGATGGCTAAATGTGCCAGGCACTGTGCTTGCATTGGAGCCTGTCTGACCCCGAAGCACATATCCTCTCTCTGTGAGCACTCGTCCTACACTCAGAGCCAGAGGCCTTAGGCTGGAGGCACAGTTATTTGACTCTGGGAAGTCACTTCCATCCTCTCTGGACCTCAATCTCTCTTCAGGCAAATAGGACAGTCCTGCTGACCCCATGGGGTGATGGTGACATTAAAATGGAACAGCGTGGTGAAAGCTCTCTCATACTCAGCGTGTACGATCTTTGGGACCATCACAAGGAAGTTTTTAGAAATATAGATTGCTAGATGATGGGTGAGGGTCTTGACCCAGTGGCCCTGAGAATCTATGTCTAAAAAAAAAAAAAAAAAAAAAAAAAAAAAGCACACTCAAGGCAGGTTTGTGAAGCAGCTCATGTTTACAGATGTAAGGGATGAATATCATTTCCCCAGACCTCCGGGATGCCAAAATTTTGCTTCCTCTTCCCTGCCCCACCTAAAACGTTGCCAGTCCCAGCCCTGCCCTTGGACTCTATCTCTGAAGGTTTTTATTTTATTCCTTCACTGATAGAATCTGGCTGCCTCTCAGCACCTTCCAGCCAAAGACCCAGGGAAGGGAGAGAAGGGTAGGAAAGAGAAGGCTCTGATCCAATGCATAAATTGCCCTTAGTTACCCAAATTGGGTAAATTGGCATGGAGGGTATCCAAGCCACAAGGTGGAGAAGCAGCCAGGGTCTGAGTAAGCAGACGAAGCATCCAGGTGGTGGCTCACCCTCTGCCTTTGGCTAGGAAACAATGTGTGTTGGTTGAATCCCAAGGGACACATCTTGTATTTATTTTACTGACTTTGCTTGTATTTTTCTAACCTTGTTGGGTACTTTTTTGGGGGTGAAGAAAGTCTAGGACAACCTTTTATGTTTGAAATTCTCAAATATCCCTACCAGAAGAGGCACAGGCTAGCATGGATGATTCCAAACAAGGGATTGAGAAGTCACTTCCACTGGTTTTAAGGTGAATGGCATGGAGGTACCCACTCCCCCATTAAATTTACCTTCAAGCCTGGTGTGGTGGCTCACGCCTGTAATCCCATGACTCAGGAGGCTCAGGTGGGAGGATTACATGACCCCAGAAGTTTGAGACAAGCCTGGGCAACAGAGCAAGACTCTCTACCCTGTCTCAAAAAACAAACAAAAAAAAAAGTAAATTTACCTTCCGAGTTTGCTTCAGCTTCAAATATAATATCAGCACGGTTTACACACCATGAGAATGGTAGGCTGGGATGTTGGAACAAGGAGAACTCAAACTCAGAGCAGTCTCATCGCTGAAAACTCAGGCGTTGAGGGTCCCGGTGTCACATGCACTGTATACATAAGGAGATGAGGCCCACAGAAGGGTGGTGACGAGATTGCCTTTCCTCCAGTGCCCACGCTGCTTCTGGACTTCTGAGTTTTAGTTGTTTTTATCTGTTCACCTTGCCTGCAATGATGATTGGTTGACCTGCAGGATTCAAGGAGCATTTGCAGCCCAGAACCGGTGTAGGGGGCATTTGTGGGTGAAGGAGATCTGTGTTCTAGTCCTCTGGCTGCTAACGGGCTGTGTGGCCTTGGGAAGTCCCAGGCATCTCTAAACCTCAGTGCCTTATTTGTACTTCAGGGAGGGGAAATGTGTGGCTTCCAGGGGCTCTTCCAGTTTCTAGGCTTCTGCATGGCAGACTCCATTTTAGACTGCGACTGCAGGAACAGAAAGGCCAAGAGCTCTGCTCAAAGTATAAGCTTCACGGGCTAGGCGGCTCCCACGGGGCCCCAGGAAGGGGAAGCCAAGGCAAGAGCTGCCCCCTCTGTTCCCCAAGGTCACAGCAGCAGAGGTGAGCTCAGAATAGAAGCAAGGCCTCCATCGCCCCACCCACCCGGAGGAGCCACACCAGGAGGCCCGTGCGGCAGGTGGGTGGGAGGAGGGCGTGCTTGGCTCCTCTCCTCCTGGCGCTGCTTATTTATAGGAAATACTCCTCCAGCTCTTGGGCCAGAGACAACCCAGGAGAGTAAAAAAAGGCAGCTCTGGAGGAGACGCCAAGGGGGATTTAATCAGCTGAATCGAGTGAGATGTATAAATCAGTGCCGACTTCCACTTCCTGACAGGCTCTGCCAGGTTCTGTGTTGTCAGGGTCTGGGAGGAGATTCGCCATGGCTGTCCCCCGGGCTGTAACACTTTCCCTTCGTTGCTACAGGTAGGCAGTCACTGGCTCGAGGTTTCCTCCAAACACAGATTTCCGGGCTCAAAACCCTAGACTTGCCCTGGAGGCTGAAGACCCAAGCTTCTTCAAGTCCTAAAACAAAAACCGGGAAGCTGGGGCCTTCTTTTTTGCCCCATTTTGTCTATTTCCTTGACCATTTACCTGTCTCTAAATCCTTGCAGTTCACGCCTTACGATTCCAGCATTTGAGCATGGGAATGTCGCCGAAATGGCCATTGGACCTGTTAACTGGTTCAAGCCCCGTCTTCAGATGAGGAACCGTGGCTAGGAGGAGCTAAGAGACTCAGGCAGGCCTCCTGAGGCTCCCACACTTCACTCGCTGCCTTTTTTCTTCTCCGAACCTAGAGACCCTAACCTCTCCCACATCCTATTCCTTCCTCACAAATTCTCTCCAAGCACCCAGCCTCCCAGTGCAGGCTCCCCAGAAAGCAGGGAGGGCTCCACAGCAAGTCCAAGGACTTCTTTACCCAGCTGTTAACTAGGAATGGTGAGGAGAGCAGAGGGCCAGGAAAACATGTCTTACCTGCCTGGGCTAACGCAAAGAAAAGCGGCAAAGGTTCCGTGCTGGTCGGCAGTGTGGGGAGAGGAGAGTCTGTTTCCAGTGGAATCCTGTGGGCAGCCTGAGGAAGAGAACAGGATCGATGCCATGTGCCGAAGGTGGCTGAGGCTCATATGAGACACCCTTAGAAGACAGGTTATGGGAAGGCTAGGGCGGCTTTCATTTGCTTATTTAACATGTATTTTAGTATCCTGAGCTAGGTGCTAAGGATACAAAGGTGAGAGCTGGAGGCTGCTCTGTGTGTGCAGCCTAGTGTGACAGGCCTGTGATGGAGGTGTGTGGAGAGCAGCCGGGGGACGGGAAAGCATCAGGAGACAAGCGTCGCTGAAGGATGAGCAGGTGCCGACCAGGTGAAGCCATTTTCTCAGACCCGGCTGACAGTGGAATCACCTGGGGAGCTTTTAATAACCCGGAGCCCATTGAATATGATGGATCTGATCAAGAAAAAATCCAGAGCCCAGGACACACTCCTGAACAATTAAATGAGACTCTCTGAGATTGGAACCCAAGCATCATTACTGGAGATTTCAAAGTACAGCCAAGGAGGAGACCATGGGGGTTATCAGATAATTTGTGCCTTAGGTTTTCAGGGCAATGGAATGGTTAAATGGGTGACTCTTTTTGTTTTTGTTTTTTTTAATTGAGCCTTCTTATTCACCCTTTCTAGGAAACCAAGAGAGTTGCCTTCTGGACCTGGGTCTGGGGAGGAGCTAGAAGGAGGGAGGGGGGCAGGCAGGAAGGGGAAAGGACGGAAGAGGACTCTGGGGCTGTAGGGTCTAAGCTCTCAGTGTCATTGTCACAAACCACGCCTCCCTCACTGCCAGGACCTCCTGCAGAATTCCCCCAATTCCATGTCCGGAGTCTCCAATAACCCCCAGGGGATTGTGGTCCCAGCCTCAGCGCTCCAGCAGGGCAACATCGCCATGACAACCGTCAACTCACAAGTTGTGTCAGGTCGGTGCAAAGACTGGGAAGGGTGATTGTGGGAATTCCCTGGGAGGAGAAAGGGTGGCCCCGAGGCGGTTCCAGGGGTGGGGGTTGTCCTCCACCGAGGGAGGGGCTCCCAGCTCAGTTTCTTGACTAAAGTTTTCTGTAAGTTTATAGACGGTTAGCGCCAAGACCCAATTGTGATGGTTTAGAACAAATTTGGGTCAAAATCTCATGAGCCCCTGAGAGGACCAAGTAAGGCTGTTGTCCCTTCCCCGAAGCACCTCCCACCAGAGGCTCTGTCCTAGGCTCTAGACACCATCCCCCACCCACCCATAAAGCAGAAAGCCATAGCTCGCTACCCAAGGGCTCCAAGTAGAGGGTCTTTACACATGAGTGCCAAATGAACTGGGAACCCTGCTTGCCCTCGCTCCTACCCACTCCCATGGCAGGGGACCCCAAAACTGGTTGTCTCCTCAGGTGGAGCCTTATACCAACCGGTTACCATGGTAACCTCCCAGGGTCAGGTGGTCACCCAAGCAATCCCCCAGGGAGCCATCCAGATCCAGAACACACAGGTGAGTGTGTGTAGGTGTGTGCACATGTGCATGGTGTGGGCTAGGGCACCTGTAATCGCTTCTTATCTGCCAGGCACTTTACACGGGTGACTCATTGAATCCTCATCATCCTCTAAGAGGTATCATTACCCCTACTTTACAGATAAGAAGCTGGGTCTTGGAAAGGTTTTATCAACTCCTGGGATTTTGCTGCCTCCCTCCTGGGGTTACATCAAAGGATCCTGCACTTCCTATTCCTGTCTGCAGACTGAGCCGCTGTGTCCCTCAGTGGTAGAGAGTGCACACACAAAGGAAGAGTAGAAAGATCGGAAGTCAGAGTCTGGGATCTGACATTAACTCTGGGATCTCTGATAAGTCACCTAACCTCTCTGAGCCTCAGACTTCTTATTGATAAAAGGGGGATTAATAGCAACTGCACACAGCCTAGCCAACCTACAGGGCTGCTGTGAGAATGAACCACAGCGATGGATAGGAAAGTGCTTTGCAAACTGTAAAGTACCACAGAAATGCTGATAACTACTTGACAGCTTATGGCAAATTCATATCTTCTCCTGTTCTCTCTGCATGGCCCTGTTTCCTCTGTCTTTCTCTCTCTCTCTCTCTCTCTCTCTCTCTCTCTCTCTCTCTCTCTCTCCCCCCCTTCCCCATCTCTTCCTCCTTGTCCTTCTTCCCTTCTCCCATCACCCAAGCCTCACCTCCACTCTCTGAGGGGCTGGCATGGGCTGAGAGGGAAAGGTGACCTCCCCAGGGCCCTAGGAATGAGCCGGGAAAGGGGCTGGCAGCCAAGCCTGCCGTCGCTATGGCAACAGGTCCCCAGCCGCTGCCCTCACAGGCTGCTGATGCTGATTTTCTCTCCACGTGCCCTGAAGGTTAACCTTGACCTCACCTCCCTCCTGGACAATGAGGATAAGAAGTCCAAGAACAAACGAGGAGTCTTGCCCAAGCATGCCACCAATATAATGCGTTCTTGGCTCTTCCAGCATCTCATGGTGAGTGTGTGTGTCTTGGGGGTGTGGAGTCCCGGCATGGGGTATGAATAACCCACCGTGTGGGTACCAGACTCTGCTGTCGGCTCCAAACCCACAGACAGAGGGCGCGGCCTCGGGGAGAGCTCTCTGATAGGAATGACATCTGGAGTCCAGGCCAGGGGGGCTCAGGTGGGGCCTAAAGCTGGAGACCTTCTCCAGTACCTGCTGCTGTTGCTATCTGGAAAAAATGTGGCAACACATGGGGTAATGGGGACAAGTGCATGCTCAAGAGTCAAGTGCTGGGCAGGTGTGTCACACTGTTTCATGAACAGAGAGAGGGTCACTGCGGGGAGTGGGTGGTTTCTGGTCCAGAGCCCTCCCCCTGCCGCAGCCACGCTCACCGTGCCCCTCTCCCATGGAAGAATGTGTTGACTCTGCCAGGACTCCTGAGTCCTCCCCACTGGGTGAGCCAAGCGCTGTGTGGTGGAGATGGGCGCCAAGGCTGGAATCCTGGCTCCTCATGTCACAGCTCAGCTCCAGGACACAGCACTATTTCTTTCATAAGCTGCAGCAGCTCCTTTTATAAAATGGCACACTACCTCGGGTTGCAGTGGAGTGTTACTGAAGTGCATACTGTGTGAAGGTTGCTATGTGTTTGTGTGCAGCATTAGTTGCAAAAGACGAGCCTTTGGTGGAATGTCAGGAAAGACTTCAAAATTGCAATCTCCCAACACCACTTTCAAGGGCTGTGGCAGTAAATAAAGGCCAGTGACTGTGCTGAGTGTGTATGCGCTGGTGTGTGTGTGTTCTGGGGTGGGGAGGTAGATGCTGTGACCACGGGCGGGCTTCCATTAGTCTGCGAGCTCCTGCCCTGGCATGTCAGGACAGACAGACACAGATACAAGACAAATTCCAAGGGACTGAGGATCCATTGGCTGGAGAACTGTGGGAAGAATCAGGAGGAAGAGGAAATCCTTCTTCAGGGAGGAGAAAAATCGAATGGGCCATGGAAACTAATTAGTCCATCAACAGCCGTTGTATCTGAACTGGGAGAGCCTTCAGAAGCCATGGAGACCAGGCCTCAGTGGTTCTCAGACTTTAGTGGCAGCAGAAGACTGACTGGGTCTTGGGGGCTCTGATTGGGAAGTGCTGGACCTTCCTGTGCACCCAAGAGACTGGAAGGATTACCTCCTAGAAAGAGATGAGAGCCGGAGCTCGGCATCTCCCCAAAAGTGTTCCCTCGCCTCTGGGGGCGTGGGGCTGCCCCAGTGGTTTGCTGAGTGAGTACATTTTGAAAGCACTGACTAGTCTGAACACCTACAGTTTCCAGATGAGAAAGCTAATTTGGAGAGGAGGGGCTGGAATGCTGGAGTTAAGGTGAGGAAAGGAGGCTGGAGGGAACCCTGTGCCTAGGTGATGAGGCCAGAGGCCCCGCAGCAGGTCCAGCCTCAGGCCTCTAAGGAGCAGCTCTGATTCAGTGGCTGGAGTGCACAGGGGGAACGCCCAGGTCTCCTGCCTTTCAGGTTTTCCAAATTGCCTGAGAGCCAGGGGGCTCAGATGGACTCAGTGACCTGTGGGTCCAGCGTCCATGCCACAGCTCCCAGCCTACCTGTGGGAGGAAGGATGCATCTTCTGTGCACTGACCTGGCACAACCAAAATGAAAGCACCACCCGCTCCCAACTGCTCGTGGAGCTAAGTCTGGCTGCGCTCATTGTGGTGGGTGACATACGATGCAGGGTCACAGGGGTGCTAGAAAGCTCATGGGCTTTTGAGGCAGCTGAACCTGGGTTCAGAGGTCAGTGTTACCTTTTACCCGGCAACTTGGTCACACTCGCCTCTTAGGAAGACTGTGATGAAGTAATGAAAGATTGCCAGGACCCTGGCCCACTGAATTGCTTAATAAATGCTCCCTTTCCTTCCCCACCTCCCACCCCCATGCGTTTTTGAAGACTGTTGTGAACATACCTACAACCTCACTTCTGAAGGGGGAGAAAGGCAAGAGGAGAGAGAGGAAGCTGCAAGGCAGATTCCCCTGCCCAGGAGCCCAGGTGTCCAGGCCAGCACCTGCTCACTGACTCTCCTCACCCTATCTGTGGCCTTCCCCTTCACTACTTTCCACTCCCCACTTGCAACTTACCCCTGGGAATCGTTAGCCTGAGACTGGAGGGTCACCCATCTCTGTCCCTCCTGGTCATGCCTGGCCTCTCACCTGGGACCTCGGTTCATGCCCCACCCTCTCATCTCCTTCCTTGTGAGCCTCCCTGCAGAGCTCAGGGTCCTGTCTTTCCACTCCATGGTCACTTCCACCCAGACTTGGGAAGGCAGAGGAAGGGGAGGTGGAGAAGAGAGGAAGTAGTAGCTGAGCACAGAGTGAGGCAGGACCCAGGCTGGCATCTACAGAAAGCACCAGGGATAGGGTAGAGGACTTGCCGAAACGCATGAGGAGGGGCTTTCTGCCCACACTTTCCCACCCACCCCTGTTGCCCTCTCCAGCCTGGCAGTGGGCACAGGTGCAGGTGCCATTCATGACGCGCTTAACATTGGCAGAGTCCTCCCCCAGTTCATCACAGTGGCCTCTAGAGAGGCAAGGGGAGTGGCCACTGGGCCTCTAAAGGCAGAGCTCAGAACTTTGGGACTGAAGGGAAGGAAGAAAATGAGAAGTCCAGGCTGCTCTAGGGAAACAAGCAGACCCAGCTGTCCTTGGCAGGCCACACCTGGGCCACACAGCCATGCACATGTGGACACACCCTCCCCAATCCTCAGCTGCTTCAGGAAAGAGGCTATAAAGGCTCTTCATAACTAGGCACGGTAGAAAGAAGACAGGATTTGAAGCCAGACAGATCGAGGCATGAATTGAGGCTCTCCCACTAGCAGTGTGATTACCCTGATTCTATTTCTTTGAAAAAAAAAAAAAGAAGCTAATACTTATTTCCCATGGTTGTGAAAATTCAATGAGAAAATGTATATAAAGAGCCAGGCCTAGCACATAGCACTTAAGAAATAAGTTCCCTTTGAATTTTTTAGAACAATGGACCAAGAGCAAGTTTTGGAGGCTGAAGACCCAAAATTTGTGAATATTAATCAGAGGTAGATAGCTGATTTGTTGTTTTCATCTATAACACCTACTGATTTTACTATCATTTGACCGTAAGAGTAACGGACAGTACTGTGACTTACTCATTCTTTGGGTAGATGTGTGTGCCTCTCTTGCATCTCTGACTCTGTTGTAAATTTCTCAGAAATAAGGATCATACATTATATTCCTCTAGGAGCCCTACAGCATTAATTCCCAAGGTACGGAGCTTTATAGGATTTATGAGGTCTTGCACCCCAAAAGAGGTTCCATGGTGAAATAAGTTTGGGCCAATCTGAGTTATATAAAGTTTAGCTTTTTTTTTTTTTTTTTTTTTTGGTGGCGGGGTACAGTCTCACTCTGTTGCCCAGGCTGGAATGCAATGGCACGATCTTGGCTCACTGCAATCCCCACCTCCCAGGTTCAAGTTCAAGCGATTCTCCTGCCTCAGCTTCCCATGTAACTGGGATTACAGGCGTCTACCACCATGCTTGGCTAATTTTTATATTTTTAGTAGAGGTGGGGTTTTACCATGTTGCCCAGTCTGGTCTTGAACTCAACCTCAAGTGATCTACCCACCTTGGCCTGCCATAGTGTATTTTTTTTTATTCTTACAGGACGAAGGGGCATGGTGAATTTGCAAGAGGGGTAAGGTTCGAAGCTTCTCCCAAACTTATGTGAACACTTTACATCCCCCTTGGTGTTTTCACTGTTGCTCTGAGGAACAACTCTGAGACTGTAATTCTTGAAAAATGCAACTCTAGGGAGACACTGTGTCAGGCCAATAAGAGCTGCTCAGCTTTAGGAAAGAAGAGCGGAAAGGGTATGAAGTAAGGACAGACCTAAATATGCCATCGATGTTCTCACATCCAGTGCAGCTGGGACAACTAATTTGTTGTTGATTGAAAAAATTAGTTTAAAAAAGAAACAACCATTCAAAAGAGATACTTTAATTTAAAAGATGGACATACCGTATACATTCATTTGCTAATCTTTTGATACAGGACTAAGGTCTTTTTCTAATTGTTAGTCATCTTCCTTGCATAAACCTCTCCTATACTGTAACATCTATAAATTCCACCTCAATAGAAAGTGGAATTACAGGCCGGGTGCGGTGGCTCACGCCTGTAATCCCAGCACTTTGGGAGGCCGAGGCGGGCGGATCACGAGGTCAGGAGATCGAGACCATCCCGGCTAAAACGGTGAAACCCCGTCTCTACTAAAAATACAAAAAATTAGCCGGGCGTGGTGGCGGGCGCCTGTAGTCCCAGCTACTTGGGAGGCTGAGGCAGGAGAATGGCGTGAACCCGGGAGGCGGAGCTTGCAGTGAGCCGAGATCCCGCCACTGCACTCCAGCCTGGGCGACAGAGCGAGACGCCGTCTCAAAAAAAAAAAAAAAAAAAAAAAAAGAAAGTGGAATTACAACTTTGACGTTTGGGAACTAATCTGTCCACGAGATCTTTCCAGATTTTTATTATGTATTCCAATCCTTTATGTTTGTCTCATCTGATCCTAACTATTCAGCATTTGTAAGCAAATTTGGGCCTCAAGACTTTTGAAAGCTTTCTACTTATCAACAGCGACTCTTTTTGCACTCATATTTCATTGGTTTACAGAAGAGTTTGTTAAATTACAGAAACGTACATACTTTATTAATAATACATAGAATTGGCATAAACCAGTCTGCATACGAGCACTGCTGACTTTCAGATAAGCAGGTAGTGTGGCTAACAGACATTCTACAAAACAGCCTACTCATCTCAAGCATTCAGAGTGCTGCAGACAGCAGTTCTAATGATTTACAGAAGAAGTGGAAACAGCATTGATTAATCCACAAACTTTGCTAAATAGGGATTGGTTGTGAGAATGTCTGTAGTAAATACTGGTTCCTGTTGTCTTCTTTCCCTGGGGCATAAGTTTGTATTCTTTGGTTCCCTTTGTCCTATGTCTGGGGCTTCTTGTCATTTCTACTGTTCTGCAGCCCTGGCAGCTACAGGAAAGTATTCAGATGATAGAAGGCTCCTGAGATGGAGGTGAAATCCCAGAGCCTTTTTGCTGTTAGGCTGCAGTGAGATTGGGATCGTTTCATACGTTAGCTGCTCGCCTCTGAGTCCCTGAAGAATCCAGTGACATTTTCTTGCTCTTGCATTTGGCTGAAAGAGGCCACACTCCTGCTGGAAGCAATCATTCCATAGCAGACTCAGGTCGGCCGAGAGCCCATGGCAGAGAGTCCTCCTCTTGGAGGGTGGAGAGGTAGGCACTGTTCCCCATCCCCAGCTTCTACTCCACCCCTTCTGCTCCAGATCTTGGAGTCTTCCTGACCTGCCACGTGATTCTGCTCCTTTCCATCCCAAATATGACATCTGTCTGTGCTGCTGCCAGCCAAGCACATGAGCAGCTTTTCAGAATATGCTCTGTGTGCGGGGAGATCCTGGAGACCAGGCCCCAGCAGGCCCTGCCATCCACCAGAGGAGCCGCTTCTGCATTAGCCACTGCAGCGTGCCGGGTTCTGCACTAAACACTGTAACGCATCATCTCATTTAACCCACACAACCACCCTAGGAGGAGGTAATACAATTCGCCTCATTTTACCAGTGACAAAACTGACACTCGAAGAAGGCAACACATTTCTCAAGGTCACATGGATGACAGGTGGCACAGGATTTGAACCCGGACCTATGCAACGGGAGGCTCTAATCTCTTACCCACCACTTTGACCCAAGAAACCACAGACATCTCTTGGCTCCCATGCAAAGTCTGGGTAAAGCAAAGGGGAACCCCAACGCCCAGCAGAGGCGTGGAGCCCCGTCCTGGGAGAGGTGTAGAGATTTTACATGTCCAGTCCCGGTCTTCAGACCTCACAGCGATGCTGCCTTTGATGTCTCCCCCACCCCACTCATCACATTCAGAAGCCTGGCCTGGCATCCAGCTGCACTCTGCCATCCACCACCCCATCTTCCATTCAGCCACAAGGAGCTGAGGGCTCACTCCAGGGCCCTTCTATGAACTCTGCTGTGGTCACAAAAGCTGAGTGCACAAAAAACACCCAGGGCCTTCTCTGTGTGACTTTTTAGATAGAAACATAATTCACGTACCATAAAATTTACCGTTTTAAACTGTGGAATTCAGTGGCTTTTAGTATCTTTACAGAGTTGTGCAATCATCACCACCATCTAATTCCAGAATATTTTCATCACCCCAAAAAGAAAGGTTGTACCCATTAGCCATCACTCCCCAGCCCCTGGCAACCATGAATTCACTTTCTGCCTCTATGGGTTTGCCTATTCTGGACATTTCACCTAAATGGAATTGTGGGATTCTCATGTCTAGCTTCTTTTACTTAGGACAATGTATCAGTACTTCATTCCACGTTGTGGTTGAAGCATATTCCATGGTACAGATGTAGCACATTTTGTTTATTCATTTATCAGTTGATGGACTTTGGGGTTGCTTTCACTTCTTGGCTCATAAGTCCTGCTGCCATGACGGGTATACTCTGCATGATTCTGTGCCTGTTGTTCTCTTAGACTCTGTCAGATGCCCAGCTATCCTTCCCCCAGCCTGAGAACCTCACATGCCGGGCTCCTTCTGGCTGGGGGGAGGCAGAGCGGCTGTACCCCAGGAACAGCGGGTGCACTGCACAGAGCTCCTGGCCAAGGAGGGCACGTGGAGGTGAAGCCCAGCCAGTTGCCTCTGTGCCTCGGTGTTGCCTTTGGTCACTCCACATTCTTTGCATGCCTCGCTACCTCCCCTGCGCAGAGCATTGTGTTAAGTCTTGAAGGGATGACAGTCAGCCCTCTGTGTCTATGGGTTCTGAATCCCTGGATCCGACCAACCTTGGATTGAAAATATATCTTTAAGTGGATGGTTGCATCTGTCCTGAACATGTATCGCCTTTTTTCTTGTCATTATTCCCTAAACAACACAGTATAATAACTATTTATATAGCATTTACATTGTATTCATTACTGTAAGTAATCTGGAAATGTTTTAAAATGTACGGGAGGATGTTTGTAGGTTATATGCAAATACTACATCATGTTATATCAGGGACTTGAGCATCCATGAATTTTGGTCCCCCACGGACACTGGAGGTTGACTCTCTCTAGCTGTATCTCTGTCAAAGGCCCACCTACAGGACCCATCCACATGGCTGACATAGGAATGGCAATGTTTCTTAGAAACCACATAGCCTATGGAAAGGACATGGTTCCTGGGGCAGGACCTGGGTTGAGTTTTCACCACCCCCTCTACCTAGCTTGGCGAGCTTGGGTGATTGTTTGCCCTTGTGAAGCCTCTCTTTCCCCTGCTGTAAAACAGGAGCTGCAATATCCAGCTCATAGGTTGTTGTGAGAATAGAATAAGCGGATGGGCGTGAAGGTTCTTTGTCCCGATACAGGCACCGCTACTGCTACAAATGCCTCCAGTCTCATTGAGAGTTCCCATAATTGGCCTTGCCTTGGAAAATGCTGAGAGAAACCACAAAACTTTTGGGGAACCTATGGAGGAAAGCAAGAACCCCTGAAAAAAAAAGAAAAAAAAAAAAAACAAGAAAATGGCTTAGGGAGACTGGCCCATTTTTGTTCCAGAATATTTTGTCTGCTACCTTTTCCTTTAACTTCCTCATACTGTCTGAAATTCCACTTGCATACGTATTAAGGATTAACTTTTTAATGAAATTCCACTATTAGAGACCCATTTTAAACTATCCAATCCCTGTACAAAGCAATGACTATGAAAGGCTGTGAGGCCATCATTTACTCACAGATTAGTACGAATTAGTTCAAAAGCTTGCTTTACTATTCCCACTCAGCTAAGATCAGCTTCATGGGAAGAATGGGGCCAGGCACAGTGATAATCCCAGCACTTTAGGAGGCCAAGGCGGGAGGATTGCTTGAGCCTGAGAGTTCGAGACCAGCCTGAGCAACATAGCGAGACCTCATCTGTTTAAAAAAAGAAAAAATTAAAAAAAAAAAAAAAAAGGCCGAGTGCAGTGGCTCACACCTGTAATCATGCCAGCACTTTGGGAGGCTGAGGTGAGTGGATAGCCTGAGTCTAAGAATTCGAGACCAGCCTGGGCAACATGGCAAAACCCCGTCTCTACTAAAAATACAAAAAAATAGCCAGGCATGGTGGTGGGCACCTGTAGTCCCAGCTATTTGTGGGCCTGAGGTAGGAGGATCATTTGAGCCCAGGAGGTCAAGGCTGCAGTGAGCCCTGATTGTGCCACTGCACTCCAGCCTGGACAACAGAGTAAGACCCTGTTCCCTCCCCACCACATTTCCCCCAAAAAAGCTGAGTTTTTTATTTAAAAAAAAAAAAATGGGGGCCGGGCACGGTGGCTCACGCCTTTAATCCCAGCACTTTGGGAGGCCGAGGTGGGCAGATCATGAGGTCAGGAGATCGAGACCATCCTGGCTAACACGGTGAAACCCCACTCTACTAAAAATACAAAAAATTAGCCAGGGGTGGTGGCAGGCACCTATAGTCCCAGCTACTTGGGAGGCTGAGGCAGGAGAATGGCATGAACCTGGGAGGTAGAGCTTGCAGTGAGCTGAGATTGCGCCACTGCACTCCAGCCTGGGTGACAGAGCAAGACTCCATCTCAAAAAAAAAAAGAAGAATGCTAGTGCTTGTTGGTGGTAGAAGATGAAGGTTAAAATACTTTCTAACAGCATTTTGAGGAGCCAAGCCAGAATGGGGTGCAGAGAAGTTTCTAACAATTGTTCTCAACCTCTCTAAGCCTCTCTATCTTTTGAGAATCTGATGAAAGCTTATTTAGATCATTGTGAACATAGTTTCAGGGCATTTGACCCTGAAGTCAGGGGTCCCAGAGGCCTGAGATTCAGCATGCTGACTGTAGGGTGACACAGAACCCAGGGGCTTCTGAGAAAAGGAACTGGGGCATCGTGTCAATAGGGCACAAAAAGGAGACGCTGAAGGTTCACTTGCATCAATCATGGAGTCTTCCCCAGCCTAGTTCTGACCCTGAAAGCAGAGAGCAGTCTCTCGCCTGTCCTTCCTGAAGCCCATGGACCCCTCCCGACTTGAACACAGATCTTTAACCAAAGTGGCTTTTAGGACTGGCCAGGAAAACTGCCTGTTTTTAGAATAACTTCTGTCTATGAAAAAAAAACATGATCTAAGTTCCAAATAACATATCTCTTCACGAACACCCAAATTTCAGGTATGAGATGTGATTTCAGCACTAAGGGGGTTGATCATGTAATTGGGGAAATAAATGATAGACATAAGCCAGGAGAGGTCAACCCACGACGTAATCAAGTGCTATTATACAAGCACGGACACTCGAGTGGCTCAAGAGCCAGAAGAGTGTGTCCAGGCACTAGAATCAGGTTGCAAAAGGTTCTTTGACAATCATCTTCAGAGGGGGCAGGCAGGATGGGGAGATGTTTCTTCCAGTGACCCTAACAGGAAGCATGTCATGTGAGGAGCGGCTGAGGGGTCTGGGGATATCTTGCCTGCAGAAAAGAAGACTCGGGCAGCCTGTTCCTTTATGGCAGCATGGTGTAGCGCAAGGAGCAAGGGCTTTGGAGGCAGATAGGCTTGAGTTGGTCCAAGCTCTAATTTTACTTACTGTGTGATCTGGAACAGGTTAATGAACTTCTCTGATATTGCTTTCCTCTTTATAAAATGGAGATAGAAATGCTACCTATGATGAATAGGATTGACAATATGTTAGAAAACACAGTGCCTGAAGGGTGGCCACGTGTTCAGCAGAAACACCTTCCTACCCGTCAGAGCAAAGGGCTATGCACTGAACGATGGTGGCCTTGCAGGCCGGCATGTCACATTTTTTATGTCAGCACACATAGAAAATGATAGTCAAGCCACCAGGCTGCTTACGCCCGGAGACCAGCCGGGGAGCCCTTGCTGCTCCAGACTCTGCAAACCACATCCGGGGCCAAGGACACCGCTGTCTGCACACTTACACCTTCTTGGGGTATGCTGGCTGGAAAGCGCTGGTGTAGAGGGCTCCTGCCCTGTGGGAGAAGCTGGACACAGAGACCCTGAGAGCTCTGTGTAATCTTGAGATGTTGGTTAACAGGGTTTGGTTGGAGAAGCTGGCATTTGGGCTGGGCCTTATGAAGGATGGCTAGGATTTAGGATTGGGTAGGAAGAGAAAAAGGAGGGGTCATTTTGGATGACAATTATCTCTTAGATAATCATCAATGCCCCTATGATTCGTATTGGCCACAGGGAGTGACCCCTCGCTCCAAGTTGTTGTGGTCCTCAAACCCTCTTCACCCCTTATTCTCACTCTTGAAACCTGGGAACACTGTGGCCCCTTACCCCAGCCACGACTGTCTTCATTCTAGACGCTGTTCAGGCATCTGTGCCTGAAGGCCTTTAGTGTACGGCTACCAGGAGGAAGGAGGTCAGGCCAGCTGGGTTCTTGGTTACATTTCTCTCTTTGTCCCAGAGAAATCTTAGACCTCAGACTCCTGCCTGTGGGGTGAGAGTGTTTTCTCCACCCATCCTTCGCTGTAGGGATCTAGAGAGAAGCTGCCCTCCAACTCCCCAGGAGTGATGTTTGACTGTCGGAGGCATCCCCTGGTGTAGCGCTGTCCCAGGGTGTGTGCCCTGCTGGCAATGTGTCCCCAGGGAAGGAAGAATTGGATTGATGCTTCTCCATCCAAGACTGAGCCTTGTCGACAACAGGCAAGTCAGCTGCAGGGTTGCATGGAGGCGCTGAAAAGGGAAGGTGTGCAAGAGACCCCTGGGTTGCACTGAGCCCCAGGACACCCCAGAGGGCTGCAGCTCTAAGAAAGTCCACCTGAAAAATGGCTGCAGGAGATTTACAACCTCACAGCATTCCCCAAGAAGCTTAAGACTCAGGTTAGGATAAAATGTCCCCATCATAGTACATGCAGGAAATAAAACCCATTTGAAAAAATGAGCGTATTTGTATGCTCACAGAAGGGGCTGCTGGGAGGCTCCTGCCATCTGCCAGGAAACAACCTGTGGCTTCTTCAGAGACACAGCCACATGCGTCAAGCTACAGACTTATTTGTTATTTATTTAACAAACACAGAGTACACTAAGCACCGTTCTAAATAGCTTTCGTATATTAACTCATTTACTGATACTGATCAGTTTAGCTACACACACACACACACACATATGTATACACATACATATATACGTATGTATATACACATATATACATATATACTCATTTAATTCTTATAGCAACCTTGAAGCAGGTGGAATTATCTCTCCCATTTTACAGAAGAAGAAACTAAGTAATTTGCCCAAGGTCTCACGCCGGTTAGAGACAAGACAAGGATTCAAACCTGGGCAGTCTGACTCTAGAGTCCGTGTTCTCACGTACTTCTAACAGTACTGCCTCCACGTCTTCTTTAGAGAGGTGACCGGTGTGCCTTAATGGACTCTTAAGTACCCCCTTTTTCTCTTCCACATCCTCCCTGAATATACGTTCAACAATAATTGAAAAAGCAGCATTATTAGTGAGTAGAGCAACCTGCCTCTAGGTGGAGCTCCTGGGAGGTCCGATCACTGATGCTTTCCCCACTCACCTTTAACCTGCAGATGCCCACAGGAAATGGTGAGAAGTACCAGTTACTCCGAAGGCCCCGTGTTCGTTC
This sequence comes from Homo sapiens, assembly GCF_000001405.40. Classification (NCBI taxonomy): domain Eukaryota; kingdom Metazoa; phylum Chordata; class Mammalia; order Primates; family Hominidae; genus Homo; species Homo sapiens. The sequence goes on from NC_000011.10 coordinate 125,423,549, forward strand.
ATTCAACAGATGCATACTGAACACTTACTACATGCCACACATTTTTCCTTGGTGCTAGTGAGGTAGGGTTGAAAAGAAAGACATGGTCCCTTTTCTCAAAACACTTGCAGCCTGCCCCTTGGGGTGACAGGTAGCTACACAGACCCAAAGCCCCTGTAGTAGGAAGAATCCTAGATAGGGCAAGTGCTCAGAGCTCATAGAAGGGGCATCTGAGAGGGCTTCACTTATCAGGGATGGGGATGGGGAGGAGGTTAAGAAGGACCCATCTTGCTGGCATTGTGAAGCATAGATTGACACAGAAACCAGAGGGAAAGAGAATAGTTTTGAGATTGCAGGAAGGTGAAGAATGGGACAGCAGTGTGTCTTCACAGTGGAAAACTACACAGCGATTAAAAGGAACAATTACAGTTAAACAGAGCCAGCATGGATGAATGATTCCATTTACATCAGGTTCAAAAACCTGATGTCAACTAGGTCATCATGTTTAGGATGTAACACAGATAGCAAAACTATAAAGAAAAGCAAGAAAGTGGTTACTGCAAAAGTCAGGAGATCTTTGGAGAGGTGTTTGGGGGGACAGAAGGGGGTTTGTGGGGTGCTGGTAGTATCCTATTTTTTTGACCTGGGGGTGGTTACATGGGTGTTTGCTTTTCTTCGTACTTTTCTGAGTGTTCAGTTTTAAGGGGAGCAGGGATAAAAATGAGAGCAAAAATAAAAGAATGGAAAGCATGAACAAGGGCAATGACTACAGAAAGAGAAGTTTCTCGGGTGACTTATTGTGCTTCTCTTTATTCTAAAAGACTTTTTTTTTCTTCCATTTTAACATCTCTGAAATTGGGTACATCCCACCATCAGTGGCCTCTTAGATGTGATGGAATGTGGTCGTTTTGGGGCCCCCACCATCCTGGCTGCCTTCCTCTGGGTCTCTGGCCCTCCTAGAGTGGAACCACCCCAGAGTGGTGGCTGGCAGCAGCCCATGGCCCCACAGCTGTCAAGAGGGAGAGGAGGGGAAAAGCGTGTAGTGGACTCTGGTGCAGCGCTGCTGATGGCAGGAAACCTAATGGAAGCTCGCTGATCTGAATCAGCCTCCATGCCCCGCTCCACCAGCACCTCAGTGTCTATTGACACTGACAGGCTGCGGCTTCCCATCTGCTGTGTCCCTTGGTGAACTGGCTCACCTCATGGTGAGATCTACATGGCTAGGAGGTGGAAGGACAATTGCCAATGGGCTGTGCATGAAAGAAATATCCAGGACCTGTGAACCAGAACTGGCTTAGCTTCCTTCTGAACCAGCCCCTGGGCAGAACTCACTCTTTCAATTGAAAGATGCTTTTAGTATCAGTTTAGTCCAGAGGAGAGTTGCGTTATGGGGCTATAAAGGGAGGTATCAGAGAGAGATGGGAAAGAGTTGAGGTCAGATTTCAGCGGAACTTCCTGGTGGCAACTACAGTGCCCTGAGACACCTACTTGGTGTAAATACCATAATTCCCTTCTCTAGAGTCCTTGAGTATTCAACTAGATGATGCCGGGAGGCTTCAGTGCATCGCACAGAGTGAGTCAATGGAGCACACAGGCTTACCCTGCACTATCTCATTAAATCATCCCCATGTCCAAGAGTTAGTCACTGTTTTGCTACTTCCATCTAAGGATGGAAGACATAAAACAAACAAAGGTCACTTGCGTGTGTCAAGGTCACACAATGTTAAGGGGTGGGTCAGGACTTGATCCCATCTCTGAAGGTCCTTTACTCCCTGGCAGCACTGCCCAGTCGTGTGAGGCTCCAGCTGTCCCTGAGAAGGCTCTGTCATCTTCTAGTCTGTTCTGTACCTCTTTTTCTTTTTCTTTTTCTTTTCCTTGCTTTTCATGAACTGTATCTACTTCTTTTTCAAGGAAGGATTATCTACTTCCAGAGAGCTACTGTCTGGGCCCTTCTCTTCCAAATCCAGGGAGTTCCCTCCAATAACGATCAGAGAGCAGCCACTGTGCCTTGATGGTTTGCCGTGATCCAATAACGATCAGAGAGCAGCCACTGTGCCTTGATGGTTTGCCGTGATCCAATAATGATCAGAGAGCAGCCACTGTGCCTTGATGGTTTGCGTGATCTCATTTGATTCTTCTTCCCCTCCTTGGCCCCAAGCCTGGCCAGTTGTGCTAAAAGTAGCGCTGACCCAATCATGGTCTGTCCAGAGGCCAGGACTATTTTGACTCTGTCCTCAGGAATCATGTGGTCTGAGGCGTGTACGAGCTGGACTGCTCCCATGACCACTCAGATGTGGTGCCAGGAATGTTCTGGCTGACACACCTGTCCCCAGAGCTGCTAAACGCTGCTACTTACCCCACAGCCCCACAGCGTGCGTCCTGAGATACTGGACGTCCAGGAGGGATAGGTGGTGAGGACTTGCACCAGGCGGTGGTTAGGGGCTTTCTATCCTCATTCATAAGAGAGCAACCAGCCAGTTTTGGGTGGCATTGCTTCTCATAGCTCCCCACTGGACTGGAGCATGTTAATCTGTGTATTTGTGACATTCACTCAGAATGGGGGCCCGACAACAGAAGGCTCCTTAGAGACAGCAAACATTATTCTTCCAAGGAAGGCTGGAGGATTTCCTTCTCTGGAGGCCGTTAATAGTGGAAGAACTTTTCATCCTACTGGCTTAAATATAAGTCCCAGTGCAAGGCTCCTGCCTGGAACATCATCCTCTCCTCTACTAGATTGGCTTTGCCATTCTTCAAAGTCCAACTGAAATCCCCTTCCCTAAGGACTTCCTTCTTTTGTCACCAGAGGGGTACTTAGCACAGACTTCCCATTAATAGAGAGGCTTTTTCCTCCTTTTTTTCTTCCCATCTAGTCTGTGAGTTCTTAACTTCAGATATCTTTCACTTGCCAGCACCCAGGATGCGGCAGATGCCCAACAGTTGTGGGCTGGTGAACCAGCACAGCCAGCACGGCCACTAGCTCTGCTCAAGAAACAAGTCTGCGTCTCCTTATTGTGCTAGTTCATTCCTCAGTTCACTACACAATCCTTCAACGTTGGCCTCTTTGCCTGTCTGCACACTGTGCCTGGTCAGCACGGCCACTAGCTCTGCTCAAGAAACAAGTCTGCGTCTCCTTATTGTGCTAGTTCATTCCTCAGTTCACTACACAATCCTTCAACGTTGGCCTCTTTGCCTGTCTGCACACTGTGCCTGGTCTGCACACTGGAAATAAACAATGTCTAATGAGATGGGGTCCCTGCCTGAGAGAAGCTCATGGCCTAGTGGGGGACACATGTCTTGCCATCTAGTGGGCGAAAAGCAATCATTCAGAGGCCACGGTGACCAGCTTTGCCTCAGGGAGTCGGGAAGGGCCTTGCAGAGGCTGTGATCTGTGGCAGGCCCTCACAGAAGCTCAGAAAGGCACGCGAGGACAGGCAGGAGGAAGCGCGCTCCAGAGGAGGGCCAGCACGTGCGAAGGCATGGAGGCATGAAAGGCCCTTGCACCTGGGAAGGCCAAAAAATCACCATATTTTTGCTGCTTTTTGTCTACAGACCAGCTGGCTATGGACAGGGAGGCTGCTTGGCTCTTTCCCACAAATAGGGAGGTTGGAGCCAGGCACTAGGGCTTGACCCCAGAAGGTGTCAGAGCTCCCAGAGTCCTTGCCTCTCTGCCCCCTGGGGCCATCTGCACCCTCTCCTCCCATCCTGCCTCCGCTCCTTCCCAATTAGAATGAAAATTGGCTCCTGTAATGCTGATGTGCCTACTTTCTTGTTAGAATCTTAATACCGTATGAATCACAAGTCCCAGCTGCCTTGGCATGGTGGTCAGGGTCAGAGGTTTGAATTAAAGCAACACATGGTCCTGATGGCTTCATCTGGGGGATGCTGAGGTAGGGGAGAGGCTGCTCCTCCTTTTCCACCGATAATGCGAGTACCACCAAGGCTGCTGACCGCAGCCTTTTCCCTCAGAAAGTTCTAAGCACCTTGTAACACCCCCTGATAATAAGAGTATTCGTACCTTTTATTGAGCATTTTACAAGTATAATTTCATTTATTTGTCAGATGACTTGCTGATGTGTAGTTAGGTGACGTGCCTGAGATTTCATAGCTAGTCATAATAGAGCCAGATTTTGAGACCTCCCATCTCGGGGACCTTAGACAGCTCAAGCACCACTTTCTAATACCACTCCAATCAAAAGGAATGATTTTAGCCTGAGGATGCTGGATGGCTTGATCTTCTGCCATAAGAGCCCCCAAACCTCCCCTAGCTTCCAGGACAAAACTCTGACTTATTCAGACGTTCGCCACACCTTAATTGCATGCTGGGTGCCAGGCACAGGGCTGTGGCCTGAACAAGTCCTAGGGATGCATAGACTCAGCCATCCTGTGGCCTCCCTCCCAATGGGGTCACGACTCTCTTCCCACTGCCACCCAGAGCCTTCTCATTCTTTAATGTGACCTGTTCAGTCTTCCCCACCACTGCATTTCTCTCCTTCTTAGCCTCTACAGGGCTCATCACCCAAACCACAGCATTGAGTGCTGTGCTTTTGCTTTCCTTCACTCAGCAGGCATTTGTATGTCATTTGTATGTGGAAGGCACTGGGGATACATTCAGTATCCCAGTGCCGTCATGAAGCACAGTCTGAGAGAGGGAGACAGATGCGTAGTCAGTGCACGGGCTGCAGCATGTGGGGGACTGAGAGAGACACCTGCCCTGCTCTCTTTCTCACCTCCACTCAGTCCTATAAAGTGGCATCATGAAGCAATGGAAGAAAGACTGGACCCAAATCGGAAGACCTGAGCTGGTGCTACCATCTGGGGGACACTGGAGGAGTCATTCCATCTCTTCATCTGCAAAGTGGGAATAACAATACCTAACCTGCCTGCCTTTCAGAGTTTCAATGATGTGCTTTATTAAATAAAATGATGATTTTTTAATGAATAAAATGCATGAAAGCATTTTACAGGTTATAAAGCACTATACAAGTAGTACTCTTCTGTCTCCTAGCCATGCCTAGCATAAATCTGGGCACATAGTAGATATTCAGTAAATAGCAGTTAACTTAAATTGATCCATTCACCCCGCCTACCACCTTCTATGGGCGTTTGAGGCCATTGGAAACCCTAACACTGACAATGCCTGCCCTGCCTGCTGGGGGCGGCAGTGAGGATCAAGTGAGAAGGATGTGCCTTGGAAGCTGTCAGTACTGAACCATCTTGGTCTTGGGAAACCTCCCTGGCTCCCCATTGTGGGGGCTTGGCTGAGGACTGGCCAGCCCGGGATGTGGAGTCTCGGGCATGGGGCAACCTTCCTCCAAGCCCTAGGTCCATTCTCTGTGGGGAGCAAACATGACACTTCCCCAATTTTGGTTCCCAAACCACTCGGGCTGCCTGGCTCAGGATAGTGCCCATGGCGTGGGCACAGTCCCTTGGGGGGGCCAGATCAGCATATGCCCAGCCCTCACTAGTCTCCACCTCTCGTTTCAGCACCCCTACCCCACGGAGGATGAGAAGAGGCAGATCGCAGCCCAGACCAACCTCACCCTCCTGCAAGTAAACAACTGGTGAGTTTGCATCACCTGCATGCAGGCTCCCAGATCCAGGGGCCACCTTCTGGGCAGGGGAATGCGTAGCAGGGAAAAGAGACTCGAATGCCAGGATCTGCCTCAATCTCAGCCCAGCTACCATGCCAGTCCCCCCATTTAGGCTAGAAGCAGAAAGCAAGAATCAACACTGGCACCTGTGGCTTCATCTGCAGCTTCTCAGCGCCCTCTGCTGGGACATTGTGTCAGGCACATCCCTGGAAGCTTCTTGAGGAAGAGAAAACCCACGCCCACCTGAGCACCCAGCCCACCTGCACTTCAGAGACAGACAGGATTGCCCGCAGCTGTGCACCGGAGGCCAGTGGTCATCTGGTCTTCCCCACCCCCATGTGAACTGAGACTAAAACTAGCTGCAAAGCTGGGAGTGGGGAGAGGGAGGAGGAGTAGCCATTCTGACCCCACAGGGATCTCAGCTTTCCCAGTCTCTGTGCCTGGCTGGGCTGTCAGGGGAGCTCAGAGAGCAAGGTCTGGCTGGATGGAAGTAGACCCCAGAGCTGAGGGCCCTGATCCGAGCCCTTGGCTCTCTGGAGAGAAGTCAGAGGTTAGTGCCTATGACTACCATGCTCTCCTCCTCCGTTCAACCTGGAAGGTCTTGAGCAGGGATTTCTGACCCCCCATGCATTCTTCCCATATGACTTTGCAGTTACCAAGCCCCAGGAAATTTCATGAACTTCTCAGCACCCAGGGCCCTCCTCCTTGCTGGGCTTTTACATCCGGGATGGGAACCCCGGTCTGCTCTGTGAAATGGAGTCTGAAGGCAGCTTCACCCTCCCTGCCCCCACCCCAAGGCCATGCAGGTGATGACTAACCAGGTCTCCACTTTACCTCTGGGCAGGTTCATCAATGCCCGGAGGCGCATCCTGCAGCCCATGCTTGATGCCAGCAACCCAGATCCTGCCCCCAAAGCCAAGAAGATCAAGTCTCAGCACCGGCCCACCCAAAGATTCTGGCCCAACTCCATCGCTGCGGGGGTGCTGCAGCAGCAGGGCGGTGCCCCAGGGACAAACCCCGATGGTAAGAACTGGGGCTGAGTGCACCCTAGACAAGGGCTGGGGGTGCTCCTGGAGCTTCTTCAGGTCAAGCCGTGCAAAGATTCAAGGGCTATCTCCTTACCTGGGCTCCCATCGCTGCCATGCCACAGTGATTATCCCTCCCCAAAGCCCTAAAGAAGGGGATGTTTTTGTACATAATTTAACAGACCAGATGCACTCTCATAAAGAAAAGCGGGAGTTGGTGGTCACGCAAGTCAGTGACTGCTCAGCAGAGCCCCCCATGTCCGCACCCATCTGAGTTCCTTAGCACCAGTAAGTATCTGCACAGCTCTTCAGGAGCCAAGGCCATCTATAAATATCAAGGCAGGCAGCTGGCTCGTGAACAGGGGCCAGGAAGAGCTCTGTTTTCCCAGCCTCTCCATCACACCCTCCATATACACTTTTCTAATTGCCAGTCGCCTAGTGCACAATGAATAATTCAATGAGCCAAGCATTTTATAGCTTGGCATATGAAGATAGCTCTGTATGGGGAGTGGAGCGTAGGTGTGCGTGTGTGCACACATAACCTCATGCACACGTGTATGTGTATGGTTGTGCACAGGTTCCTTTGTGATGAGCCATCTTATGGGTTATGATGGGAAAAAAAAAAACAGATTTAGGGGGCTGGACCAGCCTGGGAGAAAATTCCAACTCTGTCATCGCTGACAATGTCATCTTGAGCTAATGACTTAACTGTCTGAGACAGAATGGGGATAATAATACCTGCCTTACAGAATTGTTAGAAAGTCAAAAGTGGCCAACACATAAAGAAAATGTGCAGTGAACGGTGGCTGGGAGTGCTGCTTCCTGAGATGGGGCAGGGAGTAGCTGACTAGTGAATGGATGGGAGACTTCATACCAGGGCATTGTCCAGCTCAGGCTTGGACAGCTCTAAAAACAAGGAGTTCACTGCTCTATGAGCCAGTCCATTAAACCCTGTCCAACACAGAGGTGCTGGCCCTGACCAGCAGCCCCTGCCTCGTCCTGACCCTTGCTTTCTCTCGCAGGTTCCATCAACTTGGACAACCTGCAGTCCCTGTCCTCAGACAGTGCCACCATGGCCATGCAGCAGGCTATGATGGCTGCACACGATGACTCATTGGATGGGACAGAAGAAGAGGATGAGGATGAGATGGAAGAGGAGGAGGAGGAGGAGCTGGAGGAGGAGGTCGACGAGCTGCAGACGACAAATGTCAGCGACCTGGGCTTGGAACACAGTGACTCCCTGGAGTAGTCGGGCAGCCCAGATGGCACTGATCACTGAGCAGGAGAGGAGTGTCGCCGGGAGGCCTTCAGGGTGGGGGGGAAGGGGACATGGGCAGGAAGCACCGAGGGAGTTGGGCCCTAGCTTCCCCAAATCAGTAGCTTGAAGAAAGGCAAAGGAGACACCTGTTCCTTCCCAACCACCGAGCTTCAATGAGGACCCCAGCCCCACTTCCCTGGAACTGCCGAGGACTCTGTTTGGCGGGGCCAGTCGAGCAGCCTGTGTGGAAAGACAGGAGTGAGATCTGGACTCACCAAATCCCTGAGGATAGATGGCACCCATGGCCCCCACCCACGGAAGGACTTGAGTTGTTTACAAGCCCTGCACTGAGGCAGATTGGTGCTGTTCGCAGAGTAGGCCTTTGCCCGGGGGCAGACTTAGAAGGAAGGGGAGAGACAAAGGGGGACTGAGTTTCATCCCCAGAAGTTTCTCAGCTCCTTTGACAGACATTCAAGGGCAGGAGGGAGCCCCAAAGCATAACCAGTGGCCAGAGGAGTGGGAGGGCCTGAGGCATCACATCTTGCAGATCAGAATGGGATGGAATCCACCAGGCTCCAGCTCATCCCTCCAAGGCCCTGTCTCTGCGCACAGCAACCATGGACATGGGAGAAAGGGATGGGAGCCACAGTGCCCTTCACTCTCTCCTGGAAACCAACTGTAAGCTGGTGGGCTCAACCTGTGGGAGGTTAAGAGGAGTCCCTTCTGGGTTGACTCCAAGAGCCAAGGAGATGGCAGACCCTGGGCTAGGAACCATATGGAGGTGACTTTGAGGCCACAGCTGTCCCTAGGTGATCACAGAACTTAGCTCCTTTAACAACAGGACAATGGTTTTTTACCCTAGATGTTCCCACCTTCAGTGCTCCACGCCCTCCATAGACCTTCAGAGAAGGTGAAACCAGGTTATCTGGGAATCTTTCCAGCCCGCAGGTCGCCACGGCCATCCCTTTGCTCCCAGCCTGGCTCCATCAGCCTCCAGCTTCCTTTCTTCATTCTGTCCTTCAGGGAAGGCAGAAGAAACATTGGAAAGCATCTAGTCCAGTGGGAAGCCAGGGGTTGGAGAAGGTGCTACATCCCTCTTCCCATCAATATCCTAAATGTGGGGGAGGGCCCAGAGAATGGCACCCAAGAGCCTGCGGGGATGCCCATCCCACACACCCCACCCAGCTGTTCTAACCCTGCTATCCACAGCCCTGGAGGAACTGGGGCTCCTGGAAGGAGGAGGAGGCTCTCCACTGTCCACCCTAACACATACCCTCCCACCCACCTTCCAGACCCCCTTGGTTGGCACCCTCTCCTCCGGTTCCCTCTCACCCCATGGCTGTGAATGACAGGACAGGTCACACGTGTGTTTTCCATTGGGTTTAATTTAATGGACGTGCAGTTTCATTTGTAAATTGTGCATTGGCCACCTCCTTCAGTGGCAGGATGTGAGTGGCTACCTGGCTCAACTGGAGGGGACCCCTTGGGCCCTCTGGGGCTTCCCCTCCCCCACCTGGTTGGGGTAGAGCAAAAGGATGGTCACTCTTCCGAGGTCTCCCTGAAATGAATGTATTTCTCCCCCAAAAGAGCTGATATTTAATGTTTTAATAAGGATTTTTGAGAAACAAATAACCTTATTTATAATCTGGGTGATCCAATCATTTTTTACTCCCTTTTGATGCCATACATAGAGGAAAGTCTAGCTTTTTTGGCGTGAGACTTTTGCAATGTGCAGTGGGATAAAATGCATTTCCTTTTCTGGTTCGTTTTTCTTGTTAACACGCGCACACAGACACACACACACACCGTTCCACTCACCACCTGGACAGGCGTCCCCCAGCACGGACACACTGGCACACAGGTGCCCACATCTCTTCCTCTCAGCCCCTCCACCTGCCTAATGTTATGCAACCTCCTTCTGATGTATCCACCAAACCAGTACTGAATGTGGCCGAGACGTTTTCAGTAAATCTTATTACCTACCGTAACCCTGGTGCACAATTCTCTTTCTGTGGTTGCTGTGGCAATCCTTTGCTCTTTTCATGGGACCAGAGGCCAGACAAAATTTGGAGGCCTCAGTATACACCTGACTACCCAGGGAAGGGGACAAGGTAGATGTGCGTCCTGCGTGAGCTCAGCTGCCCTGTCTGGGGAGGAAGAGCCAATTTCAGCACACTCACCTTGTGTGCGGCCGGTTGTAAGGCAGAGCTAGGGAGAGAAGGCAAGGAAGCTCTGCACTGCCCTCTCCTGACAGCTTCCCCGACCGCAGCGGAAGCTATGAATCTGGTCCCTCTTGTCCACCATACTCCACCTCCCTCAAAGGCTTTTGCTTTCCTGTCTCCATTCCCGGCCTTGAATCCCAGGGATCAGCACCATAATCCCCCAGGCAAGAAGAAACTCAGGCAGCTGATCTCCACACAGAAGTGAGAGGCAGGCCTTCTTGTCAGCTCCAGACGAGAGGGTACCTTCTTTAGCCACACTTGCTGAGAGGTCTGGGGCATCTGTTTAGAAGCAGGAAGGGAGTGCCTTGTTCATGTTCAGGAATGCTGGAGAGTTTGCACGTACTGGCAGATCACCCCATGGCCAGGTGGAAGATAGGGAAGCCAGTGGTTGGTTACACAGGCGAAGTGGGCTCTGACCAGCTCTGGTGGAGTTCCCTGCATCACTGCCCTCAGGGAGCCCAACATCTCTCCCCCTCCTCACACCTGGAGAGAGTTCTGCAAACCCTACAGAAACCCCGCCTCTCTAGGTAGAGGAAGAAAATCTTAAGAACTGCACGATGATTGGAACCTCACCTCCAGAGCTGGGAAGACAACAGTCCTTTAAGACAGTGGTTTCTAAGGAACACACTGTTGAAAGATATGCTACCAAAAAAAAAAAAAAAAATCCATGCCCAAATTAGCCTAAGATTAACTGCATATTCTGTTTTGTTAGTAGAGTTTCATCATGCACATTATTATACTAAAGGCTCTAAAAAGTCCTACAGGAAAGAAACCTGTTGAACTTTGTTTCAATTGTTCCGAGATTTGCTCCACCTCCCTTTTTTTCAAGTAATATCTATTCAAGTTATACCAATATTCCACAAAACACACTTTAGGGAACACTATTCTAAAGAAATTGCAGAGTAGCCTGTCCTACACTCTCCCCGCCAAGTTTTTCTATCAAGTTCTGCCAGCCATCTTTTCAACCACGCTGCCAACTGAAAGTGGGTTTCTTTTTTCTTTTCTTTTTTTTTTTGAGATGGAGTTTTGCTCTTGTTGCCCAGGCTGGAGGGCTGGAGTGCAATGGCACGATCTCGGCTCACCGCAACCTCTGCCTCCCGGGTTCAAGCGATTCTCCTGCCTCAGCCTTCCAAGTAGCTGGGATTACAGGCATGAATCAACACACCCTGCTAATTTTGTATTTTTAGTAGAGATGGGGTTTCTCCATGTTGGTCAAGCTGGTCTTGAACTCCGGACCTCAGGTGACCCACCTGCCTTGGCCTCCGAAAGTGCTGGGATTACAGGTGTGAGCCACTGCGCCCGGCCTTTTAAAATTATTATTATTTATTTATTTATTTATTTTTGAGACAGGGTTTCACTCCCATCACTCAGGCCGGAGTACCATGGCACAATTTCGGCTTACTGCAACCTCCGCCTCCCAGGTTCAAGTGATTATCCTGCCTTGGCCTCCTGAGTAGCTGAGACTACAGGCATGCACCACAAGGCCCAGCTAATTTTTTTGTTTTGTTTTGTGTTTGCAGAGATGGGGTTTTGTCATGTTGCCCAGGCTGGTCTCCAACTCCTGAGCTCAAGAGATCTGCCTGCCTCGGCAACCCGAAGTGCTGAGGTTACAGGCGTGAGCTACCACTCCCGGCTGAAAAGGGGTTTCTGAAATCACTTGAGATGTAGGTAGTTGTATTTTTAGGAGCCAACAACCTCTCTCTGTGCATGACCCAAATGCTGCCCAACCCAAGGAAAAGACACGCCATAATCCCTGTGGAAATTCAAGAGATGGATGACAGGGCGAGGGGTAGGGGAAGGTTTCCTTTACCCAAAACCGAACTCTGATATCAGGGCTCTGGCAACTCTCAGACTGACTTCTGCCCCCCACCCCCCGACCCATCAGGAAAGACTTTTCAAGCTCAGAGATCCTGCTCATGGGAGTTGGTGGCCAGAGCTCAACTTCCTTGACCGAGGATCCCCTCTCCTGCCTTGCATGGGGCCCCAGGAGGGCAATGACCACCACACTGCAGCCTGCTCCAATTCATTCCTGATGAGTCATTCATTATCTCAGCATGCATTTATCAAGCCCCGACTCTGTCCCAGGCACTGTTTTACAAGAATACACCTGTGGCTAACAAGGACAGCGTTCTTTACTTCAGGGAGTTTACATTCTACTAGAAACAACTGAGACTGGGCCAGGTACGGTGGCTCACACCTGTAATCCCAACCCTTTGGTTGTCCAAGGTGGAAGGATCACTGAGCCCAGGATTTTAAGACCAGTCTGGGAAACATAGTGAGACCCGCCCCCACCTGCCCGCATCTCTACTATTTTAAAATGAATATGCATGAGAAAAAAGAAAAAGATTGAGACTGAAAGAGTGCTCGTAGCATCCTTGTAATGGCTATAACTATGATCTCATCCTTACCACAGAGAACTCAAACTTCTTCATTCAGAGTTGCAAAGCAGGAAGCTTTCAGCTCCACTGTGAGGTTCAGGTTAAGCTCAATTTTCAGACCTGTTTTGAGCCATATATTGTCTAAAAATTGTGTGCCAACTTTTAAAAGTTAGAAGGTTACACATTAAAAAATCAGATTCCTGGCTTCTCCTGAAAAATCAGGCAATCAGGCGACTTGGGACCTATATAATCCCACTTGGCCATGATTGAGTGTAGTTGAATTAACTGCTGCCCCCTAAGGCACGTTCTCTGTGTCATCAGGACATTCGCAGCCCCTGTGGTCTCCCCAACACGGAGGCTGAGGGTTCATTGCTTATTTACTATTGGCTGTCACTATTTGGGTGGCTGGTGGCTTAGTTAAGCTTCCCCCATGTCCTTTTTTTTAAACCCCCTTTTGCTGTAATAGCTAAGTGGTTGTTTTTAAGAAGGGAAATATTTATCTCTACTCATTAATCCATCAAGAGGATTGCTTGGCCTCTTGGGAGGCCAACTGGGAGGCCTGAGGTCAATTGAGTTTGACCAATTGGGAGGTCAAGGCGGGTGGATCATGAGGTCAGGAGTTCGAGACCAGCCTGGCCAACATGGTGAAACCCCGTCTGTACTAAAAATACAAAAATTACCTGGGCATAGAGGTGCATGCCTGTAATCCCAGCTACTCGGGAGGCTGAGGCAGGAGAATCACTTGAACCTGGGAGACGGAATTTGCAGTGAGCCGAGATCATGCCATTGCACTCCAGCCTGGGTGACAGGGCAAGACTCCATCTCAAAAAAAAAAAAAAAAAAAAAAGAGTAAGAAAACAAGATAGTCCAAGAGGGAGGGCCCTGCCTTTGGTACAAAATATTGGAGAGAATGTATTTGTTTGTGGGCATAAAAGTACTCCTACCTTTCATTGCAAAGTATACCTGTGTCTCGTATCCAGATATCTTCACTCATACATTTTCTGCCTACCTTGCCTCCCCAGGCAACAATGAGGCTAGAGGCATAAAAATCACCAGGGTTGCTTGTTATAGATACAATGTAGGTTCCACAACCGGTGTTTGCCCCAGATAGCTAGGCAAGATGCCCAAAGACTTGGAGGAGCATTGCTCTCAGAAAATAGTTTTCAATTGTTGGCCGGGCATGGTGGCTCATGCCCAGCACTTTGGGAGGCTGAGGCAGGCAGATCACTTGAGGTCAGGAGTTTGAGACCAGCCTGGCCAACATGGTGAAACCCTGTCTCTACTAAAAATATAAAAATTACTCAAATGTGGTGGCATGCACCTGTAGTCCCAGCTACTTGGGAGGTTGGGGCATGAGAATCGCTTGAACTTGGGAGGTGGAGGTTGCAGTGAGCCGAGATAGCGCCACTGCACTCCAGCCTGGGCAACAGAGTGAGACTCTGTCTCAAAAATAAAAATTTAAAAAAAAAAGAAAATAATTTTCAATCATCTTTTGAAGCTCCTTGCTTTATAGCTGCTCCTTTAACTTCCTTTAGCCAGATACACTACCACCCTCAAGCCAGTGATTCATTCAGTACAAATTCCCGGGTGCCCACTATGTGCCTGGTAACCTATGAGGGACAAAGGATGATGAATTTTGCAGAGCATCACAGACCAAGGGACCGAGCACCGAGGACTGACAGAATGGTGGTCACCTCACACGCTCCATTTCCACTTTGGCATCTTATTTCCATCCCACAGATGAGGCAGGTTTTATTATACCACTTTCCAGCGTATCTTATACTTTTTCTCAGCCTCTCTCTGGGCCAATCTCATTTAGCCCCTTTGCAAATTAAATGCATCTCATTAAATCGAACCCATTTAGGACAATGCCCTTCAGGTGTGTGCATCTTAGTACATCTTTCATTTTAAGACAAGTGTTTGATTTATTTTTCATCTCATTACGCTCTTTAAAATTATGTGCATCTCATTACACTCAATGCACTGAGACAACTTATTTCTGGTATAGACATTACACCCAGTATTATCAGGCAAGAATATGATTTCTTTTCATTTCATTACAAGCCTTACAATTTATGTACATCTCATTACAATCAGCCATTTAAGACAATTCCCTTCAGTTATGTGTATCTCATTATACCTTTTCATTTTTGCATTTTTCTCATCTTATTATTCAGAGATTCTACTACAGGTGTGTATACCTCACATCCACCTGTTATTCCTGTGAATTTCTAGGTTCTAGAAATTCTAGCTGTTTCCACTGATGTATTGCAAAATTTTTATTCTACCAAATTCATTTAAGGCCAGCTCTGCCCATCTGTGGACCTCCCCTGACCCCTTTGCACAGGAAAGAACACTGGGCTCCCCTGGATGTAGTTGAGATTCTGCCCGTAACTTTCCCTTACACACAGGGACCATCTGAAGCAACTTCCCTCATGTGCATATTGAGGGGATTAGAGGAGACGGCACTAGGAGCCCCTTCGGTTGATAGTCCATGAAACTCTAGTCTTGTGGATGACAGCTTAGCAGCTTCTCGGCTTCTCCTGGGAATGCAGCTGCTCTCCTTGGAAGCCACCCACCCTGCTGGAGAAGCTGACATTGACATCATTGCCCAGCTTCCAACAGCCAGACAGCTTCACACGTCTGGCTTCCTTTTCAACTGGAGAACACTGTGAATCGTGTGGGGACACATTTTGGAAGGAGGTGAAATATTAAATAACTGCTCTGTTATGATGGAATCTTCCCCACCTCCCAATCCAATGGTGTCTTCATCTCTCCTCCAACCCCTAACCCAGGGCTTCTCAGCTGGAATGCACTTTAGAATTGCTGAGCAAGCTTCAGTTACAGGCACCCAAGTTCTATTCTCCATCTACTGAATCAGAAACTCACAGGGTGCAGCACAGGTAGGTGCATTTTTAATAGCACCCCAGAGATTCTCAACCTGATTCCACAAAAGGACCTGCAGTGAGTCGCTCTGAGCGGAAAACACCTGATGCTCTCAGTATTGCTCGTCTCAGCTGAATTTGTGTCTTAACAAGAATCCAAGCCTAGAGTTTAAAAAAAAAATCATTTCTCAGCCCTGAAAAGGGTACTGTGGGTCAGTAATCCCAACTCACCCGTGCCATATAGGAACCCTGCCCACGGAACACTAAATTGTCATCTCCTGGCCAGGCACAGTGGGTCACACCTGTAATCCCAACACTTTGGGAAGCCGAGGCAGGAGGACTGCTTGAGCCCAGGAGTTTGAGACCAGCCTAGACAACATAGTGAGACCCCCCCCACACCATATGTACAAAAATAAAAATAAAAATATATATAGCCAGGCATGGTTGCCCGTGCCTGTAGTCCCAGCTACCCAGGAGGCTGAGGTGAGAGGACTGCTTGAGCCCGGGAGGCTGAAGCTGCAGTGAGCCATGATCATGCCACTGTACTCCAGCCTGGATGACAGAGCAAAACCTCGTCTCAAAAAAAAAAAAAAAAAAAAATGTCATTTCTCTTTACCTTACACTGCGCACTACCTCCCAGGGCAAAGAAACCCAAGTTGTTACACAGAGCCAACTGATCCCTCCAACTTCCACCCAGTGATCTGAGCTCTGCCTTCTGCAGACAGAGGGAATATGTAGGAACCCTCCAGACTGCATACTTGTGGTCTTCAGGGCTTATGTAATTTGTAGCAGCAGCAGTTCAGGAGATCTACAGGACCTTTCTCCAACCTCTTCAACTAATCCTCATGTTCCCACCTGTCTTGCCTATCCATAAAGCACAGGAGGCTTCCCTGAGCATGTCTGCAGTGGTCTGTGTGTTTTTCTTCTGTGAACCCACCCATCTCTTTGCCAGTGGAAATAGAGTCTGTTCTCTAAGCTCAAAAATAAATGTGACTTTTCACTATCCCTCCTCCACCCCTTCCCTTGAATGAACCTGCTGAGAAGCCAGAATACACTCCCACTCTTGCCACTTCACTTTGTCTTCTTGTCCAGATGTACTTGGAGGCCGCTAGTTCCAGAATCCGCAAGCACCAGGGCTCCCTGGGCTACCACTAAGCAGGATTTAATGAGCATAAAGGGTAGGTGTAAAGCTGGTTTTAGGCCAGGCATGGCGGCTCATGCCTGTAATCCCAGCACTTTGGGAGGCCGAGGCTGGTGGATCACTTGAGGTCAGGAGTTCGAAACCAGCCTGGCCAACATGATGAAACCCCATCTCTACTAAAAATATTTTAAAAATTAGCAGGGCGTGGTAGCAAGCAGCTGTAATCCCACTTACTCAAGAGGCTGAGGCAGGAGAATCACTTGAACCTGGAGGCAGAGGTTGCAGTGAGCTGAGATCACACCATTGCACTCCAGCCTGGGCGACTAGTGAAACTCCAAAACCCCATCTCAGAAAAAGAAAAAAAAAAGCTCGTTTTAGGGCAACAGGCTAGGTTGTACTTGTCTTGTTTTGATTTTGTTTTCGGGTTTTTTGTGCCTGTTGAATTGAAAAAATGGTCACGTCCCCAAGGCTAAAGACGCAACAGAACCAGCACTTTCTCTTTTCAAAGTTTACTAGGAAAAAATAAAAGTCACACTTCATTGAGCACGTAGCATATATGCTAGACACTAAAGATTATTTAAAACAACTGTGGGAGAATTGCTAGTATTATTAATATTAGTATTCCCATTTTTTAAATGAGGAAACCAAGGCTCAGAGAAATTAAGTAATTTTCTAAAAAATTATTTAGCTTAATATGTATCTAGAGCTGGATTTGAACTCAAGGCACAAAGCCCATGCTCCTTTTAGGAGATAAGCTGCCTCCCCAATCATTGGCTGACCCAGGCTGGCCTTTGGAGTCAAGGAGAGAGGCCCCCTCTGTCCTCAAATCCCAAGAGGTGCTTGTATCCCTGCACCTGCCTATGCCTTTCTCCTCCAAGGTCCTGGATGAAACAGCATCTAAGGATGTGGGCTTCAAGCCCCAGCCTGCTTCTCCCATAGCAGAGCACCTACTCTGTCACCCACCAGCTCCTGACTTGACCATCTGCATTTCGGGGAGAAGGAGCGGGACTCACGTCATCTGAACTTAAGAAAATCCTCTTCATGCTATTCAAGTAGCTCTGCTATGGGAGGGGGTTAGAAAGCAACTCATGAAGGAGACGCTGCTGCTGGGATAAAGGAGGGGGCAGTAGCACCGCCGTCGGCACTGTTGGTGATGGTTGTGCAGATGTGTTTTGGAAATTGGTGTGTGTCAGGAAATGTTGAGTCCCAGTGACCTGTCGGTGATGACAGCTGATATCCAAACCTTCTCTCCTGATCTGTGCAGCTGATTCCTTTCCTTTCTTGCTTGGAAGGCAAGGCTAGGTTCTTAGGTTCTTAGCCTTGACTGCTGAGAGTAAGGGCAAAACAGGTTGGAAGATGGAAGAAAGACAAAGGGAAGGAAGTTAATCCCTGAGAGACAGGCATAGAATGGGTCCCCAGGCAAGAGTCGGGGGAGTCAACGGAGAGCATAGGACAAGCCGGAAACCTTGGGATGTTGTCAGATCAGGCAACACTTTGGTAGGAAAAAATAAAACGACTCTGTTGAAGGAGGAGAGAGGAGAGGCAGAAGTGGAAATACACTGGACTGGTATAGAGACACCGGGCTCCTCCATAACTTGCTTCTTTGGTTCTGTGATTCATTTTCCTGTTCTCTGGGAGGCTGGGAATGGAAGAGAGTGAGAAGCAGGACACAGGGGTAGAGAAAAGAGAAAGGGAGAAAGAGAGAAACTAGATGTGCATGTGTCTCTGGGGTTTTTCAGACAAAGCTGTTATCAAAATGCCAACCAGCTCCTGCATGGCTAATTTGCATATTCCATGTTGTGCTCTTTGAAGCAGGATGAATATGCATGAGGGCTTGGGCGGGGTGCAGAGCTGCTGGGCTGTGGGCTAAGGTGGCTCATTGTTCTTTTAGAAGAAAGGCATTAGTAAGAAACCAAAGCACTTTCCCAGCGAGCAAAGTGGCCTTGGCTTCCCTTCCCTGATGAAGGGAAGAGAGCAAACCTCAGGCTCAGACAGAAACCCTAACGACCATTCTCTCATCCTCTCAAGGAAATAAATAATCAGGCGCCATCAAGAACGCAAGTATCTCTTCTCCAAGAGTAGCATTTAATTACTTTCCACTCCACGCATACTAATTACGGAGGCTGACTGGGTGATGAGAGTCACCTCTCCTGGCTTCCCTGGAAACGAAGCTGCCACTCCCCATTTCTTGCTTCTGCTGCAAAGAAAGCTGGGCGTCCTGGGGTGCTTTTTGCCTTTGACCTCTGGTGAGACCCCTAAACCTCTCAGTGACCGGGCTGTGGTGGGAGTGCCTGGGACATAGTGGGTGCTCAAAAGAGGCTTGGGCATGGACTCGGTGAAGTCCATTAAGACTTGGGTTATAATGAACCCTAAGACACCTGGAGGACCAGGTCTCCTCATTAACGGTCTCCATCCCTTCTTCCCTGACCACCAGTGGAAGATAGTCATTCTCCAGACATTAGTCCAGCAAGTATGAAAAGGGTTTATTTAACTTTAAAAATCCAATTTGTCCCACAAACTTAGGGTCACAAAATGCTCCCTTTGGGTTTTCTTTCTGAAGTATCACATTGGTCTCCTGAAGTAGAGACGAAAGGATAGAGACTGTTGGAATATTCCATTTGAAAAACAGTTTTTCCCGCATGACCATTTGTTTCAATTACACATAAATAAAGGCTGGCCTCTGGTGCCATGGTGTTTTCCTTTTTTTTTTTTTTTTTTTTTTTTTGAGATAAAGTCTTGCTCTGTCACCCACGCTGGAGTGCAGTGGCACAATCTCAGCTCATTGCAACCTCCGCCTCCTGGGTTCAAGTGATTTTCCTGCCTCAGCCTCCCAAGTAAGCTGGGACTACAGGCGTGCACCACTACAGCTGGCTAATTTTTGTATTTTCAGTAGAGAGGGGGTTTCACCATGTTGGCCAGGCTGGTCTCAAACTCCTGACCTCAGGTGATCTGCCCACCTCGGCCTCCCAAAGTTCTGGGATTACAGGCATGAGCCACCACGCCCGGCCCTGTGGTGGAGTTTTCTTACCAGAACTTGACCAGACTAGGCCTAGCAAAATCCTTTAATTGATGGAAACATACCTCATTTATAGGCTGTATTTGCCAGACAGACCTCTGACCTACCTAGGAGGGCTCCCTGCAGACCGTGGCTCTCTGGCACACTTTGCGGAGTGCGGACATCCTAGACAGGACTTGAGTTTTGCAATCAGGATTGACTCAGGCCTGAAAATCAGTTAATTCTTGGGACTCTTCTGTGAGGTTTCTACAATCCAGAAAGACCAGAAGAGGGAAAAGCTGAGGGAAGACAATTGGGTTCACCTGATAATCACACTAGCCACAAATTCCCTAGGTTCAGCATTGAAGAGTCAAGGATTCAGCAACTCTGAAAACCTAGGGCAGAGTTTCTCTAATCCTTGATGCAAATACAAGTTGCAGGGAGATTTAGCTTAATACGTAGTAGAGCTGCATTTGAACTCAAGGCACAAAACCCAGGCTCCTTTTAAGAGAAGAGCTGCCTCCCTTTTAAAGGGAGACCTTGTTAAAATGCAAATTCTGACTTAGTAGGCCTGATGTGGGGCCTGAGATTTTGCATTTCTAACAAGCTTCTAAGTGCGGTCAGTGCTGCTGGCCTGGAAAGCACACTTTGAATAGGAAGAACACAGGGAAGGGCAATGCAAAACCATGAGGAATTGATTTCATATTCCCCTTAAACTCCTGATAGACGGACAAACAAGAGAGAAAGGAGGAGCCACTGTTTTCAGCCTGCCCTGCTCACCTCCTCCTAGCCAGAGTGTATCCCCAACACTCGAGATTTATTTTTAACTCCCAGCAGCTTTGATTAGCTTGTCTCTGCCGCTTCAGACACCTGCTGGCAGGATAAATTGGGGGAAAGGAGTGGCTGACCCAGATCTGACAAATCCAAGGCAGGAAGAAAAGCTCTCAGGAATTCACTGCTTCCCCTTTGCTGAGGCTGGTGAAAAACCCCGTCGCCGGCAGAGTGCTAAACATGCTAATGACCTCACACCACTAATGACCCTGGGCATGTTCAGCCTTAGCACCAGTGAACTGCCGAACTGAATCCATGCCCTTTTATCACAGGACGAGTTGTCACTTCCATGCTCCTGTGGCAGCCGGGGCTCTATCTATGGAGAAGCTCTGCTCTGGGCAGATGCCTGGACTAGAGCTTTAGGCATTGCAGCAGTTTTCCTGGGGGGATAAGTCTCCGCCACCCCTAGCTAAGATTGCTAGTGTTCTGCTTCTGGAAAAGCAGAAGCCGAGCTAGGCGCGGTGACTCACGCCTATAATCCCAGCACTTTGGGAAGCCTAGGAGGGCAGATCGCCTGAGGTCGGGAGTTCGAGACCAACCTGACCAACATGTAGAAACCTGGTCTCTACTAAAAATATAAAATTAGCTGGGTGTGGTGCTGCATGCCTGTAATCCCAGCTACTCGGGAGGCTGAGGCAGGAGAATCACTTGAACGTGGGAGGCGGAGTTTGCGGCGAGCTGAGATAGCGCCATTGTACTCCAGCCTGAGCAACAAGAGTCAAACTCCGTCTGAAAAAAAAAAAGCAGAGGCCCAGGAAGGGAGGCAGGGCACTGGGAGTGCCTTCTGTGTCCCCTAGATGGATTCTGTGGCCTTCTGTGGAGCTGCTGATGTGATAAAGTATGGCTTTCTCTGTGGCATGCTTAGTTCAAGCAGACACTAAACTCCTGGGAATCAATGGAAGTCTCACTGGATAAGAAACCTAAATGCCAGCCTGACTCTACCACTTCCTACACAGCCTTGGGCGAGCTACTGAACATCTCTGCTGCTTGGTTTCCTCCTCTGCAAAATCGGGATCATACTAGCACCTGTTTACACGTGGTGATGCTGTGATGTGTGCTAATGCACGATGAAGCCAGTGCAGGCTACAGCAAGTGCCCAGTACAAGTTTTTGCTTTCAGAGGAGGATATGGGAATTGGCAGGCTCAATGTCTTTCAAGCCAGAAGACGGAAGCCAACAGAATTCAGACTGTGGTGAGATCGAGCCAGCATCCGGGATACGAGGAGACCTTCGCCTGCTGGTTGGTCAAGGCTGGCAGCTGCCTGCCATCAATGCTGGAGACAGTGCGAGGAGTCAGAGCTGCTGTTCATGGAGGGCCGCGGGAAGGGCCAGGACAGCACTGCAAAGTCAAAGGACACTGTTGCCAGGGGTCGTTGGGGACAAACAGGGAGTGGT
This sequence comes from Homo sapiens, assembly GCF_000001405.40. Classification (NCBI taxonomy): domain Eukaryota; kingdom Metazoa; phylum Chordata; class Mammalia; order Primates; family Hominidae; genus Homo; species Homo sapiens. Next base: position 125,445,248 of record NC_000011.10, read on the forward strand.
GGTTTCGTCAAGTACAGGAAACAAGTTGCAGTCCCCTACGTTGGGAAAGCTCAGCAGAGCTGACTTCCCGCAGGCCCTGAGCCTCCAGGTCCCCGTGGACAGCCTGGGGAGGGTCTCCAGGGCCAGCCTGGCCATCCCACCAGGAGATCTGCAGCTGTGTGGCTCCTCCATGAGGCCCACTTTCTATCTGCTAATTGCACACTCTCACCCCCGTCTCACCCACTCTGACCAGCTCCTTTCTGCAGCCCCTGGTGCAGCTCCCTTGCATGTGGCTGAGCAGCAAAAACTGAGGTTGCAGAGGGTCTCCTTCTGCCTATGCTGTATGCAGCCCCACTGTGTCCCATGATCCCACCACGACCCACAACAGGACATGCGCCCGGTCCCTAAACACAGCACTGGCTGCCACAGGCCACAGGCCGGCGTGCAAAGAATGCTATACAGCCCGTCTCTGGAGTCTGGAGCAGAGGGCTAATGGACATCACACTCCAAAGCACATGAAGAATATTAATTAAATGAAGGTTTTATTTCAAAATTAGTCTTAAGAGTATAAGCTGTTTTTGAGGGCTGTAGCCAGACTACATAATGAGCGGTGAAAGCGGCTGCCTTCCCCTCTCCTGACACCAGCAAGGGGGAGGCACCATCACCGGCCCTGCCCCATCATGCATCCAATGATTACTAGCACTAGAAGCCAACGGCAAAGGACCCCGCGCGCTTGCTCGTGTTTAATCCAGGTTAAGCTATACACGTTTAAATACATGTCGGAGGTTACATGGTCTCATGCAGTCCCTGTGATGGAATGACTCTTGCTCAGTGACCTCCTGCAGCGAGGCTGCTCCAAAGGGCAAGGTTAGGTAGGGCAGAGCACTGCAACGAGAAGAGAGGAGGGGAGAGCGGTCAGAACACAGTTGCAGGTGGGGACCTCCGAGCCCTGGATAGCCCTAGCTGAGAGCAGTCACACCAGCTCCTGAGTGGTGACAGCCCCCACTTAGTGCCTAGAATAAGGGAGAGACAATGGCAGGTGGTTGCTGGTTATAATAACTAAGCGTGTAGTCTCCGGGGCCTGAGTTCAAATCCTGGATCCAGCCATTACTAACTACATGACCTTAGGGAAATTAACTTCACCTTTCCATGCTTGTTTCTTCATCAATACAATAGAACGTACCTGCGCCTACCCCGCAGGGTTGTTGAGAGGCATGTGGCAAGTGCTGAGTAAATATTAATCACTTGTACAAATTCAGTGACAACTCAGTGGCTCGTGAGGGGTAAAGTCCAGCCCTCCGACTACCAAATTTATATAACCTGTTTCTATAATCCTCCTTTGAGAACCTCCTTTGAGAAATGTGCTGCTCTTTTAAAATCTTTGAGTCACAAACCCTTTCTGTGGTTTTTTGTGTTTTGTTGTTGTTGTTGTTGTTGTTTTGTTTTGTGGTTTGTTTGTTTGTTTTTTTGAGACAGGGTCTTGCTGTGTCACCCAGGCTGGATGCAGTGGTGTGATCACAGCCCCCACTGCAGTCTCAGCTCCTGGGTTCAAGTGATCCTCTCACCTCAGCCTCCTGAGTAGTTGGGACTACAGGCGCGCACCACTACACCTGGCTGATTTTTTTTTTAATTGAGACGCGGTCTCACCATGTTGCCCAGGCTGGACAAGTTATTTTTAATGTTTACTCTAAGTTCCTCCTGCTGAAATTTAAGATTAGTCCTTCTGATCCTTATAGAAACAATATATCTCAGGATTTCTTAGCTATAGGTCCCACAAATATGGTCCCTCTGCAACCGTACATAGTTTTGTGTGCATGCAGGACAAAAAACAATAAAATAATAGATCTAGACAGTGAGCAATCCTCAAGGACTATTAACATCACAAAAGGAAAGACAATCAGACAATATATGTCACCCCATGGAAGTCTGGAAACCTATAACCACCTATAATGTAGTGCTTATCAAAAAATCGGAAGCTGTATCTGATCAGGCTTCCAGTTCTATCAGTTCACAGGCAATAAAGAAGACAGGAGAACATATTAAATTACACCATGGGGATGAAATTAGCAAAAATCCACAATGAGGAAATTCTATGGCACAAACAACCTAGTTTCTCCAACAAATGCATTTCAAGAAATGGAAGAGAGAAAGAAAAGGGGAACCTATATACATCAAAGAGATGTAAGAGACATATTATTATCTAATTGCAACCTACTGATCTTTATTGGCCCCTGATTCAAACAAATAAACTGAAAAATACTTTATGGGAAAAACAGGGAATACTGATTGGATAGTCAGTACTAAGAAACTCTTGGCTGGGCACAGTGGCTCATTCCTGTAATCCCAGCACTTTGGGAGGCCAAGGCGAGTGGATCACCTGAAGTCAGGAGTTTGAGACCACCCTGGCCAACATGGTGAAACCCCGTCTCTACTAAAAATACAAAAATTAGTTGAGCATGGTGGCAGGCGCCTGTAATCCCAGCTACTTAGGAGGCTGAGGCAGGAGAATTGCTTGAATCCAGGAGGCGGAGGTTGTAGTGAGCTGAGATCACGCCATTGCACTCCAGACTGGGTGACAGAGCGAGATTCCATCTCAAAAAAAAAAAAAAAGAAAGAAACTCTTCATTTGTTTTAGTTGTGAAATGGTATTATGGCTATGTTTTCCTCAAGAGTTCCTATGTTTTAGAAATGCATACCGAAATAGTTATGCATGAAAACTATGACAGAGATTTGCTTTAAAATAACATGGGAGGGGAGAAGTTGGGTAGAGGCGTAAATGAAATAAGCCTGGCCGGGACTTAATAACTGTTGATGCCAGCTCATCAGTACCTGAGAGTGTATTATGCCATTTCCTCTACTCTTGTATGTACAACCAGTTTCCATAAGACAAGGTTAAAAAGTTATGAAAGGGTGTAGTCAATTATGTCTCCAGCTTCCTTTCAAGTGCTTGAAAAGTATTAAATTATCATCAGGTTTTGTTTTTCCCAACTAAATACTAAGTAGCCCAAACTCTGCAGAATTTTCACAATAAGTCCTTTGTTGGTTTGTTGCTCCAAGGAAAGTCACTGGTGACTCGGGGGTGATGGAATCTCCTCCTGCGGCCTCCTGGCAACACCCAAAGGGAAAACCTATTACTCCAAAGCCTTTCAATTGTCCCTGATTTCCCTGGCCCCTGCCTGGTCTGGTCTGGCATGGGCAAGCTGGGAAGGTTCCCTAACTGGAGCAGGAGCTCCAGAGAACCCCTTCTGCTCCAGGAGGCCTGGGGCTGCTCTTACCTTTTAAAATGTAGTCCGTTAGCAAAGTAGGCACCTTCTCATTATCCTCCTTCATGGCAAAGAGAACTAGGAAAGGAGACAGAGAGAGGAACTAAGATACCATCTGGTCAGAGGTTCACTTCTAGGGCCACATGACCCACCAGCCCAGAGTGAGAGAGAAATGATTCAAAAGAACCAGACATTTATTGAGTATTGAGCAAAAGTCTAGAAGGCTCTATCAGGGGTCAGCATTTCAGGGGCAAGGGCTAAAAAACTACCTATCCGGTACTATGTTCACTACCTGGGTGACAGGTTTAGTTTCAGTTGTAACCCAGACCTTGAGCCCAGGCATTCAAGACCAGCCTGGGCAATATGGCAGAACCTCATTTCTAATTAAAAAAAAAAAAGATAGCTGGGTGTGGTGGCACACGCCTGTAGTCCAAAGTACTTGAGAGGCATCACGCAATATGCCCCCGTAACAAACCTGCACATGGTGATAGACGAGAACACAGCAAGAGCCACAGTGTTTGTCTCTAGGTAGTGGACCTACTGGTGACTTTCTTTTCTTTTTTATTTTTGAGACAGGATCTCGCCCTGCCACACAGGCTGAAGTGCAGTGGCGTGTTCTCAGCTCACTACAGCCTCAAACTCCTGGGTTCAAGTAATCCTCCCCCTCTCAGCCTCCCAAGTAGCTGAGACTTACAGGCACGTGCCACTATGCCCAGCTAATTTTTTTTTTTTTTTTAGTAAAGATGAGGTTTTGCCATGTTGCCCAGGCTGGTCTTGAACTCCTGGGCTCAAGCAATCTTCCCCACTTGGCCTCCCAAAGTGACCTGTGATCATGCCACTGCACTCCAACCTGGGCAACAGAGTGAGACTCTGTCTCAAAAACAAGAAAAAGACCATCCTGGACAACATAGCAAGACTTTGTCTCTATAAAAAAAAAAAAAAAAAAAAAAAAAAGAAGAAGAGGAAGAAAAGAAAAATAAGAGAGAGCTATATGTACAAGACATAGTTATCAGTGAAGAAAGGTTACAGAACATTTATTAACTTTATAATTAAATGCTAATGTTCATAGAAAAAAAATCTAGAACAATAATACATGAAACTGTTAAGTAGTTATCTCTGAGTGTAAGACAATAGGGGATGTTCTTTTCTATGCTGCATTTCTGTGGGGTCTGGCTTTTCTCAATGAGCATGTATTACTTTTGTAAGCCAAGAAAACACTAAAGATCAACTGGCACTGATAGCTAGGGTCAGAAGGCAGCTGCAACAGTGGGATTGCCACTTCATTTCGATATCCTTGTCCTCCTTTGATTGATTACCTTGACTAGTTTCAAGACAGGGTAATGAAACTTGAATCCAAGAATTAGGAGTGAGTGAGGAAGAAAATCCAATGGTGGCGTGAGTCAGCAGCCAGGTCCAGAAAAAGAGACTCAACCTGAGGCCATTGAGGGGTTGGTTTGTTTCTGTTTTATTTCTTCTGTATCTTTAGACATGTATTCATCTCAGCTTAAGTGGATTCTAGGGGGTCCTGGTTTCTTCTGGGTTTTTTTTTTTTTTTGAGACGGAGTTTCACTCTTGTCATCCAGGCTGGAGTGCAGTGGTGCGATCTCAGCTCACTGCAACCTCCGCCTCCCGGGTTCAAGCGATTCTCCTGCCTCAGCCTCCCAAGTAGCTGGGATTACAGGCGTGCACCACCACATCTGGCTAATTTTTTGTATTTTTAGTAGAGATGGGGGTTTCACCATGTTGGCCAGGCTGGTCTCAAACTCCTGACCTCAGGTGATCCACCCGCCTCGGCCTCCCAAAGTGCTGGGATTACAGGCGTGAGCCACCATACTCGGCCTGTTTTATTTTTTTCTGCATTTTTAGACATGCCTTCATTTCAGCTTAGTTGTCAAGAACACTTTGCAACTGAGCATAAGCAGACTAAATGCCACACCACGAAGATCACGTAAAAATACAATAATTGCTCTTGCCAATACGTATCTAAATTAATCTCCAAAATCTAAAATTTACAAGGATTGGCTAGTCGCAGGAGCTGGTCTTTGGCCTATGTACTTAGTTCAAAGAGTAGAAGAGAGAAGAGGCATTGTTCACAAATTCATATGAGGATCTGCCAAAAAAGAGAGGCTTCATAACCTACAGGAGAATTGGTATTCAGAAAAGATGGCAGGTTTTTTTTCTAAAAGCAATAAAATGTTGGAAGGTAGTATATCCACATGATAGAAGAGATAGCCATAAAAAGAACATTAACAAAGTGTTAACTAATGTGACTAAAATCATGACACAAAATTTTACAGCCAGTATAATCTCAACTATATAGAAAAGATACAAAATATTAAGTCTGAAAAGCACCAAAATGGTAACCATAGTGGAGTAGACAATGAGTTATTTATTTTTCTTTGTTTGCTTTTCCTTATTTCCAAAGTAGTCTAAATGATGGATATACTCTAGCTATAATTTTTTTAATGAACTTAAAAAATGTAAACAAAACCACTCAAAATAGAAAAAAGTCTGTTTCTTAATTAAAATGAAAAGATTTCACACTGAATTCCTGAATGGGTATCTGCAACAAATTAATAGCTATTTATTTTTTTGAGCTATGATAGAATACTTTACATATATCAACCTTCATAATTTGTCCAAATTACTTTCCAAATGTAACTTGTGTGAAAACACAAACATCTATAAATGTCAGTTCATCTCTATTTTCTCCCTTAAAAAAAAAGAAACTTAGTGCATATTTATGCAAATAAAGGAGTTTACAATGAGTTAAGGACAAGTCACTGTACTTTGATTTTAAAATTCCTGATTCTCAAGGACACAGTGTCTATTGATGCAGGCATGATGTAGGCAGGATTTCTGTTTGCCAGAACCTCCTGCTTTCACTCTCCAAATTGACAAAAAATGAAACGTTTGGTCACCTTCAGCACCAGGCCCCAGCAGGTATCCATCCTCCTCAGCTGAACAGAAGCTCAACTTCCCCTCTCCTTGGGTATCCAGTAGCCCCGCACTGGCCCCTTCCCTCCAGAACAGGCTGCAGTGGGCGGGGCCTCGTTAGCTGTCACTCTCTGCAGGGCACGGTTGCCAAGGAAATGGAATTTCCCTCGTGATCCTCTGGGCCTGTCACCACATCTCAGCCTAGGATTTTTCTCGTCCTAAGAGGGCCAAGCTGACACTGATGGCTAACACCATGTGCCCCCCAGCCCTTTGGGGGTCGTACTGTTTGATGTATATAAACAGTTACTGTCTACAAAAGGCTCTTTGTTACACACTGTTTTCCCTCATAGTTCAGAATGTTTATTAATATTTGACAATAGAGCAAAGTGGAGGAGAGGAGGCAGTCACTTCCTGGAAGGAAAGCTGGACTCTATTTTTTCCAGTCAGCCTTACCCCACCCAAGAAACCTTGCTTCTCATTAAAAATACAGCCAGACCCAGAGACCAGGCGCCCTGCTTCAAGGGGCACAAGTGCCGACCAGGCAACCTCAAGTTGCAGGGAGAGAGAGAACAGGGAGGCAGAGGATGCCAAGCCTTGGGAACTGCAGGGGAAAACAAAAAGTCCCCTGCACCAGCACCCCAACCTCTTTCACCAGCTCATTTTTTTTTCCCCCAGCAGGCCTCTTCCCTTATGGGAACCAGGAGAAAGAAAAAACAGCTCTGGTTATCACTGCAGAGTATTTTAATTTTACACTGTGCGGGAGGATGTGACGCAGTAATTTGGAGGGTATTTTGGCCCATGTAAACCTGCTTTGAGGAGTCTCGGGCCTGCGGCACGGAGGTACAACGTACAGGCAGGAAGGGAGAAAAAGGAGCCACTGATCTGGCTGAGAACAAGAGGAACTCACTGTTTGTCAGCATCTGCAGGTCTTCCACTGAGGGAGGAGAGGCTTTCTTCTCGTAAGGAATGACTGTGTTCAGATACTGCAAGACAAACAGCATGCAGGGGGCTTGAGACAGAAGACATGCTTCCTCTGGGTTGAGATTTAGCCTTTCTCTAAGACACACACTGCAAATCTGACCTTCTCTGAAACATTCATGGTCACTGGTACGTCACTGTTTCAGAACTTCTTACCCCTCTTTAGGGAATGTCTCTTTAAAAGTAAGACTTTCCCACATTTCTCTCCATCCCAACTTCTAGATTCTTCCTACACTACAAACTTCTCTGTTATTTAGGAATCCTGGGGAGCTTTTTCTCCTTTAGACTGAAAGCAGAGAATAAATCCAAGGGGATTATATTTTCTTATTCTTTGCAGTGCAATTTGAGAAGGAATTGTTTGTCTTTTGTCAAAAAAGATATGCAAGAGAACCTCAACCCCGCCCAGGGTCTCTGATGTCAGATTTGCTCCCTCTGCTGGATGTCAGGTGCTCCTACAACAAAACCAGCATCAGGGCCTAGTGGGCTGTCAAAGGAGTCTCAAGGAAGCCTGAGGTGGTGAGTGCCAGAGCTCTAGATCAAAGCTAAGAAGCTCACTTTTTTTTTTTTTTTTGAGACAGAGTCTCGCTCTGTCACCCAAGCTGGAGTGCAGTGGCTTGATCTCGGCTCACTGCAACCTCCACCTCCCGGGTTTAAGCGATTCTCCTGCCTCAGCCTCCCAAGTAGCTGGGATTACAGGTGCCTGCCACCACACCTGGCTAGTTTTGTATTTTTAGTAGAGATGAGGTTTCACCATGTTGGCCAGGCTGGTCTCGAATTCCTGACTTTGGGTGATTTGCCCACCTCGGCCTCCCAAAGTGCTGGGATTACAGGCGTGAGCCACCGCGCCCGGCCAGAAGCTCACATTTTAGTCTTGGCTTTGCCACTGACAGTGTGTGTGGCTTTGGAAAAATGCCTTGAATCTCCAGGCCATAGTTCTCACTGCCATAAAACAAGAGGACTGGGATCGATGCTGCTAAAATCTCTTCCCCTTCTCTAGACTCTCTAGAATTCTAGAGTTCTAGAATTCTAGCACTTAGAATTCAGCTACAAATATGTTTAAAACATATACACTTTCATGTACACTCATTCCACCATCTCAAACTTTCTGTTCACGTGCCAGCCATGTCTATTAGATTATACACTCCATGAGGACAGGGGTCAGGACTTTTCACCTTTGCACCTGAGGGCTTAACAACAGAGCTTAGCACATAGCAGGCGCTTGATAAAAGTTGTGAATGCTGTCTTAATAACCAGAAATGCAAGCTATGTCACAGGGAAATTACTGAGCCAACAAAAAGCCACAGCATGGGTTCCAACCAGAGCTGGGAAGCTGCAGAGGCAGTCTTAGTGGGAATGGCTTGGCAGGTGATCCAGTGTGGTGGAAAGTTAACTAAACTCTAGGATGGGATCTATCATCAAATGGACTCCCTCTTAATGCATTTCATCCTTAAAACAACTTAATTCTTAGACCTACAAGCAGTGTTGAGTTTTAAGTCTTGCCCATGTCCTAGAACACTAGAGCTCAAAAAAAAAAAAAAAAAAAAAGTTTGCCTTTTAAAAAGATATTCTCTGTTCCTCCTTAAGAGGAGAAAAAAGTGTTAGGACCCCTAACCCCCTAAATAAATGCTGGGATAATTCTGGTGAGTCACTGTCCCCCTGCGTTGCTGGGGAGGCCAAGCTGCAGGAGTCTAGGAAGAGAGCTTGGAGCAGGGAGACTACGCGTACCTGTTTGTCAGTTCCTGAGGAGCCAAAGGTCTGGCGGATGCCACTCTGCAGAATGTTGGAGATGCCTTCCATGCTGAAGCGCTGTGGGGGAGAGAGACTCAAGAAGGGCAAATGCTTCTTGCTACACTGTCACCACACCCAGGGACCTCTCAGCTACCAGGCTGTCCCAGATAACGCCCCAGGGTTCTGTGACTAGACAGTAAGTGTAAGACACTGGCTTACAGAGACAGGCCAGAATTGAAGCCTGAGCTTTGCAAGAATAAACAGAGTCTCAAGAACTCTTATCTTAGTAAGTCCCTCAGGGCTACAAGACCCCTCTGCATCCCCCAGTTTTCCTCCTTTTATCCTCCATCATGCAAATAGAAAAATAAAGCAGTTCAGTCAAACTTAAATGAACCATGATGCAAAGATCTTAGGGGAAAACAAAATGTTCAGCTATCAGAAGAGGCTGTCTTAAAGCAACTGTCCTGATGGGGGAAGTTTTTTTCAAAATGTACATGCGGAGAACTAATTCCATAGGTCTGTGATAGAGCCTAGGGAAAGGCATTTTGAAAAAAACTCCTTAGATAATTCTACTGAGCTCCCCTGATTAAGAAGCATGAGTGGCTGGGCGCAGTGGCTCACACCTGTAATCCCAGCACTTTGGGAGGCCGAGGCGGGGAGATCACGAGGTGAGGAGTTTGAGACCAGCCTGACCAACATGGTGAAACTCCGTCTCTACTAAAAATACAAAAATTAGCCAGGCGTGGTGGTGTGAACCTGTAATCCCGGCGACTCAGGAGGTTGAGACAGGAGAATCGCTTGAACCCGGGAAGCAGAGATTGCAGTGAACCGAGATCGCACCACTGCACTCCAGCCTGGGCAACAGAGTGAGACTCCATCTCACCAAAAAAAAAAAAAAGAAAAAAAAAATGAACCATGAGAACCAGGGGTTTGGGTTAAACCCAAAAATAGAACAATAGAACAATAAGGCATCTGGGGCCAGGCACGGTGGCTCATGCCCGTAATCCCAACACTTTGGGAGGCCAAGATGGGCAAATCACCTGAGATCAGGAGTTTGAGACCAGCCTGGCCAACATGGTGAAACCCCATCTCTACTAAAAATACAAAAATAATCCAGGAGTGGTGGCATGAACCTGTAATCCCAGCTACTAGGGAGGCTGAGACAGGAGAATTGCTTGAGCCCAGGAGGCGGAGGTTGCAGTGAGCCGAGATGGTACCATTGCACTCCAGCCTGGGCAAAAGAGTGAGACTCTGTCTCAAAAAATAATAACAATAATAATAAGGCACCTGATCATTTTCAATCACTGAAACACCTTAGCACGCCCTAAAGAGACCAGTCAGGACTGGAACCTGGGACACAAGGAGGGATTTGGACCCAGAATTCTGAGGCCCATCTCAAGACTCCCAACACGAAATACCCTCACTCCACTTTCTTTAAGGTCTTGCCTACAGAGAACACAAGCCAAATTCAATTATTTCCTAATGTACACACTGTCTTCCTGGGTTAGACTGTGAGCCCTTTGGGGGAGTGGAGGAGATAGGTGATATCTTCTCCCTTTCTGACCCCCTGTCTGTCACAGTGTGCTGCTCACCACCACTGCTCGGTAAACGTTGATGAGTCCCCTGCAGGGTTGGTAGGGCACTGAAACGGGCAGGGTTGGAGGTTGGAGGCACCCAGTCTTCCACCTGGTTGTTCACCTACCTTGAGAGGCATCTGGTTTCCCTTCTCTATCCGGCTGCTCTGCAGGCTCAGCCCTTTCTCTTTCCGCCTCTTTTTCATCAGTTCTCGCTGCTCCTTCTGCTTGTTCTGAACCTCAATAAGCACCGTGATAAAGGAGTTCTTCACTTCCTTCTCAAACTCCAGCTCGTCCCGGCGGGCCAGCTGCTGCACCAGCTCCTCCGAGAAGTCACGGATGGCACCCTCCACCTGGTCCAGCAGCTCGGTCAGCTCAGACCCAGACATGTGCCTCAGCCCTGCAGGGGAAGACCGTCTCCCGCATAACACCTGCATCCACACCAGAGCCCGCTGGGGAGGCTCCTGGGGCCACCACCAATCAAGATGGGACTGCCCCTCAGAGGAGATCCCTTCCAACTCCTTAAAGATCCAAGAAAGACCTTCACAATTTACGAGCACGCCAGGAAGGCGGGGGCCTGTGTACTGACTGCAGAAGAGAACACCCCTCTCAGGAAACAAAGGAGGAAGAAGAAACAGCCCACGAGGAAGTCTGTGGACTCTATTCTCAAAAATGGGGATGGTTTGTTCCTTCTATTTTCTATCTGTGTCCATAAGATTCCTTGTGTGAAATGGGTCAAGAATTGGGGATGGAAAAGTGATGGGAGGGAGGTTTTTGTCATCCATACTGAAGAGCAATAGAGACGTTGGTGCTTATTCCCAAGAACTGATCAAGATATAGCATACGGCAACAACAACAAAAAAGCCGACCATCTGAGCCCTTCTTTACATCTCTGGTCCTGTGTCGCAGTGCATGTATTCAAAAATATGTGAAACCTGGAAGATTGGTGACTATGCATGAAAAAATAAAGCCTAGCGGGTTAGCATACGGCAGTCAGCTACTTTCAAAGGAAAGAAAAGGGAAGCTGAGATCATGGGAAATATATAACTTTAAGAAGTCTCCTAAGACTTCTTTCATTTAAAATAGATTTGGATATTTTATTCCAAATTTTTCTGTTTACATGTTATATATTTTCATAGTTGAGATTATACTTGTATACAGGTCTAAATCATGCTTTAAAACTTTATACACTTTAGGCCAGGAGCAGTGGCTCATGCCTGTAATCCCAGCATATTGGAAGGCTGCGATGTGCGGATCACCTGAGGTCAGGAGTTCGAAAACAGCCTGGCCAGCATAGTGAAACCCTGCCTCTACTTAAAATACAAAATTAGCCAGGCATGGTGGTGCCTGACTATAATTCCAGCTATTCGGCAGAGTGAGGCAGGAGAACCGCTTGAACCTGAGAGGCGGAGGTTGCAGTGAGCAGAGATCACACCACTGTACTCTAGCCTGGGCAACAACAAGAGCAAAACTCTATCTTAAAATAAAAATAAATAAATAAATAAATAAATAAAAACTTTATACCCTTTAAGCATTTTCTGATTAAAAATTCTTTTAAACACTTAAAAAAAAATTTAGGCCAGGTGCAGTGGCTCACACCTGTAATCCCAGCACTTTGAGAGGCTGAGGTGGGTGGGTCACCTGAGGCCAGGAGTTCGAGACCAGCCTGGCCAACATGGTGAAACTGTTTCTACTTTAAAAAAAAAAAAAAAAAAAAAAAAAAATATATATATATATATATATATGTATATATACACATATATATGTATATATACACATATATGTGTATATATGTATATATATACACATATATATAATTTGAAAAAATAAAATATACTTGGGAAACATCTTTTAAAATGTGTCTCCATCTAATGGTATCTTTTTGCGGCAGGGGAGGAAGAATTAATTGATTGACTGGTTTTTAATTTTTAATTTTTGTGGGTACATAGGGGGTGTATGTGTTTATGGAGCACATGAGATGTTTGGATGCAGACATGCAATGCATAATAATCACATCATGGAGAATGAGGTATCCACTCCCTAAGGCATTTTTCCTTTATGTCACAAACAATCCAATTATACTCTTTTAGTTATTTTCAAATGTACAGCGTCTAATGGTGTCCTTCACTTTCACCTCAGAATCCATTTCCCTCTTCCTCTTTGTTTCTGCTTTGCCCGGATATTTGCTGACTTGGTTGGGCTTTCCCCTTATTCTGCTCTTTGGAGCTGCCCTCTCCCCCTTCTGTTTTTTTGCCATTTCACTCTGCATTTCAGCTGTTTTCACAAGTCTTTTGCTGAACGCGTCTATCTTTGGGACCTTTGTGTGGCTGGGAAGGGCCTGACAAGGGCAGTCGGGAATGCAGCGAGGCAGCCAAGTCCAGTTCAGCACCGAGCAGACTCTCTGCCGGCCACCTCCTGCCGCTGCTATTCAAAGCCAAAGTCTGACTTGCAGGATGCAGGCCTCCAGATTCTGCCTCTGCTTTCACCACTTCTAACCCGCAGTTGACCTTTGAACCCTGACCAACCCACCTTCTCCCTCCCCTGTTTCTAAGTTCCCATCTCCCCATGGGTGGATCAACTCCTAGGATGGGGCCCCTTCTGCAGCGTGGGCATTTGATACCCTACGGCTGGTGAATTGTTCTGCCTTTGCTGTGTTACACTTTTTCATTTCATGCTTCATCCAGCCGTTTCTTGTGCACAGTCATAATTACTATAAACCTGTGTCAGAGAGTTAAGAGGATGGCCTCTGGAGTTAACCTACCTGGCTTCAAATGTTAGCTTCACCCCTTATGGCTTCTGCATGGACTAAGCACAAATACAAATTTTAAATGAGAGGCTTGATTCTCCCCGTTGAAAATAAGGGAAGAGACTTTTCCTCTCCCCCACCTCCCTTTTCTTTCAGAATTTCTTCTACCTATCCTTTTCAATCTCTCAAAGATTTAGATTAAATCTTTAAAATAAACATATGTTACATTTACATTAAATTATTGTCATGGCTAAAATAAGCCTCTTGTCATTCTTATAATTCAGGAGGCTTTCTTCAAGGGCCTGGAGGTTACTGCTTTGAAATATAATCATCGGGCCGGGCGCAGTGGGTCATGCCTGTAATCCCAGCACTTTGGGAGGCCGAGGCAGTCGGATCACGAGGTCAAGAGTTCGAGACCACCTTGGCCAACATGTGAAACCTCATCTCTACTAAGAATATAAAAATTAGCCAGGCGTAGTGGTGCATGCCTGTAATCCCAGCTACTCGGGAGGATGAGGCAGGAGAACTGCTTGAACCTGGGAGGCGGAGGTTGCAGTGAGCAGAGATCATGCCACTGCACTCCAGCCTGGGCAACAGAGCAAGACTCTGTCTCAAAAAAAAGAAGGAAAGAAAGAAAAGAAAAAGAAACATAATCATCTCTCATTGTTCTGAGCAGAGGGGCCTAACTCCCTTCCGACTCCAAATTGCAAAACCTACTCAATGTAATGGGTTCCATTCATCCACTTAGCTACACAAGAGTGAGACTGCTTTCTGTCTTTGCAGTCTCTTCAGAGAGTTGTCTGTGATGTGGCTCCCATCCTGGTTTAGTGCTTATTCAATAATAAAATAGTTTTCTAGGCCGGGCATGGTGGCTCACACCTGTAATCCCAGCACTTTGGGAGACCGAGGCAGGCGGATAACCTGAGGTCAGGAGTTTGAGAACAGCCTGGCCAACGTGGAGAAACCCCATCTCTACTAAAAACACAAAAAGTAGCTGGGCATGGTGATGCATGCCTGTAATCCCGGCTACTCAGGGGGCTGAGGCAGGAGAATCGCGTGAAGCTGGGAGGCAGAGGCTGCAGTGAGCCAAGATCATGCCACTGCACTCTAGCCTGGGCGACAGAGCGAGATTCTATCTCTAAAAAATAAATAAATAAATAAAAATAGTAACAAAATAGTTTTCTTTCTCACCTGTCTTTGTGGAGAGGTTTTCTGAACAGGAAGGAAATCTCATTTCTAATCATATTTCCCTAACAGTGGCCTTGGACAAGTCATGTAACCTCTGAAAGACTCGGTTAGCTTGATCCAAATGGGGTTGGTGTGAAGATGAAATGAGATTAGGCATAGGAAGTCTTAGAATAAGGCCAGGCGCAGTGGCTCACACTTGTAATCCCAGCACTTTGGGAGGCTGAGGCAGGCAGATCACTTGAGGCCAGGAGTTTGAGACCAGCCTTGCCAACATGGCGAAACCTCGTCTCTACAAAAATACACAAATTAGCAGGGCGTGGTGGCACGTGCCTGTAGTCCCAACTACTCAGGAGGCTGAGGCTTGAGAATCACTTCAACCTGGGAGGTGGAGGTTGCAGTGAGCTAAGACCATGCCGCTACACTCCAGCCTGGGTGACAGACAGAGAGAGACTCTGTCTCAAAAAAAAAAGAAAGAAAGTCTTAGAATAAGGTCTGGCACATAGAAAGCACTTCAGAAATATGAGCTGTTACTATTACCTTTTTTATTCATTGATTTTATGGTAGCATCATTCATTGCTTTTATATAGTAGTTCAGATTTCTTCTGCTTATTCTGCCTTAGTCTTGTTCTTTGGTTAGTTTTAACATTTAAATTTTGCTCGACTACCTTGTTCTTTTCTCAAAAATGCAAACTTCTCTCCTGATGCCGAGTAAGAAAGGTATTGCTGACCACCTAGATCTGCAAGGCTCTGCTCTGAGGCAGTCAGGGTTCTATTAGCCATGTACAAAGCACACAGCCCAGAGCCTGGCCCCGAGCAGGTGCTTCCTCCTCGGCCAGCCCAGCGCCCAGGGCCCTCACCTTCATAGGACCAGTTGTTGTTGAAGGTCTGTGTCAATGCCTGCATCTCCTGCAGGAGGACCGAGTCTGCCTGGGAGGAAGTTTCTCCTCCATCCTCTTCTTCCAGAACCTCCTCTTCTTCCTCAGGGTCTGGGGAGTTCTGCATCATTTCCTCAATCTCCTCAATTACCTGAAGAAGGTACACGAGAGAGTGCTAACTCTGTTCTCTGCTAGAGGGGCATTCTGGCTTGAATTTTGATCAGTTAAGGATGTTCCTAATTAGCTATCTGAAAATTTCTAAAGCAATATTGTTTTTACATAAATACTGAATAATAAAAATAGTTCCAACCAAAGGCTTGCATACACTCTTTCTTTAATGTAAGGCACTCTTTAATGTAAAACCTCTTCCAAGAGCTCCTTTTAGATAAATGACTTATTGGAAATAAGCTGCTCTTTCAGGAAGCAAGGCAGAGCTGCCTGGAAGGGAACATTTACTTCAATGTGCTGAGCTATTTCTAAGTGGGAAAATATTTCATTCACCCAACTTTAACACAAAACCCAGTCCATTAATTGACATAATACACGTGACTGTAAAAAATAGCGTGCTCCTAGAACAACACAAAATGGGGAGGAAAACAACTATTTCTCCAGAATTCACCTAGACAGGAACTGAAGCTGCCCAGCAACAAATGAAAATAGAGATAATGAAATAATAGAAGGATAGGTGGAGTCTAGAGAGCAGCAAATAGATAAGAACCCCAGCTCTAATCTAGACTATTGACAGGAGCCAGCTCCCAGAAGTGGAGGGAAAATTAGATATCTGCCAAAAGGAACAAAAGTGAATTACTAGCTGGGCATGGTGTCTCATGCCTGTAATCCCAGCACTTTGGGAAGCCGAGGCAGGTGGATCACTTGAGCTCAGGAGTTCAAGACCAGCCTGAGCAACATGGCGAAACCCCATCTCTGCAAAAAGCAGAAAAATTAGCCAGTTGTGGTGACGTGTGTCTGTAGTCCATGTTACTTGGGAGGTTGAGGTGGGAGGATGGCTTGAGCCCAAGAGGTAGAGGTTGCAGTGAACCGAGACTGGGCCACTGGACTCCAGCCTGGGCAATAGAGCCAGATCCTGTTTCAACAACAACAACAAAAAAAAGAGTGACTTACTTTGTACATTAATTATTTACAAATAAAGAAGACTGCTGCTGAAAGCAGGTCTTTAGATGAGTTTTGTCCCAACCTTCACCTTTGTCTGTTCTCCATGGATGGACTAAAGTCCCCGAGGCCAGCATTGTACTCTTTGAGGTGGTTTCTTCACAGTGGGCTGGACCAAAGGTAAGGGGTTTCAGGGTCTCCTCCTTTAGAATAATTTCCATTCTTATTCCCAAACCTTTTCACCTCTACTCACAAACTTAGGAAATACCCAGTCTTTGACTACTGAAAGCCATTTTACAGAATGCAACCAAATGACACAAGTCCCTGTCAGGGTCTTATGGCTGAATGTCCTTTTCTCTAAGAGGAGTTATAATTGAGTTCATATCATTGAATTGTAGATCCTCCTACAAGTCACAAGAATAGCTATTAGCCCCTATTTTTAAAAATCTGGTTCTCTTCAGTCTCCTAATCCTCACGTGTTTCAATTCCCACCTTTCTATCACAGATATGAAAAAGCACCATTGCTGCTAAAAAAGCACTTTCTGGCACCGAAGGCTGCCAGTGGAGCTTTGCAGAAAGACTTTGTGGAAACTTATGTAGTGTTTAGCTCAAAATAAGCACCCATAAATATTTGTTGACTAAAACATTAAATAAGGAATCCAGAAACTGAACATTATCCTCTCTAAGTAATAAATTATTAAAGCTATGATGATCTCAATTGAATGCGAAGCACTCTATCTTTTTTCACAAAGTCGAAGTGGCTCTAAGACTCCTTTCGGAAGGCCCAAAATTTTGAGTGTTCTATGAAATGTAAGAAAATATCCATCACACAAAAGCCTCATCTGTCACTTCTCTTTTTGGGAAAACAGGTATTTGGGACCCTTGTTTGAGTGTCTTGACTCCGAGTACAACGAATTTCAATAAGAAGGCTTAGCAGGATTGTAGCTACTAAACACTATGCCTGTCTCTGGCTCCTATCAGAGACTGACCCCAACTATCCCAAGTGTCAAGAATGACATTCATGTTCACTGCAGGTGGGCAACCTGAGGCAGAAAGAGAGATGAAATCCCTTATCAAAAATACTCTGAGTTGGACAGTCACCGTGGCTCATGCCTGTAATCCCAGCACTTTGGGAGGCCAAGGCGGGTGGACTGCTTGAGTCCAGGAGTTTGAGACCAGCCTGGGCAGCATGGTGAAACCTCATCTCCACTAAAAGTACAGAAAATTAGCTGGGCATAGTGATGCATGCCTGTAGTCCCAGCTACTTAGGGGCCTGAGGCGGGAGGATCGCTTGAGCCAAGGAGGTTGAGGCTATAGTGAACCCTGATTTTGCCACTGCACTCTGGCCTGGGTGACAAAGTGAGACCCTGTCTCAAAATGAAAAAAAAAAAAGGTCAGGCACAGTGGCTCATGCCTATAATCCCAGCACTTTGGGAGGTTGAGGTGGGCAGATCACTTGAGGTTAGGAGTTTGAGACCAGCCTGGCCAACATGGTGAAATCACATCTCTACCAAAAAATTTTTTATAAGAATTAGCCAGGCATGGTGGTGCATGCCTGTAGTCCCAGCTACTCGGGAGGCTGAGGCAGGAAAGTCACTTGAATCCGGGAGGCAGAGGTTGCAATGAGCCAAGATCACGCCACTGCACTCCAGCCTGGGCAACAGAGCAAGACTCTGTCTCAAAAGTATATATATATAAAGAAAAAAAAGAAACAAAAAATACTCTGAGTCATGAGCACAGGCACCACATGACCACATATCTTTCTTCTGCCTTAAATGGATGTGGCAAGTGTGTTCTCTTGGACTTTTTCTCCATCAAAAGAACAAAAGGTCCCGATAACCTGGAGAGATACTTATACCTGATCTGCTGTGAGCAGAGGCTCCTCGTTGATACCGGAATCATTTTCACTCTTCTCATTGAACTCTTCCTCTTCTTTCTCATGGATCTGGAGAGGAGGTGGGGAGATGGAATTCTGGGTGACCATCAGCAGAAGTGGGATTGCCTCTAGTCTCGAGAATGGATGATACTGACTGGGAGGCCACTCCAGCCAGCTGCTGTCTAAACAGTGGAGCTGAAGAGGTGTCCAGAGTTTCATCCAATTCCAAACATATCTTTGCCCCATCACTAACTCCAGCATGCCAGAAATCCAGCATGCAGCACTGAATCCAACTTGGCAGGAAAAGACGACAGGGGAATGGCCAGCACCATTCTGACTCAAAGGGGACAGCACCGTTTTTTAACCCACAGACAGGTCATCCTGGGGTGAACAAGGCGCCTTCTCCAGGTAAGTGACACTGCAGCCAACTGCAGCAAAGGTGCCCTGATTTTGTTAAGGAGTTCCAACCTGGGGGGTTGTTTCCAGATTTCGTCTTACTAGGCATTTTAAGGAATAGGTTGTTCTAGTCCAAATAATGATGACTTTCAGAATTTGATGAAATGCCATCCTGTTACTGGAATCCAGGCATGATGTCATAGCTGATGGCAGATGTAAGAAATCTGCATGGGACATGCCACTGAATAACCTGACCACATGAACTAAACAACAACAAAACTACAAAAGAGAACCCCATTTATCTCATTTGCCCTGTGTCTCTATAATTCCATAATCCCAAGTAAGATCCTCAAAGTTCACAGCCATCAAAATTCTAGATGTTTAAATCTAACAAGCTATTCAAAGCATATCTGGCTTAACTGACCATATCCCAAACTGCCATAGTCTGGCATTTACATTCAAGTCCCACAGAAAAGTTAATCACTAAACACCTAACAAGCTGTATGTCTAGAAGTCTGATTTGAACGTCATACAAGGAGGAGGCAGGAGGTGTCTCTAGGAAATCTCTCTGCTGAGTCACCTCTCATCCAGGAATGAATCCTCCTTGCGCTCCAGTAGCTGGCACACCGATTGGCCCCTTCCCTGGGGCTTGTATTCTGCCTTTTCTAACAGGAAACAGCCCAGCTCCAATCCAAGCAATAATGTCAGAGGTAGTCTATCCTCAGAAACTTCTCCCGTCTTCTGTGAGCTTTGCCTTGGCAGACATCCCTAACAGAGCACATCACCTTTTATCTCCATTTGCTTAAAACCAGGACTATGTCATTAAAAAAGAAAAAAAAAATTAAGCAAATATATCTCAAATGCCATCCGCACTCAACCTAGATATGGGGTAGGACAGGGAGGTAATGGAATCATCTGAAGGGCCCGGGTACCAGATGGTGACATCTATTTCCGCTGTCAAACCCATATGCTCCTCTCTCTGCCAAGTCCACCACCTGCGATAGCCTCGTGGTTTCCACCGCTCCCCACTATGCAGAACAAAACTCCTGGAGCTACGCTTTGTTCACAACTACACTCATATGGAAGAACTTTCTTCAGGCCAGAAAATCCTGCAGTAGAAGTTAGCCCAAAATTAAGAGAACGAAGATACATTTTTTCCTCCAGACAAAAATTAGGGGAGAAAAAGGAAGAAATGTATCAATATGAACCCAGCCCAAGTTAGTGTGAGCCCAAGTTAGGCTCATCCTGGGAAACAGGGTTATTTTTCATAAGCATCTAACAGCAACTGTTAGTCTATAACCAGGATTTGGCAGGGGGTAGGGGGTGGTGGGCACTAAGTCTATATAAAAATGGCATGTTTACCTTTTCTGAAATGTGGCTGATTGTAGTGGGTTTAACTCCCTGACTGTTAATATTGCTTCTTTCAACTATATCATCTCCTCCCTCCCCAAGTTCCTCACTCCTTGGGGAGTTCCAGGAAGAAGGCAGGGAGGAAGCTTCTAGGGATAGATCCTTCTTGCTGCTCAAATGCTAATAAGCCTGGGCTGTGGCCGGAATGATGCACTAGTAGAGTTTCTCTCCCCTCCCCCTCTCAGGCGCAAAGCCTCCAGGTCTGAATTGTCAGGCTTGGGAAAACAGAGATGGGAAAATCAATTATAAGCTTATGAAAGGTACTGTGAGTTCCTACTCTTATGGGAACCATACTCATCCCTTATTTTCTTATTTCTCAGAAGTCTGCCACTAAAAAATAAAATAAAAGGAGAGGCAGACATAAAATACGGCCAAGAAAACCCTGGCTCCTTCCCTCTATGTGCGGGTTACCCCCTAATCCTTGGGCTTCCCCACCTCCATCGTGCCCCAGCCTCTTCACCTCCCTCTCCAGCGTTTGATTCTGATCCTCTCACCCTTCCCACCCTCCCTAGGCCTGGTTCCCACATTTTCTGTCCATCCTGCCAGACTTTGCTCTGTTCCAACAGCATCCATCACTTCACAAGCCCTTGCCTCTTTACGGGCACTGTTTACAGACTCCTTCCCTCCCCTCCTTGACCAGGACAGTATCTTGTGCACAGGGTGGAGAGCTGGAGGGGAAACAATGACAGAGGAAGAAAGAAAGGTTTTTGAAAAATGACAGCCCTTGTGCATATAAATACTCTTAATCCTAGCATAAGACACTGACATAGATATCACGGTAGAGAGTTCCTTTAGCCCCTTGTGCAGCAGTGGGGAAGATACATGTCAAAAATAACTTCAGGCCAGGTCATTTAGGGCTGAATTTCTTTGTCAGCTAAAACTGCTAGTTGTTACCAGATGTGGTGGCTTACACCTGTAATCCCAGCACTTTGGGAGGCCGAGATGAGAGGATTGCTTGAGTCCAGGAGTTCGAGACCAACCTGGGCAACATGGCAAGACTCCGTCTCTAAAAAAATAGAAAAATTAGTCAGGCATGATGGCACACCTGTAGTCCCAACTACTCAGGAGGCTGAGGTGGGAGGATCAATTGAGCCATGGAGATGGAGGCTGCAGTGAGGCTGCAGTGAGCCGTGATTATGCCACTGCACTCCAGCCTGGATGACAAAGTGAGATCCTGTCTAAAAAAAAAAACACCTTGCTAGCTGTTTGGATACTATTGACGTGAACTATGCTTTTCCAAGAAAAGTCATTCTTCCAAATGATTTATTCCCAGAATTGAGAAGATTTGAATCCAGAAAGGGGTCTGGCTATACCATTCAGCAAGCTGTTTCTTCCTCCTGCTTTTGGGAAGAGTGTGTCTCTAGGACTATAACATGAAAGCTTGAAACTTGAAAAGAAATGCAGAAAACTTTCCCCAAGGCCTATAACATTGCTAAATCTTGCTGCACAGTGAAGTATTCTGAATGATGATTAAAATTATGTGGAGCCCTTGATTCCAATAATGACTATTAACCAGTGTATTTTATTAAAGTGTTTCAAATGACCCCATTCATAGAAAAGGTAATTTTTACAGCATATTTAGCCCTTTGCATAATATTTTCCTCCCCTTACCACTATTGTTTGACATGAGTGGTTGCCCCCCTGACAAAAATTAAGAGAACAAAGATACATTTTTACCTTCAGACAAAAAGTAAAAAAAAAAAAAGAAATTCACAACAACTGTGTCCCATTTTTTTTTTTTTTAGACACAGGATCTCGCTGTGTCACACAAGCTGGAATGCAGTGGCACAATCATGGCTCAATGCAGCCTCTAACTCCTTTGCTCGAGTGATCCTCCTGCCTCAGCCTCCCAAGTAGCTGGGACTACAGGCAGGTGCCACCACACCTGACTAAGATTTTTTTTGTTTTGAATTTTTTTAGAGATAGGGGTCTCACTGTGTTGCCCAGGCTGGTCTCAAACTCCTGGCCTCAAGCAATCCTCCCACCTCAGCCTCCCGAGTGGGATTACAGGTGTGAGCCACTGTGCCTGGTAACTATGTCCCTTTTATGCTTATGAACAACCAGGAAACATCTGCGTGGATTAAGTCAATGGCTGTGCATTCCCATAGGGAGATGCACTAGGGCATGCAGCCAACACATATTTGTTGAAAGAATTAATGAACAATTGAAAAAGAGAGGACTGAGAGCAGTACTATCATCTAGATTCAGTCCACTTCCACAGGTAACTTAGCTATTTAGTCACCTGGAAAAGAGGAAGATGTGACTGGGCATGGTGTCTCATGCCTGTAATTCCAGCAATTTGGGAGGCCAGGGTGGGAGGGTCACTTGAGCCCAGCCTGGGCAACATAGTGAAACTCTGTCTCTACAAAAAAAATGAACAAAATTAGCCAGGCATGGTGGTGCACACCTGTAGTCCCAGCTACTCAGGAGATGGAGGTGGGAGGATTGCTTGAGCCAGGGAGGTGGAGGCTGTAGTGAGCCATGACTGTTGCCACTGTACTCTAGCCTGGGTGACATAGTGAGATCCTGTCTCAAAAATATGAAAGACATAATTCACTATCCTGGACTTCCAATTTCCTCTTATCCAGACAACCACTATCTGCTATTAAATAAAGGTTATAAGGTAAAAGGAGACTGTGTTTTACATCACAGGAATAGAATAGATTGATGAATCGAAAGCCCCAGTAAAAGTGGTAAATTGTGAAAAAAATAATAATGCCTCCTACAGACATATTAACTCAAGCAAATTATTTTGACCTAAAAATGTAAATGTACATTTATTTATTCACCAAGTTCCTAGTGTAGGACCAAGCTTACAATGAAACTCTGAGTAGAGTTCCACAGTCTCTCTTGCATCATCCACATAATAACTTTTTTTTTTCTTTTTTTAAACAGAGTCTCACAATATCACCCAGGCTGGAGTCCAATGACATGATCAAAGTCCACTGCAGCCTCCCTTTCCTGGGATCAGGCAATTCTTCCACCTCAGCCTCCCAAGTAGCTAGGAACATAGGTGCACACCACCACTCATGGCAAACTTTTTCATTTTTTTGTAAAGATTGAGTCCAATACTCCCTCTTTATCTTTACCCAGGCTGGCTTCTAACTCCTAGGCTCAAGTGATCTTCCTACTTCAGCCTCCCAAAGTGCTGTGCTTACAGGTGTGAGCCACCACACCCAGCCCATAACATAATTTTTAAAATGATTTCCTGTTTCCATTTCTTTATAGTAGAAGGTGGGTACACAGGAGATTGGGCACAAATTTATCAGCCCTTCCTCCTCAAACCCTACTAAAATGAGAGTCAAGGGATCAAAAAAGAATAACCCAAAAGGGACAAAGTGAACAGGAGAAAAGGCAACAGCAAGAGAAATGCCAGAAAACAGACGCCGGCCCAGCAGGCTCAGCAGGGTTAAACTTGGCGAGAGCAGGCTGCCCAAGGTAAAGGGGGTCACACAGCAGATACTGAATGGCTCAGGAATTGCAGACCCCGAGGGGCAGCATGGCGGGGCTATGTAAGGAAGATTTGCTGGTATTCTTCATCAAGAATAATGAGACCCAAGTGTCTTCTTCCAACCCAGATAAAAAGGGACTGCATCCTCTCAGCTCAAAAGGACTGTAGACTTCACTCTGAGCAGGTTGAACTGGAGGTTCTGGACTCAGAGCACCAGGCCACCTAAAAGTGAGGGTGAGGGTTCTCACCAAAAACAGAGAGAGGATGTAAGACTCTACAGAATGACTCACCAGACAGACCTCTGGCCTCCTTCCCTGAGTAGGCTCCAAGGACACTGGCAGCTGGTTTATTCTGTCCATCAAGCCATTGGAGAACACCTCTCTATGGATGCTATAAGTCTACAAATACATGCCAACTGTCAAGATCTCCGAACAAGACGCATAGGTCCTTACTGGCACTGTGATCCAGCAGGAAACAAGCCCTGACCCCATAGCCTTCTAGGGCCTCACTTTCTTTTTTTCCAAGGGTTTCCCTCTGTCACCTAGACTGAAGGGGAGTGGCTTGATCTCAGCTCACTGCAACCTCTGCCTCCCCGGCTCAAGCAATCCTCCCACCTCAGCCTCCTGAGTAGTTGGGACTACTGGCGCATGCCACCATGCCCAACTAACTTTTGTATTTTTTGTAGAGATGGGGAACTTGCCATGTTTCCTAGGCTGGTCTCAAACTCCTGAGCACAAGCAATTCACCTGCCTCGGCCTCCTAAAGTGTTGAGATTACAGGCGTGAGCTATCACCAGCCATTTTTTTTAAAATTAATGTTTTTAGAGACAGGGGCTTGCTCTGTTGCCCAGGCTGGTGTGAAATGGTGTAATCATAGCTCACTGTAGCCTCAAACTCCTAAGCTCAAGCGATTCTCTAGCCTCAGCCTCCCAAGTAGCTGGGACTACAGGTGCATGCCACCAGGCCCAGCTAATGCTTTTTTTTTTTTTTTTAATTTTTTGTAGAGACAGGGTCTTACTGTGTTGGCCAGGCTGGTATTGAAAATTCTGGGCTCAAGTGATCCTCCTGCCTTGGCCTCCCAAGTAGTTGGGACTGCAAGTGCACTCCATCCCCTGGCTACCTTTTTGTTTTTTTTGTTTTTGTTTTTTGGTAGAGTTGTAGAGATGGGGCTGGTCACAAACTCCTAGGATCAAGGGATCCCCCTGCCTTGTCCTCCCAAAGTGCTAGGATTATAGGAGTAAACCACCATGCCTGGCCATAAAGCCTCACTTTTAAATATGAAAAGATGCTCAAGGATTGCCAGACATTTGAGAATAGCCCCCAACATGAAAGATGAAAATGTATAGAGAAGAGAAATCAAAAGCAACAGAGAGAGCAGAAGAAACCTCTTCTAAGAAACTGCTATACCTGCCTTCAGAAGGATAACAGAACACCTTGCTTCCTCAAAATGTGTCCTATTTATCAGAATTCATTTAAAAACTACAAAGATGTACACTTACTAAGACCAGAAAAAAATTTTAAAAACACACAAATTCTGTAAAAACTGGAAAGGGCTCTTAGAAATTAAAGGTATGATAGAAAATTTAGACTTTTCCATCGAGCTGAAGGCTGAGAAAGTTCCCTGGAGAGTGAAACAAAATAAGCAGATAGAATTATGGGCGGGGAAAAATATTCAGAAGATCAGCTTCAGAAGTCCAATACTTGAATAAAAGGAATTCTAGAAAGCAAAAACAGAAGAGATGGCCCCTTTCAGCCATGACAGAGTAACTGGTATTGGACTTATCCCTCCTACCATAAACAACTACAATCTGGACAAAATCTATGAGCCAATTGTTTTCAGGCACTGGACACAGGCAGTGCAAGGCTGTGTGTTTTGAAAGAAGGGAAAAACATGAAATAAATGAGATAAATAAATGAAGGCTAAAGGAATCTGTCACCTGTGGCTCTACACCAAAAGAAATGCTATAAAAAGCATTTTGGGTTGAAAGGAAATGATAGAAAATCAGAATCTTCAGGAAAAAATAAGGAATGCCAGAAATGATAAATACATAGGTAAATATTTTAAAAGTATCTTTTTTTTCCTTCTTTTGATTTTCTTAAAAGACAACTAACTGTCTAAAGCAAAAATAATAACTTTGTGTTGTGGAGTATATAATGTAGATTGAAATAAAATATATGACAATTATAGCACAAAAGATGGAAGGAATAGACTTTATACTGTGACAAATGTTTTACATTTTATGTAAAGTGTACAATATTAATTCTAAATGGACTATGATTAATTAATAATGTATAGTGTAACCCCTAGAGAAACCACTAAAGAAAAATACGACAAGGTATAGATAAAAATCCAACAGAAGACATAAGATGCAAAGCCAAAGAATATTTGATTAACCCAAAAGAAGACAAAAAGTGTGGAACAGAGGAACAACAAAACAGCAACAAAACCAGATGGGACAATCAGAAATGAAGACAATACGCTCCAACACAAATTATCAATATTATGCCAAATGTCAATGGACTACACACTATGCAAATAAACTAAACACAATAATCAAGAAGCATAAATTGTCAGACTGAATATAAAAACAAGATCCAAGTATACACTACCTGCAAAAACACACTTTAAATAAAAAGACAGAGATAGGCAGAAACTAAAAGGATTGAGATAGATACACACACACACACACACACACACACACACACTTTGCAAACAGTATGCATAAGAAAGCTTAAGTGGCTACATTCATATCAAACAAAGTAGATTTTAAGATAAGCATTACAGAGAAAGAATGACATTTCATAATGATAAAAGGGTCAACTCATCAGGGAGATGTACTCAGAGCTTCAAAATATATAAAACAAAAATCAACAGAACTAAAGAAATAGAAATAAATGCACAACAATGGTTGGAGATTTTAATAAACCTTTCTC
The DNA here is from genome assembly GCF_000001405.40 of Homo sapiens. Lineage (NCBI taxonomy): Eukaryota > Metazoa > Chordata > Mammalia > Primates > Hominidae > Homo > Homo sapiens. The sequence continues at coordinate 125,471,692 of NC_000011.10, forward strand.
ATTAATTGATAGAATAAACAGACAAAAAATATCATTTGGAACACAGGAATTCAACAATACTATCAACCAAGTTAACCTGGTTGACATTTATAGCACATTACAACCAACAATTGCAGAATGTGCATCATTTCCAATGGCATATATTACATTCACTAAGACGTACCATATGCTGGACCCTAAATCAGTCTGAACGTATTTTAAAAGATTTAAGTCATACAAAGTATGTTCTCTGACAAAATTAAATTAGAAATCAATTTTTAACAAGATAGCTATAAAACCTCCCAAGCACTTTGAAATTCAGCAGCAAACTGCCAAATAACCTATGGGTTAAAGAAGAAATTGCAAGAAAAAATTAGAAACTATGTTTTTAATTGAATGATGAAAACATACCCAATCAAAATATGTAGAATTCAGCTAAAACAGTGCTTAAAGGGAATTTTATAGCTTTAAGTTTTTTTAAGTTTAAAATATAATCAAATTTCCTACCTTAAGAAGCTAAAAAAATGAGGGCAAATTAAACTCCTACTAAGTAGAAGGAAGGAAGTAATAAAGCTAAGAGAGGGAATCAATAAACTAAAAAGTTAACAAACAATAAAGGAAATCAAAGAAATAAAAAGTGGTTCTCTGAAAAGATTAATAAAGGTGATAATCCCACAGACCAGCTGACAAGAGAGAGTGAGAGAGGGATGGAGGGAGAGAGAACACAAATTAACAATGTCAGGAATAGAAAAGGGAACATCACTATAAATCTTACAGACATTTTCAATAACAAAACAAAATTATAAACAAATGAATGTTCAATACATTCAATGATTAAATAGATAAATTCCTTGAGAAATGTAACTTATCAAACCTGACTCAGTAAAATTGAATTTGTAACTGAAAATCTTCCACAGAGAAAACCCTAGGCCCAGATGCTTTCACTAGTATAGTCTATCAAACATTCAGGGAAGAAATAATACCAATGTAATACAAATTCTTTCACAAAGTAGAGATAGAGAGGATAATTTCCAACTTATTTTATGACATTAGAACAAAATAAAATTTCAGAAAAAGAACATGATGCAAAAATCTTTAATAAAATATCGGCAAATCAAATCCCACATTATATAAAAAAGATAAAATATCATAACTAAGTGGGGTTTATTTTAAAATAAAATGCTGGTTTAATATTTGAAAACCAATTAATGTAATTCATCACATTAACATGATAAATTGATCTACATATATAAATTGGTCTGTAGATTCTACACAATCAAAGTCAAATTTCCAGCAAGATTTTTTGCAAAAATTCATCTGCTGATTCCAAGATTTATATGGAAATGTAAATAACCTAAAATAACTAAAACAAATTTGGAAAGAAAAAAAAAGGACACAGTTGGAGAACTTATATTACTTTATTTCAAGACTTACCATAAAGCTACAGCAATCAATACAGTGTGGGATTGGCATAAAGATAGACACATTTTAAAATAAATTAGGGATGATAAAAAAAGACACACACATATATATATCATTGAAACAGAAAAAAGAATTCAGAAGTAGATCCGCACATACATGATCAATTGATTTTCAACAAAGATGCCAAAACAATTTAATGGGGAAGGAATAAGATTTTCAATGAATGGTACTGGAATAATTGAATAGCCATATGCAGAAAAATAAACCTTGAAGCCCAGCACTGTGGAGTGCCTCGGTAGTCCCAGCAATTGGGGAGGCTGAAGCAGGTGGATGGCTTGAGCCAAGGAGCTCAAGACCAACCTGGGAAACAGCAACCTGGGAATCAAAAATTTTAAAAAATGAGCCCTGACCCTTACTCCATACTATATACAAAACTAATTTGAAGGCTGGGCACAGTGGCTCATACCTGTAATCCCAGCACTTTGGGAGGCCAAGACGGGTGGATCACTTGAGGTCAGGAGTTCAAGACCAGTCTGGCCAAAATAGTAGAACTCTGCCTCTACTAAAAATACAAAAATTAGCTGGGCATGGTTGCAGGCACCTGTAATCCCAGCTACTCAGGAGGCACAGACAGAAGAATTGCTTGAACCTGGGAGGTGGAGGCTGCAGTGAGCCAATATTGAGTCACTGCACTCCAGCCTGGGCAACAGAGCAAGACTCCATTTCAAAAAAAAAAAAAAAAACAGAAAGAAACTGATTTGAGATGGATCATAGACCTAAATACAAGAGCTAAAATTATAAAACTTCTAGAAGAAAACTTAAGAAAAAAATCTTAGTGACCTTGGGTTTAACAAAGATTTCTTAAATACAACATAAACACAAAGTATAAAAAGGAAAATATCAATAAATTGGACCTCATCACATTTAATTTTCCTTTTCTTTTTTTTTTTGAGATGGAGTCTCACTCTGTTGCCCAGACTGGAGTGCAATGGTGCAATCTCAACCCACTGCAACCTCTGCCTCCCGGGTTCAAGCAATTCTCTTGCTTCAGCCTCCTGAGTAGCTGGGATTACAGGCACGTGCCACCATGCCAGGCTAATTTTTTTTTTTTTTTTTTTTGTATTTTTAGTAGAGACAGGGTTTCACCGTGTTAGCCAGCATGGTCTCAATCTGCTGACCTCGTGATCCACCCACCTTGGCCTCCCAAAGTGCTGGGATTACAGACATGAGCTACCACGCCCGGCCTAATTTTTCTTTTTGAGAGGGGATCTCACTATGTTGCCCAGTCTGGTCTTTAACTCCTGGCCTCAAGCAATCTGCCCACCTTAGTCTCCCAAAATGCTGGGATTACAAGCTTGAGCCACCACACTCAGCCTTCATCACATTTAAAAAACATTTGCTCTTCAAAAGATAATGTTAAGAAAATTAAAAGGCAACCTATAGACTAGGAGAAAATATTTGTAAAACATACATTCAACAAATAATTTTTATCTAGAATTTATAAGAAACTCTTATGGCCAAGCACGGTGGCTCATGCCTGTAATCCCAGCACTTTGGGAGGCCAAGGCAGGCGGATCACAAGGTCAGGAGTTCGAGACTAGCCTGACCAACATGGTGAAACCCCGTCTCTACTAAAAATACAAAAATTAGCCAGTCATGGTGGTGTGCATCTGTAATCCCAGCTACTCAGAAGGCTAAGGCAGGAGAATCACTTGAACCTGGGAGGCAGAGGTTGCAGTGAGCTGAGATTGCACCACTGCACTCCAGCCTGGGTGACAGAGCAAGACTCCAACTCAAAGAAAAAAAGAAACTCTTACAACTCAATACTAAGAACACAAACAATGTACTAAAAAAATGCACAAAAGATTTGAAGAGGCATTTCACCAAAGAAAACATACAGGCCGGGCACAGTCACGCCTGTAATCCCAGCACTTTGGGAGGCCGGGGCAGGTGGATCACTTGAGCTCAGGAATTCAAGACCATCCTAGGCAACATGGTGAAATCTCATCTCTTCTAAAAATACAAAAATTAGCTGGGTGTGGAGGTGTGCACCTATGGTCCCAGCTACTTGGGGAGCTGAGGTGTGAAGATTGCTTGAGTCCGGGAGGTGGAGGTTGCTGTGAGCTGAGATTGAGCCACTGCCCTCCAGACTGGGCAACACAGCAAGACCCTGTCTCAAAAATACACACACACACACACACACACACACACACACACACATTGTAAATAATCACTTGAAAAGATGCTCAATATTCTATGTCACTAGAGAAAAGCAAATTAGAACTGAAATAAGGTATCAATTTTGTTACTACCCATGAAGATGTCTAAATTTTAAAGATTGTCCATAACAAGTGTTAGTGAGAATATGGGACAATTACAGCTCTCAAACTGGGCAACAGTTTGGTAGTTCCTTAAAAATTTAGACATGGGAGTTAAATGATGAGAACAAATGGACACACGGAAGGGAACAATACACACTGGGCCCTACTGGAGGATGAAGGGTGGGAGGAGGGAGAGGATCAGGAAAAATAACCAATGTATACTAGGTTTAATACCTGGGTGATGAAATAATCTGTACAACAAACCCCCATGACACAATTTACCTATGTAACAAACCTGCACATGTACCCCTGAACTTAAAATAAAAGCTAAAAAAAAAAAGTTGAACATACACCTACCATATGACTCAGCCATTCCACACATAGGTTTTTATCTAAGAGAAATGGAAGCATATGTTCACACAAAGACCTACAGAAAAATGTTCACAGCAGCTTCATTTGAAATATGCAAAAAGTAGAAAAAAAACTGTTCATCTATAAGCGAATGAATAAGCCGCTGGTGATATATCCATACAACAGAATACTACTCAACAATAAAAAGAAATGAACTGTTGCTATACTTAAAAACATGGATGAATACCTAATTACATTGAGTTTAATAAGCCAGACAAAAGAAAATGTACATATTGCATGATTCCATTCATGCAAAATTCTAGAAAATGAAAACTAATCTACAACGACAGAAAGCAGATAAGTGGTTGCCCAGAGATTGGGCGGTGAGAGAGAGGGATGAGGAATATGTTGAATATCTTGATTGTGGTGATGGTTTCGCAGATATATGCAGATGTCAAAATTTACCGCATTGCTCACTTTAATATGTGCAGCTCATTATATGCCAATTACCTTTCAATTACGATATGGGGGGAAAAACAGAATAAAATAAAATGATAATATATCATGATGAAGTTGTGTGTATCTCAAGAATGCATGGTTGAGTTGACATTTGCAAATTAATTTATGAAATTCATCACATTAACATCATAAAGGAGAAAAGCTATATAATCATCTCCACAGAGGCAGTAAATAGAAATAATAAATCTTCAGAAAAAATAATAAGAAAACGTCACAATTTGAAGTCATGAGCTTCTATGTTGAAAGGACTCACTGAGGACAACATAATGAAGGAAAAAATTCATTCTAAAGCACATTATTGTAAAATTTCAAATGAGAAAGGAAAAGAACATCCTAAAAGCTTCCAGAAAGAACCAAAAAAGTCATATAATAAAGGAGCAGGAATCTAAAGATGGAGAACAGAGTCAGCCTAAAAAGAAGGACTGGGAATCGGAACAGATTTGGGGTTTCTCAACACGACCTAATGCTAGAAGAGAACAAAGCCCTCAGAATGCTAAATAATAATATTCTTATATATCCTAAAAACCATTTCCTCTGTACTCCTTTCTCAAAAATATGCTGAATAGTTTGGTTTGTTGTTGGTTTTTTTCACCAAAACAAGGAACTATATCTAGAAAGATTTTTAAAATATGGTAACCAGAAGACAGGAGTGGAAGACAAAAGAATCCCCAGCATGAAGGGAAGGACGTTCTCAGGACAGCAGCTGTGCAGCTGATCTAGCGAATGACCAGACCAGTTTGTAGCAGAAAGATGAAAGGTACTAACTGGGATGTTTTCAAGAAAAAAACATGGAATTGACACAATATAGTATCTGATTTATTTAAGCATTGTGTTATTTATACTTTTTAATTTTCTGAAAATTATGATTTTTAACATTTTAAAGATCTTTCTGGTGGGGATAGACTGTACCTTCAAGATTAGCCAATTCTGGCTGGGTACAGTGCCTCACACCTGTAATCCCAGCACTTTGGGAGGCCAAGGCAGGCGGCTCACTTGAGATCAGAAGTTCAAGACTAGCCTGGCCAATATGCAAAACCCTGTTTCTACCAAAAATACAAAAAAAAAAAAAAAATTAGCTGAGCGTCATGGTGCATTCCTGTAATTCCAGCTACCTGGGAGGGTGGGGCAGGAGAATTGCTTGAACCTGGGAGGTGGATGTTGCAGTGAGCCGAGATCGTGCCACTGCACTCCAGCCTGAGTGACAGAGTGTGACTCCATCACACACACACACAAAAAATTAGCCAATTCTTAGAGATAGCAAAGGGCTCAGCAAGCCTTCTATATGCAAACTAACCAAAGCCAAGCCCTGCCGCCTCTACCTGACCTTTACATCCCAGGAGGCAGAGTCCTCTTCCTTAGTCATCCCAGAGTCAGGTACTAGGCACTAAGGACCATCCCTAGTGTTTACAGCTTGCAGAAATTACTCAAACTAGCCAGTCCTAAACTGTTTACCCCATCTCGCCATTCCTGAGGCACTGGCCTGGCTCTCCCCTGGCTCCTTCTGCCTCCAGGGGACACTGGAGCTTCCCCATGTGGCCCCGCATGGCCCCACTATAAAAGTGGAGCTTTATGCAAAAAAAAAAAAAGGCAGCTAAAAGAAATGCAAGCAGTTGCCTGTATGGAGTAGGGAAAGACAAGAAGGCAGGGGTCTACTGTTTTGGGTGGTTGTTTTGTCTTGCACTTACAGTGCATTACTTTCAAAGCATTAATTAACTTTTTAAACTATGTAGACGTGTTACTTTGATTTTAACAAAAAATGACACTCTTTGCAGTCACAATTCAATAGTTGGTACAATATTTAATTAAATTTCTTAGTGCAGTCACAAGGACAGCACAAACAGGTTTGGGGACAACTGATTCTTAAAAATGGACCACTTGGCCAGGTGTGGCGGCTCACACCTATAATCCCAGCACTTTGGGAGGCCAAGGCGGGTGGATCACCTGAGGTTGGGAGTTCAAGACCAGCCTGGGCAACATAGTGAAACCCCATCTCTACAAAAATACAAAAATTAGCTGAGCATGATGGCACATGCCTGTAATCCCAGCTACTCAGGAAACTGAGGCAGGAGAATTGCTTGAACCTGGGAGGCGGAGGTTGCAGTGAGCCAAGATCGCGCCATTGCACTCCAGCCTGGGCAACAGAGAGAGACACCATCTCAAAAAATAAAAAAAATTGTTTTAAATGGACCACTTAAGTGGAGGTATGAGTGCTCACTAGAGAGAAGCATCACAGCTGTGCACATTCAGCATGCCAAGCGCTTTTGGTCGTATGTTTTACAGAAGGAATACAGAGCACTGGTTAATCTGGTAAATCGTTTAAACTTAGGGCAGTTAATAGAGCTCCTACTGTAATTAATCCAGATAATAAAAGAGGATGAAATAAAACAGCCTTAATCCATCTACTTTTGCTACCCTGTCCTTTTCCCATGGGTTAGATAGAAGAAATACTACAAGGAACAGAGCTCAAGATCATCCTTCTCAGGGTCATTCAGTTTGCCCTGAAATATTAACCCTCTTGAGGGAAATCTGGAAATGAGGATAAATTAAAGCCCTTTTGAAGGGCAGGCTATCTTATATATCCTTTGGCTTAATTCACAAAATGAGTTGGAAAGGTGTCAAAAGAGATAACAAAGCAAAATCTGCCTTTTGTACCATGACGGACCTGATTTAATTTCAGTAACTAGATTTATTCCATTATTGCCTCCATCTTCTTTGCGGTTTGGGTAAGTACTAAGCATCATACCTGTAAGCATTACAAGAGAACATGCACAGCCGAGAGTTCAAAACAGGACCTGAGACACAGCCTCCTATGTCTGTGCTGAGGAGGCTTGCAGGAAATCTTAGTCTCAAAGTCATCATCTCACTTGCTCCCGTCAATGAAGCCTTGAGGTTTTGAGTACCTTAGATTGCTAATTACTAGAAAAATGGAGAAGGATATATATGGCTACATTTTCAACAAATCAGTCAACTGCTGATCTCTTTGCTGTGCTATTTTGAGCAATAATCTACAAATATATTGCCGAGTAAGGGGAATCTGTTTCTTGCTCTTTTACTTGGACTCAATTCTGAAACACTTAGAAAGATTAGACCCATCCAACTCTATCACTTGCTGAGCCTGCAGGGCTGTGACAGCCCTTCCTGACGATAAATTGTCAAATTTCCTTCACAACTGAAACTAGAAAACCAAGTGAGGCAGAAATTTGCTTTTAACATAGAGCCATTAAATGATTTTATCTTTTGCTGTGCTCTGAATGTTTATGTCCCACCCCCCAAATTTATATGCTAAAATCCTAATGCCCAAAGTGATGGTATTAGACAGTGAGACCTTGTGGAGGTGATGATATCATGGAGGTGGGATGCCCACAAGTATCTTTCTAAAAGAGGCCCAAGGGAGCACTTTAGACCCTTCTACCATGTGGGGACACAGTGAGAAGGTGCCGTCTGTGAACCAGAAAGCAGGTCCTCACCAGATATTGAATCTGCCAGTGCCTTGATCTTGGACTTCCCTGCCACCAGAGCTGTGAAAATCAACTTCTGTTGTTAATAAATTACTTAGTCTAACGTATCCTGTTACAGCAGCCCAAACTGACTAAGAAACCATTCCATATGTAGATTCAGATAGGAGGGGCAATTTGGATCTTCTGAAAGGTCACCCCCTTTATGGCCTTTGCAAATCAACTCAAAATAAATATCATCTTTATTTTTCAGAAGCCCCTAAGCTACTTTCTCCCTTGGAGTCAGTAACTCATGGAGTGTGACTCTGGTCCAGACACATAAACGTCCCCTTGGTTGAGTTTCATAAACAATTCTAGGCCAGCATGGTGGCTCACACCTGTAATCCCAACACTTTGAGAGTCCGAGTTGGGTGGATTGCTTGAGCTCAGGAGTTTGAAACCAGCCTTGGTAACATGGCAAAATCCCATCTCTACAAAAAATACAAAAATTAGCCGGGCATGGTGGCGTATGCCTGTAGTCCCAGCTACTCGGGGAGGGGGTGGTGGGTAAGGCTGGAGGATCACTTGAGCCCAGGAGGTCAAGGCTGTAGTGAGCCGAGACTGTGCCACTGCACTCCAGCCTAGGCGACACAGTGAGACCCTGTCTGAGAAAAAAAGAGAGACTTCTTCCCCACTGTGTGGCTACATTGCTAATATCTGGGCCCCACCTCTGGCCATTGTCAAGTGCAAGATCCGTCAGCACTTGTTCTCAGCACTGTTTTTGTGGGCCTGAACTATTCATTTAAGATGGGAAAATCTAATTTTTTTAAACCATCATTATTTGAACCCAAGAGAAGCCCATGACAGTTTCCTCCTCTTATTTCCGGCCTGAACTGTTCATTTAAGATGAGAAAACCTGATTTTTTTAAACCACCATTATTTGAACCCAAGAGAAGCCATGACAGTTTCCTCCTCTTATTTCAGGCCACTTTATTTTTCATGTTGTAGTACACAGGTTAGAAATATTGATAGTAATGGCAGGCTGGGTGTGGTGGCTCACGCCTGTAATCCCAGCACTTTGGAAGGCCAAGGCGGGCGGATCACGGGGTCAGGAGATCAAGACCATCCTGGCTAACACAGTGAAACCACATCTCTACTAAAAATACAAAAAATTAGCCAGGCATAGTGGCATGCACCTGTAGTCCCAGCTACTCGGGATGCTGAGGCAGGAGACTCCCTTGAACCCGGGAGGCGAAGGTTGCAGTGAGCCGAGATCGTGCCACTGCACTCCAGCCTGGGCAACAGAGCGAGATTCCATCTCAAAAAAAGAAAAAAAAAAAAAGGAAAGTAATGGCAGAAAAAAAATTACTTTTGCACCAACCTAATAGAAGTGATCTGTGTTTCTGCTTTTCTATAGATGACCATTCCTATCATTTCAGATATACTGGATGTCTTCCTTATTTTTCACCCTCCTCTACAACTCCTCCTTCCCAACAATAATTTTTTTTTTAATTGAACCTCCTAGGCTCAAGCAATCCTCCCACCTCAGTCTCCTGAGTAGCTGGGACCACAAGCATGCGCCACCATGCCTGGCTAATTTTTTGTATTTTTGGTAGAAATGGGGGTTTCACCACGTGGCCCAGGCTGGTCTTAAATTACTGAACTCAAGCAATCACCCACCTCGGTCTCCCAAAGCTGAGATTACAGGCATGAGCCTCCATCAACAATTTTGAGGAAGACTGTTGAGTTACTGAATGTTTTTCTAACTGGATTCCACATCTCAAGCCCTGCTAAACCAGGGGCCCCGGAGAGGTACCTCAGTGTCAGAGCAGTTGCCATTCAGAGCCTCGATGTTTGGATCCCTCCAGTCTTCTGAGAGTGAAGGGATGTAATTGTCTGTCAGAGCATCCCAAACCCTGTAAACAAAGAGAAGCTCTCATTAACACACATCTGTGGCCTGGCCCCGCCTGGAGGAAGGAAGAGCTGGGCCGGGAGAGGAGAGAGGCTTCTGTGTGTGCCAGGCTGAGATCATCTGCCTTCCAGCATGCAGGGGCAAAGCAGCTTAAAAACTGAATCAGAGGCACATCCAGGGGAGAAAGTGCATGGAGCTTGGCCAGGGGCTTCAGTGTGAAAGGTGTTTGCTTGAGGGAAGAGGAATTTCCTACCATTGAGATACAAATGGCAGCATCTATAATCAAACTGCCTCTGGCTCTGAAAATAAATCTGCCCCTCATCCAAATAGCTCATGTTTCTGAATCTAAGAGATGCCCATGTTTCTTTTCCTATGGGCAGAGAGAGAGAGAGAGAAAGAGAGAGAGAGAGAAAGGGAGAGAGAGAGAGAGGAACACAGAGAAAGAGAGATCTGGGCAGTTTTTCTGGCTGAATCTCATTAAGATCAGAATCATTATCTAGTTTATAACCGTTTCAGTTTCAGAGGCCTACAATCTAAATGATCAGGAATTCCCTCCTTGACATCTAATGTAGGTAAGGGAATAATGCCAATACAGTGAGTGCTTACTTACTACCCAAAATGTTCTATCGAACCCACGGGTTGCAAGATCCTGCCCTCTAACAATGTAGAATCTAAATCCTGCATTGTGTCATTCCAACATCACGGACACTCTCAGGTAAATACTGTATATAAAAGAAACCAATAAATACACCTCTGTCTACACAATTTGTTTTTAGTGGGGAAAGATGGAGCTACATTTATTACATTTCTTTTTAAAATTCTGATATGTACATTATAAGAAAGGATTTCTACAATTCTTATTCCTTAACTTATTTCAGAAAGATTTCTTACAAAAAAAGAGGAGGGAGGTTGGGGAAAATTTCAAAGTCACAAACACACATCAGGAAGATACATAAATTATTCAACACCAAGAGATTAATGTAAATCAGTAAACAAAGCCCTTAAGATAATGACCGCCATGGAAGCCAATGGCACCTGAATTAATATTAATGAGGCCGGGCGCGATGGCTCACGCCTGAAATCCAGCACTTTGGAAGGCCAAGATGGGCAGATCGCTTGACTCCAGGAGTTCAAGATGAGACTGGCCAACATGGTGAAACCCTGTCTCTACAAAAAATACAAAAATTAACCAGGCATGGTAGCATGGGCCTATAGTCCCAGCTACTTGAGAGGCTTGAAGTGGGAGGATAGCCTGATCCATGGGAAGAACCTTAGGAAGTCGAGGCTGCAGTGAGCCATGATTGTGTCACTGCTCTCCAGCCTGGGTGACAGAACAAGACACTGTAAAAAAAAAAAAAAAAAAAAAAAAAAAAAACTAAAATATTAGATAATGATAAATTAGGGCTCTATGCTGCACTCTCCTTCAGGTGCCTATGCATGTCAAACACAAATGATACCCGTGACAGCAAGATTTCAAAAATAAGCAAGTATGTATATATACACCAGGGCACAGACACTTGAAATCAGAAAGTAATGAGGGCACTATTAACTAAACAAAATGCCCATATATCACATCACATTCCTGATTTTGTTTGTATCAGGAATGCGACGTGATATATGGGTTTTAAAAGCAAAAAGACTTTCTTAGTGCACAATGCATATAATTGGTGATGGAACAAATAGAAGGAACCCAAGAAAACACAATGTAATGGCAGTGCTTGGGGCATCTGCTTATTCATTATTTTCCTACCATTACAAGAAAACACTTTGAAGAGAACTCATCAAGTACTCGTTAGCCATCTACTCAGCAGGATTTCAGAGCAGACTTCTTAAACCATGGGTGATACCCTAATCTCCATCAGGCACTATTAGAGCTGCATTAATCCAGGCTAATTCTAAATCCAAGTGCCATTAGCATTCTAGAGCCAAGAAGCAAATAGGATTTGCTTTCTCCAAGACAAAACTCCAAGGCACCACACCCGCTGGAAAGGTCACTGCAGGACTACTCTTTACATCACTGCATTACATTCTCTGCTGCAAGAATGAACATGCATACAGGCACTGACCTTCAGATTTGTCCCTGCAGGAAGTGCCCACAGAAATGAAATTCAGCAAAGCCCAAAATAGGCAGGAGCCTTTTGTATCTCTCCCAGGCTGGAGGGAAGCTGAGAACTTTAACGAGCTACACACTTTCCAATGACCTTGAGACTATTTACATCCTTAAAGTGATAAGCAGGGGCTCTCTCGGGATCATTTAGAGTGCCCGCTTTTCTCATCTGAGCCTTTGCTGATAAGCTTTGAATTTTATCTTCTGATTCTACATTTTTAGCGACAATTCCCTAAACTTTTATCTTCTCAGGATTTCAAGCCATCCTCATTCTCTTTCACATTTTGTCCAGGTTTCCTTTTTCCTTGCTGACATACTTTTTATCCTTTGAAGTTTATAAACAAGCTTTAAGATAAAGCAGCTTTCTTCTCTTTATAATCAGTTGTATACCCTTTCCATACTTACCCAGTGCCCATTTAACAATAACAATAGCAGTCAACACTTGCTGAGCACTTACTATGAGCCAGGTAGTACTCTAAACCAGATTCGAAACATGGATTAATTCATTCATTCTTCACAACAATTATACAAGGCAGATGCTAATGAGAAAAAAATTGAAACATAGTGAATTTAATTCACTTGTCTCAGCTCACACTGCCAGTAATGGTAAAAGTGGGATTTGAACTTGGGCAGCACGGCTACAGAGCCCATATTCCTAACCACTTAACAATTCCAAGTCTTTATGAATTCTGTAATTGGCATCGGTATGGGCATCAGAATAACATACCAAGTTCCTAATCATAACCTAGGAGAGCAGTTTAGAAACTGGCTCTGCGTGAAAATTAGCTGGGCGTGGTGGCCCACACCTGTAATCTCAGCTACTTGGGAGGCTGAGGCAGGAGAATCACTTGAACCTGGGAGGCGGAGGTTGCAGTGAGCCGAGATGGCGCCATTGCACTCCATCCTGGGCAACAAGAGTGAAACTCTGTCTCAAAAAAAAAAAAGAAGAAAAGAAAAAAAAAAAGAAACTGGCTCTGCGTGAGAAACCCATACGTACGATGATCCTGAACATTGTGTTTTCATGGATCTACAGAAGGAGGAATGGCAAAGGTAGCAGGGGTGCATGGCCACTTTCTATGTAGATCTCCAGCCCAGGGAAGGGCACAAGGAAGGCACAGGCAGATGCTGGCAGCCAGCAGCCTCAGCAACAGAGGAGCCAATGCAGCCAGGGCAGGGGGAAACAGCTTTCTGTGAGGAAGAGAAAGGGAAGGGCTGTCTATCCCATCATATATCCCATCATAAGCAGGGTTCTTGGGAGTGTGCATCACCCCTTTTGTGAGTACCCGGAGGTGGACTGTAAAGTTTTACTTCCCTGAGAAGCATCCTGCTATTTACTCTTACCTTGGGGAAAGAAGACTTTGAAAGCTATCTCCTCTATCATTCATCAGAGAACTAAGATTAAACAGGTTGCCTCAGTTCCTATCATTATGCTGCCATGACACCTGAGATTCAATTTGCTCTCTCCATCCCTGTATAACAGAAAAGGCTTTTTCAGGTGCATATTTTATAGCTTGGGCTTAGGTGCCTGTAGAATTGACTTAAGTATCTTTCGCCACAGAGAGCAGGGGCTTTGGGAAAGGCTGCTGGCAGAGTATGAGCAAACCCAGTGGAGGAGGGTGGAGACTGGGGGGTGCCAGGACACGTGTACAAAGAACTCCAGGGCCTGGAACTGGCAACATAGCCATCAGGGTTCTCTCAGTCCTGATGCACACGTAAACCCTTATATACCTATTTCTGACAATATGGCAGGCAGCTTAAAGGGCTTATTAGAATTCTAACTTGCTGACATTTCCCTCAAGCCTGGCTACTTCCCTTGTCTAGTGTTTTGCTGGTGTGCAGTCATGCCAATATCCACACCCAAATGTGTATTAATTTGAGTACACCTTTGCACTTTATGTTTAGAAAGTAGAAATTAGTGGCTGGGCGTGGTGGCTCACGCCTGTAATCCTAGCACTTTGGGAGGCTGAGGCGGGTGGATTGCCTGAGCTCAGGAGTTCGAGACCAGCTTGGACAACATGGTGAAAACCCATGTCTACTAAAAGACAAAAAAAAAAAAAAAATTAGTCCGGCGTGGCAGCGTTTGCCTGTAATCCCAGCTACTCGGGAGGCTGAGGCAGGAGAATTGCTTGAAACAAGGAAGCGGAGCTTGCAGCGAGCCGAGATCATGCCACTGCACTCCAGCCTGGGCAACAGAGTGAGACTCTGTCTCAAAAAGAAAGAAAGTAGAAATTATTAGCAGCACATTAATGCGTTTGCTCAACTTTCTAGATGTCCTCAAATGTTTAAATAGAATCAATACTATATCCGCTTTCTATAACCTCTAAAAAGAGAATTAAATTTTCTAAAAATCACAATTATGTGTAGTTTTCCCTAGCTGACTATTTGGTATTTACTTGTCTTCAACATGTAGTATATCTGATGACAGGCAGTTTATTGTGTGCACTTTATTTTTAACATCACCTATAACAATTCTATCTGAAGAAACAGCCATTGCATGGTTAGCCCCTCTGTCTTCAGGGTACTCGTAAGAGGGCTGATAGGGATCCCCAGTGACGTAGGAGGTAAGCTGAGGGCCGTCAATTTCCATTTTGTAGTGACCCCTAAGAGGCTGTGACCTCCAGGCCCAATCTCTTATGGCAAAGGAAGAGGGTGGTCACATATACACAAAGAAGAGATTCTGGGATATTTCTTGAATGCAAAACCAAAAAATGTGTATTCAAATCTGACTCTCCTTTAATGCCTAGAACTTCCATGCCCTGACAGATCAGAGATAAGTTGACAAATCTTAGCCAACTCCCCTCTTGGCTAAATAGTTCCAAATGAAGACTAAAGAAAGCTTCTAAGGGAATCACTACATTTGCTCTATGATTTGTGCTGTCTTTAAGGAGGCAGTTTAACCAAGTATTTCCCTGCTTTTGTTTTAAGCTTCTATTATTTACCTCTAACCCATCCACAGCACTTTTCACTCATTTGTGGATGAAACAGCCCTCTAAATACTAAACCGGAACAAGTTTATAACAATAACATTAGAGCTATGTTCAGGAGAAGTGTAGTCAGGTGAGATATTAAGTCACCCTTTTCCTTTACTTAGCCATAATTTCACAGTTGAAATATCTGGATAGTGTCTATGAAACAAAGTGTGTAACAGAATTCTGATTTTTATTTTAAATTATAAAGAGGGGTTAGAACTGAATGCCTAGAAAGTGTTGTGTTAATTTTTCTCTTCCCAGCTTCCTCCCGCTACACTGTCCCCAAATTATACCTTATCTCGAAGGAATTATTCAATCTTTGGTCTCTTAACTGAGGCAGTCAATGAGGCAGTCAAGTCAGAAAAATCAGGCTGAGGAGGCCAATAATCCCATGTGATGGTAATTAACATTGAGTGGCCTCTTCTAATGTGCTAGAAGACAGTAAGAATCTGCTCATTGGGCCTTCATCCTTAATGAGGCAGAGGAGGGGTTTTGATAGGGGGGAAATGATTTGTTGGAAGCAAAAGGAATGGGACGCATCTTGAAATGTCATTTTCAGAGCACCTGGGCATCCTGGGTGAGGTAAGAAATTAGGTTCTTTACAAGTCCTTAGCCTCACTTCATCAAGATTGAGCTCTGGAGGTTTCATAGATGAGGACCTACACAGTCAACCAGGGTTAAATGACTTGCCCAAGGTCACACAGCGAGTTAGAGAGAGTACCAAAATTAGAATTCATAGTCTTTGTATTTCTAGTTCATTGGCTGGTGCACTAGAACGAAAAAATATTCGGCATAATAAACCCCCAGAGCCATTCTTTTTTGACTTATAAATGTTGAGCAGATAACAGGCTCAGAATCTAAAAAGAATCTGTTTGAAACTTAAAATTTAAACACATAGCCCACAGCTATAGTACTAGTCAGCAGAATGAAATGTTCTCTGTGATCATACCTTCCGGCCAGCATTAATTAAAAAGAAAAGAAGGAAATGGTGTGGGCTTAGAAATATATTACATGTACATACAAGGCTACTAGCTATTATCACTCATCTAGTTTATTTGATATTCAATATTTCATTCAAAAATATTATTTGCACATTGCACTGTATTAGACAGTGGGGCTGTAAGAGTGAATCAGACAGATATTTGGCCCCTCTATGTGTAAAAGTAGAGTCTTACAGTAGTCATCAAATAAGCAACCCTCTCCCAAATACAGTCAGGTTCCAATCCTCTAGGACGTGCCTCTTACCCCATTATTTGTGGGCCATTCTTCCCACTCAAATCCACAAAAAGGGAAACAAAAGCACAGGTGCTTCAGACTTCCCTGACGTTTGACATTTCTTGTGTGATAGCTAAGAACAATGGATGCATATTGTATCTCTGCAGGGAACTCATGTAGACAGTAGTCCCCCCTTATCTGTGGTTTTGCTTTCCCAGGGCTCGGTTATCTGCTGTACAGTACAATGAAATATTTTGAAAGAGAGAGAGAAAGAGAGACCACATTCACATAATTTTTATTACAATATATTGTTATAATTGCTCTATTTTGCTGTGAGCTGTTGTTAGTCTCTTACTGTGCCTAACTTATAAACTGAACTTTATCATATGTACGTACATACAGGAAAAAACATTAGGGTTTGGTACTAGCAGCGGTTTCAGGCATTAACTGGGGGTCTTAAAACATATCCCCCACCATGGGCCAGGTGTGGTGACTCACGCCTGTAATCCCAGCACTTTGGGAGGCCAAGGCGGGCAAATCACCAGGTCAGGAGTTCGAGACCAGCCTGGCCAACATGGTGAAACTCCCATCTCTACTCAAAATACAAAAATTAGTCGGGCATGGTGGCGCACACCTGTAGTCCCAGCTACTCAGGAGGCTGAGGCAGGAGAATAGCTTGAACCTGGGAGGTGGAGGTTGCAGTGAGCCAAAATTGTGCCATTGCACTCCAGCCTGGGCGATAGAATGAAACTTCATCTCAAAAAAAAACAAAACAAAACAAAACAAAAAAACACATCCCCCGAGGATAGCGGGGAACCACTGAATTTTTACTAAATGCCTAAGACATCCTTCTTTAATTTGTGTAACATATCACCCCCTTCTCTTTCTAGTCCCTCCTGAAAGAGTACTTTTCTCAGATCCCTTTTCTTGACTACTATTAAGACCCTAGAAAGTAGCGAGCAAGTGATACAAGGAATCTGCATACTCAAAGGCCACATCACCTAGTTTCCACCTTTACTTTGTCCAGGGTAGCCCGCTGTGCTCTCAGTTCAGTTTAGATGCTTTCTTATGTGGACATATCCTAACATCTGTAGATAACTCTCCAGGCCTGAGGGGCTGTCAAAAATTCGGGATTTTCAAAATTCTGGTGTTTCTTGAAGCAAATTAGTCCAATAACATAGATTCATCCATCATGGTTAATTAATTTTTTCTGGCCTTTATTTCTAATATCTCGCTGGATTTCCACTGATATAAAGAAAGCTTAAGATAGACAGACCCTGAAATTTACTGTGCTCCTGAAATTCCATTTTGTATCTAGGAAAACCTTCATTCCTCTAAGGTTTCAATTTAAGAAAGTTCTCCTCAGGGGACTGTAAAGGGACATATATAGAGCTATGACAGCAAGTACCAGGGCACTGCTCCGCTGGCAACACGAAAATGAAAGTAATAGCCCATAAACCTATAGACAGAAACCAGCACTATGTCAAGGAGACAAGGACTACAGGGCTCTCGACTGAAGCAGGAGAGGGCAATTAAGACTTCTTACTCCTCGTCCTGAAGGGTCTCCTCCTCCTCTTGGATCTGTAACTGGTTCTTCACGGGAGCTAGGTTCTCGGTCTTGGCGTTGTAGTTCCGAAAGCAGACATTGAGCTTCTCATCAAATTCATTTACGAGGTCCTCCATGGACTTGAAGCTGATTATTTCGGAAGAAAAATTCTCAAGCTCGGAGAGGGAGGGGTCCTCGAGATGGTGGGGAGATGAACCATAGAAACACTGGGGCTTCTCCTCCGGGTCCTCCGAGCAGGAGGGTCGAAGGTCCTCAAACTCTTCATCCAGACTCACCAGTGGGGCCTCCATTCTTGCTCAGCAGGAGAACAACAGCGACTTTCAGGATGAGTTTATCTAAAAGAAATGAACAGCGTAATGTGAGTTTAGACCAGGCTAATCTAAATAATAGAGTTAACTTTAGAGACACACCTGCTTCCAATTCCCTACTCCAAAAAACAAGGCACTGGTTAAGTACGAAGCTCCTGGACAAGATCGTCTAGGTTTGCATTCTGTTCTGTCCTACCAGCTGTGACCTTGGGCAAGTGATTAATTGCTCTGTGCTTCTTATTCTTCTCAAGACAGATATAATACTGAACCCACCTCAAAGGGCTGTTAGAAGACTAAAGGAGTAAACACAGGTGAGTGCTTAAAACAGTACCTGGAAGATAATAAGTGCCAATATTATTGAATACTTTCTGTTGGTGTTTTAGTATTATTATTTTTATTACTATTACTATTACCACAGATCCATATCCTTAACTATGTGATCTGAAAGCTGAAAATTCTCCATGACTTGTTTGGCAGCAAAATGTGACATGATCTAAACTCATCTGGCAACTAAACATGACCAACATGAATATAAAGCTGTTCATGGCTTTAATTTATCCCATTTTGTGTGTTTTGCTGCAGAAATATTAACTTTTTAATTACAAAGATTGCTATCCCAGATCCCACTGGATGAAATGCGGAATGTACACTCTATTACTACTTTCCAAAATCTGAAATAATCTGAATTCCAAATGCCTGGCCCCAGGGGTTTTGGATAAGGGTTTGTATACCTAGATATTACTACCCTTATCAATAAATAGTAGAAACTAATAAAACATTGGCTGGATGTGGTGGCTCATGCTTGTAATCCCAGCACTTTGGGAGGTTGAGGTGGGAGGATCATTTGAGCTCACTCAGGAGTTCAAGACCAGCCTGGGCAACATAGTAAGGTCCCATCTCTATTTTTATTTTTTTAAAAAAACTAATAAAACATCAATAGAGACCTTCCAATAAATGCCTGAGTTGTTTTTGTTTCGTTTCGCTTTTGAGACATAGCTTCACTCTGTGGCCCAGGCTGGAGTGCAGTGGTGTGATCTCAGCTCACTGCAACCTACACCTCTGGGTTCCACCAATCCTCATGCCTTGGCCTCCCAAGTAGCTGCGTGTGCCACCACACCCAGCTAATTTTTGTATTATTAGTAGAGATGGGGTTTCACCATGTTGGCCAGGCTGGTCTCGAACTCCTGACCTCAGGTGATCTACCTGCCTCAGCCTCCCAAAGTTCTGGGATTACAGGCATGAGCCACCGTGCCCAGACAAGCACCCAAGGTTTTCCCACACATAGAGCATATGCCTAGGAGCAGAGGAATAGACTAAATGATCTATTATCCTGTATCCTGTAAGAAACAGACCCAACTACCCATGTGCTCCAAAGCCATACTCCATAACCATCTTGGGCACTGCACCCTGGAACGCTGCACACACAGAACTCCCTTCAGTTCCCACCAACTGTGGGACCTCTACCCCTCATCGGGCCATCTTCATGCACTGCTTCCAACTGTGATTTATCCATCTGTGTGTACATCTGGGCCCCATTCAATTTTAACTTAAATTCCTCGAGGACACAGAAATCCTCTGGATATCTTCCCTGGCTCCAAATATACACTGCCTACCCTGTGGCTAGGCAGTCAATCAATATGTGCTCGTTGAAAAAATGATCTATCTCCCACATACAGTTTTCCATTTTCAGTTTCAGGCAGCACAAGCATTGCTGACTATCATACCCTTCTCTACACGCTCAACAGAAAGGCTACCAAGCTTTTCTCTTCGGTCTATAGGGTTATTGATATAGTTAGGTGCTCAAATTGGAGGCGCTTCCTGAGGGGAACCAGACAGCAAAATTCATGGATTTTGCCCTAGGAGTGCCCATTCTCCATCTCTACCTACAAAACTAAAACTCTAAATAAGCAAGGCAAAGGACATGCCAGGCAAGAACACTGCCAGTTTGTACCGGGATTTTGCTGGGATTAAGTTGATTACCGTTGCTTTAAAACATATTTGGAGCATTTACAGTTTGCAAAGGCAACATGATAGGACCTTTGAATACAAAAATATATACAAGTAGTACCATATCTTGGAAAGAAGACAGGCTCGAGAGCCAACAGATCTGCCAATGGCTGGCTGAGTGACAAGCATCATTGGTCCTGATTTCCTCATTTGTTATAAGGAAGGTGTTGGTACAGAGTTAACATCTTTAGGAGTTATTTTTAATAAATCAATAATTTAATTAATCATTTTGATTGAAGTAATATGTTTATTTAATCCAATATATCCAAAGTGTTACCATTTCAAAATGTAATCCACAAAAAAACTAATGAGGCAGTTTTTATTCTTTTTTTATACTAAGCCCTTTGAAATCCAGTGTATATTTTCCATTTACAGTACATCTCACTTTGGACTAGCCACATTGCAAGTGCTCAACAGTCAAATGTGGCCTGTGGCTACCGCAAGGGACAACACAGCTCTAAAGCAAACACAAGTAATTGCCAGTCAGGGGTTCTTCATCTTCAGTACATAGACCCCTGCAGGCTCTTTGAAGGTAACTATATTTCAATGAAATTGGTTTCCTTTACAAGACTAAGTATTTTATTTTATGCATTTAAAAACATTATTTGGAGAAGGAGCCCACAGGCTTCTCCATACCACCAAAGGAGGTCATAGTGCAAAAAAGATTAAGAATCCCTGAGCAACAAAAAAGTGAGATTAGAAAAGATGGCAGAATGCAGTAGAGAGTAAAACAGTTTTCACAGCCCAGGGATTTGTGTTGATTAAGGCAGTACTCTGTGATGGCTAAGAGCATAGGCTTTGGGTTCCTGTCCTGGTCCTGTCACTCCTAGTTGGGAGACTTTGGGCAAGTTATCAACCTCACTGTGCCTCAATTTCATCATCTATAAAATGGAGTTTAAAACAGTGCTTCCCTTGAAGATTACTTTTTGGACTAAATGAGATCATCTTTGAAGTGTTAAGTACAATGTGCAGAATATAGAAAGCATCCAATAAATATCAATCATTCTAGAAAAATCAAAGCTGGGCACGGTGGCTCACACCTGTAATCCCAGCAACTGGAGAGGCTGAGGCAGGAGGATTGGTTGAGCCCATGAGTTTGAGGCTATAGTGAGCTATGATCACACTACTGTATGCCAGCCTGGGTGACAAAGTGAGACCCTATCTTTAAAAAAAAAAAAAAAAAAGTTAAAAATAATTCTAGGAAAACCAGGATAGCTAACTTACATAGAAATGTGATGTGGGGGCTGGGCACAGTGGCTCATGCCTGTAATCCCAGCACTTTGGGAGGCTGAGGTGCGTGGATCACCTGAGGTCAGGAGTTCAAGACCAGCCTGGCCAACATGGCAAAACCCTGTCTCTACTAAAAATACAAAAAAAAAAAATTAGCTGAGCATGGTGGCAGGTGCCTGTAATCCCAGCTACTTGGGAGGCTGAGGCAGGAGAATCGCTTGAGCCCAAGAGGCAGAGGTTGCAGTGAGCCGAGATCATGCCATTGCACTCCAGCCTGGGCAACAAGAGCGAAACTCCATCTCAAGAAAGAAAGAAAGAAAGAAAGAGAGAAAAGAAAGAAAGAAAGAAAGAAAGAAAGAAAGAAAGAAAGAAAGAAAGAAAGAAAGAAAGAAGGAAAGAAGGAAAGAAGGAAAGAAGGAAAGAAGGAAAGAAGGAAAGAAGGAAAGAAGGAAAGAAGGAAAGAAAGAAAGAAAGAGAGAAAGAAAGAAAGAAAGAAAGAAAGAAAGAAAGAAAGAAAGAAAGGTGATGTGGGAGTGCTTCAAGTAAAAGAAAAATTATCCCTGCCATGATATTCTCTGTGCAATGCTTCAATATGCTTATCAAACAAGAGAACTATTGCTGAAAGAATTTTAGCATCTTTTTTACTAAGGCTTCTTTTTTCAATTTATTTGTTCAAAGGTTCCTGGATCGTGGGTTCCATTTTACAGAGATATGAAAGCCAATCCGATAGTGTTGCAGGTATTTACACTGCCTTTAAATTTGTACTTTTCTCTGGGAATGACAGGGGAGAAGCAGATGGTGACACCAGTGGGGTTTCTGATTTGAAATGACACAGTCTATATGATTAACCAGCAACAAGAGGCCAATCCAACCAGAATCTAGGACTAAGACTGAGTTTTGAGTGTTGGCAACAGGAAGAGTGTGCTGAAAGCACTCTGCCCAGGCAGAGTGTAGAGAAAATGGATTCATCTAGAAAATTATAAAAGACGAAATGAATATCACAGCTCTAGGGTTCAGACACATGCTCATTTGAAACAGTCCATAATATAGACTGATTGTTTTTTGTCAACTCATTATCCAAGAGCCAAGAAGTGCTGCATGAATGACCATCTGGAGATGAAGTTAAAGTGAAAGCCAGTGCTGGGAAACTAGTCACTCAACACCCAAACTGAATCCAGCATTTGTGGAAAGACCTCAGGCTGTGGCACAGATGAGAGTCAGGCGTTCTGACTGGCCCCACTATAGCCTCCAGGAGGGCTCTGTGGATTGGGGTTGGCAGCACTTCCTTAGATGGTGACCCTGCCTTCCTTCCTTTAGCCCACTTTCTTTCGCCCTCCTCTCTTCACGGAGTGCTTTCATCCTTCAACTAAAATGTCTGAAACAACCTTATTTTCCATCCTGGCAAGCTTGCACCATCCTCATTCATAGCTCATCTGGGAGCCTTCTTTTCCTTAAAGTAGGATTAATACAAGCGATAGCTTATTCCCTTTAGACTTCCAAGATCAAAAATAAATACGTACATACATGAAAATGGCAGAAAGAAGGAACCATGGGAGGGTCGCCTTTTCTTTTTCTCTTTACCACAGAACAGAGCGCAGGACTATAGTCTGATTGTCCTACAATCTATTCCATTTATTTTCACTCCCAATAGATGGTGTAATTTGGAAAAGAAAAGACACTCACGGGGCTTAACAGAGACCCAGTAGGAAACGCATAAACGTCTCCCTGCAGCACAATGATGCACTCGCTGCATCTCGGGGCTGCGGTACAAATGCTCAGTCCCTGCTTTGCTGAGCTGACCCGAGTGGAGCGGAGCGGTGGAGATTTCACCACGCTAACCCCGCTGGGCCTCGGCACCTCCACACAAGCCCCATTCCATCTCCTTCTTCCCATCACTTGGTCCATAGATCAACTGATTCCGTGCCTCGTCCCCCATATCCGTCCCTAAAACCTACCCTGCACTGATCCACCTTCAGATTTCCCACTGCTCCTCCGCAGAACCCACCCAGTGTGCATGTTTGTGCACATTTTGACAGAAAAAGTATTTCGTTGCATATGGATCAGCAACCCCTTCGCGGTTCTGCTTGCTCCCCTCCCCCTCCTCCCGCTGCTCCATTCACCTCCATCTCAGATCCCCCTCCTCCCCCCAGTCCGGTGGGGTAAAGAAAGCCTCCTCCAGGCAGCACAATGGCTGGCACTCTGAGGAAGCCGGACTCATCCCGTGCAGGCCGCATACACACTCCACTGCCCTTCCGGCCAAACAAGCCCGGACACGGGAGAGGGATGAGAGTCGGGGATGCCTAGCGGCGAGGAGAGAAGGGATAGGCAAAAGGGAAGAAGAGCGGGCTGTGATACCTCCTCGACGCCGTCAAACACTGCTCCCCGCATTCCAGAGCCCGGGGCCCACCCGACGGCAGCGCGCCCCGCCACCGCGCAGCCGCCCCGGTCCCTTCTCCCGCCCGTCTGTAGTAAAACAATCGCTCTCCCGGCGTCTGCGGCCGCTGCCAGCGGTTCTGACACTGCAGGAATGCGCGGTCTGGGGAAGGCTCCGCACTCTGGGGAGGGGCACGAGCGGGGTCGGGGGTAAGTTTTTAGGGACAAAGATGATCTTGGGGCGTTTACGGTGACTGGACCAGATAACGGTCCCGGGACGAGGTACCGACCCACTGCCCCAGCGCGATCGGGCGGCGTTCCCTTCTTCCCCCAGCCCCCATACCTCGCCGCCCTGCCTTCACACGCGCGCACACACGCGGGCACACACACGCGGACACACACACACACACACACACACACACACACACACCAGGCCTGGCTGGAGGGCCGATGCTGAGATGATACTGGAAGTGCCCATCATCCCACATCTCCAGGGCCTGGCGCGGCGTCCCAGCTGCGCTCCCTGAAGGGCTGGGCAGGAAGGCGACGGCCTCCCGTTGTTCCTTTCTAATCCCAGAATGGGACCAGGTGAGGGGAGCTGCGGCGACCCCAGACCGTCCTGTCAGAGAATCCCGGGGCCTCCTTACCACCCCCACCAGACCCCACCCCCAGCAGTGAGTCGGGTCCTAACTAAAGTCAACCCCCGCGACGGCACCTGTGCGGGTCCTGGCGGAGGGAGGCGGATCCCGGGGCTCAGCCGGACACCCCCATCCACGGGCCGCGGGAGCGGCCGGAGCGCAGCGCAGCGCAGCGGAGAGCCAGCCAGCCAGCCAGCCAGCGAGCGCTCCCCGCGCAGCTCCGGCGGCGCCCGGCTCCGCTCCCGCCTCCACCCCACCCCTTCCCCGCGCTCGTGCCCGGGCTCCGGGGGCGCGCCCGCGCTCGGGCACCCACCCAACTGGCACGCGCGGGAGCTGGACGTCATCCCCTCGTTAACATTCATAGCCTTCCTCCGAGCACGTGGGCTTGCCTTTATTAATATTTATGCATTTCTGTTTCTCTCCTCTTTAACATTGGCCTTTCTGCTTCCCTCATGAATATTCAGAAACTCCAAGATGAAAGCGTGCAATAACTACCAATATGGATACCTCGCAAAGCCTGACACTAGTTTCTGGATAAAATGCAGGCGATGGCTGCTGGCGGATGCCGGCAGACACACTCAAAGACCCTTTTGGACTTTCCGAGTTTCCCATTCTCCTCTACTGGAGGCTGAGGCGGGCAGGCCCAGCGACGTCTCCCAGCTCCAACTGGGTTCGGACCTCAAGCCAAAAATGAGGAGGCCGGCAGGAGAGCTTTTCTCGCCCAAAGATGCTGGGTGGGAGCTGGATCCAGCTGAAAAATCTGAGTGAGAAGGTTTCAGGCCCAGGAGGACTTGAGATAATACAGGAAAATTCAAGAGGCTGAAATGAGAAGGGTCCCTGGAGTCTTGTGAAAAATTATTAATTTATCTTGTCTACTGTGCATAGGCCTGTGCTTATAGAAGTTGTCAATAAAAAATCTAATAATTCACGAATACACACAACTAAGAGCACAAGAACTGTAATTATCGAAGGAAGGCACTGGAAAAAGCATGTCGGCTTGGAGAACCCCAAGTACTTTTGTCTGATGGCAAAGTACCTCTGGGCTGAACTGAGGACTTCAACTGGAAGGGGCAGGGAGCGTCTCTTTTGCTCGTTTATGCATTCATTCCACAGACATTTCAACCATGAGAAGGATGGAAACAGGAATAATGTCCCAATGAGATGAGAAGAAGCGTTGGCCTATTTGCCTTTGTGGGAGCAATAGACAGAGGATGTCTTCCTGTAAGAAATCATAAGGCCAGGCACGGTGGCTCACACCTATAATCCCAACATGTTGGAAAGCTGAGGCAGGAGGATCACTTGAGGCCAGGAGTTCAAGACCAGCCTAGGCAACATAGTGAGACCCCATCTCTATAAAAAAAAAAAAATTAGCCAGGCATGGTGGGCCCATCCTGGTAGCCCATCCTGGTAGCCCCAGCTACACTGGAGGATGAGGTGGGAGGATCGCTTGAGCCCAAGAGGTTGAAGCTGCACTCCAGCCTGGGCGACAGCAAGACCTTGTCTCAAAAGTAAATAAATAAATAAATAAATCACAAAGAGTAGCTGGTTAAAAGATCCCTAGATCTCCTTTCTTGGGATCATGCCCAGTTTTGTGACCTTGGGTTAGTTAACTTCCCTGTGGCTCATTTCCTCATCTGTAAAATGAAGAAAATAATAGTGCCCGCCGGGCGCGGTGGCTCACGCCTGTAATCCCAGCACTTTGGGAGGCCGAGGCGGGCGGATCACGAGGTCAGGAGATCGAGACCATCCTGGCTAACACGGTGAAACCCCATCTCCACCAAAAATACAAAAAATCAGCTGTGCGTGGTGGCGGGCGCCTGTAGTCCCAATTACTCGGGAGGCTGAGAATGGCGTGCACCCAGGAGGCGGAGCTTGGAGTGAGCCGAGATTGCGCCACTGCACTCCAGCCTGGGTGACAGAGCGAGACTCCGACTCAAAAAAAAAAAAAAGAAAGAAAATAATAGTGCCCCACTCTATTGTGGCCTGTTGTGGGATTAAAGGAGTGAATATGAGTAAAGTACTTCCAGGTTTATTAGAAGGCACTATATGTATGTATGTGTGTATATATATACACACACACATATATATGTCATATATATGTCTCATATAGATGTCCCATATATACGTCTCATATAGATGTCCCATATATATGTCTCATATAGATGTCCCATATATGTCTCATATAGATGTCCCACATATATGTCTCATATAGATGTCCCACATATATGTCTCATATAGATGTCCCACATGTATGTCTCATATAGATGTCCCACATGTATGTCTCATATAGATGTCCCACATGTATGTCTCATATAGATGTCCCACATGTATGTCTCATATAGATGTCCCACATGTATGTCTCATATAGATGTCCCACATGTATGTCTCATATAGATGTCCCACATGTATGTCTCATATAGATGTCCCATATATATGTCTCATATAGATGTCCTATATATGTGTGTGTGTATATATATATGTGTGTGTGTATATATATGTGTGTGTGTGTATATATATATGTGTATATATATGTATATATATATATGTCTTGGCTAATTTGAGGCCATCTTTTGTCTAGATCTTCAGAGCATGGGACAAACAGATTTGAGAGAAGCTTGTGAAGTACTGAAAGTGATAAAGAACTTGGTCTTCAGCTGGTGACCTTGTTAGTTATCCTCTCTGTACCTCAGTTTTCTCATCTGTAAAATGGAGATGCCAATATCTGCTGTTGGATGCCAATATCTACTACAAGGTTGTTGTTATGCATATTAAGTAATATAATGCATGCAAAATGCTTAGCACAGTGCCTGGCATATAATAAGAAACCAATTAGTGGATTCTGTGGTTATTTTTGTGAGGCTATGAAGAAACTGAAAGCTGAGGACAAGTAGCCTAGGCTAGGTACCTAGGATGAGAAATCCCTGAACATGAGCCCAGTTATTCTTCCAGCAAACACTTATTTTATTGTAGTAAGATATATATAACATAAAAATTACTATTTTAACCATTTTTAAGTGTACAATTCACTGGTATTAAACACATTCACATTGCTGTGTAACCACCACCACTATTCATCTACAGAAATTTTGTTATCCAAACAGAAACTCTGTATCCATTAAACACTAACTCCCCAGTACTCCCTTCCCCAGCCCCTGGTAACCACTATTCTAATTTTGTCTCTAAGAATTTGACTATTCTAAGTACCTCATGTAAGTGTAATTATACAATATTTGTTTTTTGTATCTGACTTATTTCACTTAGCACAATGTTTTCAAGGTTAATCTATGTTGCAACAATGTCAGAATTTCTTTTCTTTTTAAGGTAAATAATATTCCATGGTATGTATATACTACATTTTGTTTATCTATTCATCTGCCCATGGACATTTGGATTGTTTCCACCTTTTGGCTATTGTGAATAATGCTACTAATCTGTCATGGGATTAGAGTGAGAAAGAAAGAATAAAAAAATAATGCTGCTGTCAACATCGGTGTACAAATTCCAGCAAGCATTGGTTGCATTCCATGACCTAGGCTAGAAGCTGGGGAGCTAAAAATGAAGGCATGCTTTCAAGAGGTTCCATGTTTAGTATGTTGATTTCCAAACTCTGCTGCTTAGAACCTGCAGTGGATTGAATGGTATTTTCCTAAAATTTGTGTCTACTCAGAACCTCAGAATGTGACTTTTACAGATGTAATCAGTTATGATGAGGTCATACTAGATTCGGGTAGGCCCTAAATCCAATGACTGGTGTCCTTATAAGAAGAGGAGAGGAGGCTGGGCATGGTGGCTCACACCTGTAATCCTAGCACTTTGGGAGGTGAGTAGATCAACTGTGGTCAGGAGTTCGAGACCAGCCTGGACAACATGGCGAAACCCCATCTCTACTAAAAATTAAAAAAAAAAAAAAATTAGCAGGGTGTGGTGTCACATACCTATAATCCCAGCTACCTGGGAGGCTGAGGAAGGAGAATCGCTAGAACCGGGGAGGCGCAGGTTGCAGTGAGCTGAGATCATGCCACTGTACTCCAGCCCAGGTGACAAAGCAAGACTATGTCAAAAACAAAAACAAAAAATACAAGAGGAGAGCATGCATAGGAAAGGAGGCAGAGATTGGAGTAATTCAGGTACAAGCCAAATGACACCAAGGATTGCCAGGAACCACCCAAAGCTAGAATGAGGCAAGAAAAGATTCTTCCCCAGGACCTTCAGTAGGTAGCATGGCCCTGCTGACAGCTTGATTTTGGACTTCCAGCCTCTAGAACCATGAAACCATAAATTTCTATTTAAAGATCATTTGTCGTGGCAGGCCTAGGAAACTAGTACAAATTTTGGTAGTAGAAAGTGGGATGCTGCTGTAACAAATATTTAAAAATGTGGAAGTGCCTTTGGAACATCGTAATGCAAAGAGGCTGGAAGAAGTTTGAGACACATGACAGAAAAAGCCTATATTGCCCCAAAGAGACTGTTGGTATAATTATGAATATTAAGGGCAATTCTAGTGAGGCTTCAGAAATGAGGAGACTGTAGAGAAAGTTTCTACGGTCATAGAGAATACATATATTATTATAACAAATAGGAATATGAATGTTAAAGGTGATTCTGGTAAGGTCTAAGATGGAAATGAGGAACTGTTGTTAGAAACTGAACAAAAGACAAACTGTGTTATAGAGTGGCAGAGAACTTGGCTGAATTTTGTCCTGCTCTTGGAAGGCAAGTAGAACTTGTAAGCGATGAACTTGTATATTTAGCTGAGATTTCCAGGCAAAGTGTAGGAGATTTGGCCAGGTTTCTCCTTGCTGCTTATAGTAAAATGCAAGAAGGAATGATGGTGTGGATCCCTTTCACTCCTAAGTAGCAAGTTACACAGGAGACCAACATGGTTTCTGAGAATTTTATACCAACAGAAACACTGTCAGCCTGGAATGAAAAGGACGGAGATGAAATGAAGGACAAGTCTTAGACCTCTGAAATTCCACAGGCAGAAAATAGGCTGATGTACGTTCTTGGCAGCAAACATGGGTTATCCTTCAAGAAAAAGAAAGAATGACTCTTAGGATGGGGCCCACTGCCCTGGATCCAGAGGATGGAGCATCGAACCATAAGGGATTTTTCTCAGGCCTCGAAACCTAATGGAACTTCCCCTGCTGTTCTACAAGCTTGCTTTGGACTAATGACCCCCTGTTTTCCTTCCATTTTCTCTCTTTCAAAAATGTTTTTTTAATTTTTTTTGTAGAAATGGGGTCTCACTATGTTGCCCAGGCTGGTCTCAAACTCTTGGCCTCAAGGGATCCTCCCACCTCAGCCTCCCAAAGGACTAAGATTATAGGCAAGAGCCACTGTGCCCAGCCCTCATTTTCTCCCTTCTGCAAGGGGAATGTCCATCCAATGTCTGCTCTACCACTCTATTTTGGAAACAAATCATTTGATTTCTAATTTCATAGGTCCACAATGGGAGAGGAATTTTGCCCCAGAATGTATCACACCTAGAGTTTCACCCATACCTGATTTAAATGATGAGATTTGGAACTTTTAGATTTTATATTTGTAATAGATGAGATTTAGATTTAGAGCTAATGCTGGAATGGGTTAAACCTTAGGAAAGTTGGGATGTGACCAGGTACTGTGGCTCACGCCTGTAATCCCAGCACTGTGGAAGGCTGAGATGGGCAGATCACTTGAGGTCAGGAGTTCGAGACCAGCCTGGCCAACATGGTGAAACCCTGTCCCTACCAAAAATATAAAAAACTAACCTGGTGTGGTGGTGTGTGCCTGTAATCCCGACTATTCGGGAGGCTGAGGCAGGAGAATTGCTTGAACCTGGGAGGCAGAGGTTGCAGTGAGCTGAGATTGAGCCGCTGTACTCCAGCCTGGACAACAGAGCGAGAGTCCCGTCTAAAAAAAAAAAACAAAACAAAACAAACAAACAAAAAAAAAACCCAGAATGTTGGGATGGGATTAATGTATTTTGCATGAGGAGTAGACATGAACTTTGGGGGAGCCACAGGGTAGATTGTAGTGGGATGGATAATGTTCCCCAAAAACACATGTCCACCCCAAACTTCAGTATATGACTTTATTTGGAAATAGGGCCTTTGCAGATGTAATTAGTTAAAATGAGACCATACTACATTAGGGTGGTCTTGAAATCTAATTATTTGGTGTCATTGTTAAGGCAGTCCTAAAAAACTAGTACGGAACCCTAGAAAGAGTTAAGGATGTAACTCAATATTCAACATACTTTAATACCTCCTGTGTACAAAGCACTGTGCCAAAATTAAGGATGCAGCAATGAAGAAAATAACTCATGCACTGGCACATGACTTAGCATATAGTATGTGCTCAATAAGTGCTGACTGTGTGTTATTAGGGGTTTCAGGGATCCTCCTTAGAGCTGATAGAACTATTCCCACCTCCCTATCCCTTCAATCAGACTTAGTCCAATTTTATTTTTATACATTCTAAAAGTTTCTAGAGCTTTACAAAGTTTCAGCTGGGAGCAGTGGCTCATGCCTGTAATCCCTGAACCTTGGGAGGTTGAGGAGGGAGGATCACTTAAGCCCAGGAGTTTGAGACCAGCCTGAGCACCATGGTGAAATCTCCTCTCTACTAAAAATTAAAAAGTAAAAATTAGCCAGGCATGGTGGTACACTCCTGTAGTCCCAACTACTTTGGAGGCTAAGGTGGGAGGATCGCTTAAGCCCTCAGAGGCGGAGGTTGCAATGAGCTGAGATGGCTGCACTGCACTCCAGCCTGAGACACAGAGCCAGACCCTGTCTCAAAAATAAATATCTAGCTGGGTGCGGTGGCTCACCCCTGTAATCCCAGCACTTTGGGAGGTCGAGGCTGGTGGATCTTCTGAGCTCAGGAATTCGAGACTAGCCGGGGCAACATAGTAAAACCTCATCTCTATCAAAAATAAAAATAAAAAGTTAGCCGGGCACGGTGTTGCACACCTGTGGTACCAGCTACTCGGGAGGCCGAGACAGGAGGATCGTTTGAGCCTGAGAAGCGGACACTGAAGTGAGCTGAGATTGCACCTCTGCACTCCAACCTGGGTGACAGAGTGAAACTCCATCTCAAAAATAAATAAATAAATAAATAAATAATATACACTAAGGGAAAGTGTACACATAAAAAAAAGGAAAAAAAAATCCACATCCACAGAGAAGCTGATTATTTGATAGAATGACTTAGGCATTGAAATAAAAGATAGTGGACATTGAGTAAATGTTTGTCAAATGAATGAACCAAAACATCCAAAAGGAGATTTGGGCTCTGGGGTCTGAATAACTAAGTTTAAACCTTGATTCCGGCCGAGCGCAGTGGCTCACGACTGTAATCCCAGCACTTTGGGAGGCTGAGGCGGGCGGATCACGAGGTTAGGAGATCGAGACCATCCTGGCTAACACGGTGAAACCCCGTCTCTACTAAAAATACAAAAAATTAGCCAGGCGTGGTGGCGGGCACCTGTAGTCCCAGCTACTCGAGAGGCTGAGGCAGGAGAATGGCATGAACCCGGGAGGTGGAGCTTGCGGTGAGCAGAAATCGTGCCACTGCACTCCAGCCTGGGCGACAGAGCAAGACTGCGTCTCAAAAAAACAAAAACAAAAACAAATAAACCTTGATTCCAGAGTCATTAGCTATGTTTCTTAGTTAACTTCTCTAATATTTTCTTTTGCTGGGGTTTTTGTGAGTGTTGAACCCCTTAGATACAAGCTGAGTGCCTTGAATCTAGTTAGTGCCTAATAATGAAACAAGCTACTATTTGCTAAGTAAGGAAAACTGAGGACTGGTGCCATGTAATCCCGGCACTTTGGGAGGCTGAGGCAGGAGGATTGCTTGAAGCCAGGAGTTGGAAACCAGACAGGGCAACAAAATAAGACCCCGTCTCTACCAAAAAAAAAGAAAAGGAAAGAAAGAGAGAAAGAAGCCTGGACAAAAAAATGAGATCTTGTCTAAAACACACACACACACACACACACAAAAGAAAAACTAAGGCTGAGTCATAGCTACAAACTGCTGCTTTTTGGGGATACAGAGTAAATCATTCTGGGAATCCCATC
Source organism: Homo sapiens (assembly GCF_000001405.40). Lineage (NCBI taxonomy): Eukaryota > Metazoa > Chordata > Mammalia > Primates > Hominidae > Homo > Homo sapiens. The sequence continues at coordinate 125,504,110 of NC_000011.10, forward strand.
AACACCATTCTAGGGGCTGATTTCAAGGCATTTTGATTTACTTGATAATAGAATCAAAGAACCTTAGAACATATGGAGTATTTAAAGCTCATCTAGCCTGATCACCAACCTGATGCAGAAACCAATATCCCTCCCAGACTGGGAGAATAGAAACACACCTACAGTAATGAGAAAATTTACCTCATAGGGTCACCTAGTCCCTTTTTAAAAAATGGCTTTCAAGTCTGGAAATGGCTTTTTAAGATTAGAAATTCAGTGATAGTGTGATATGTATTGTGGTTATTCTATTTGATCTTCCTTAGAAAGATCCTTCTTGATGAAGCCAGTTTTCCATGAGACTCTGGAAATGAGCTGCTGAGGCTTTATTGAAAACCTGTGTCAATCACAGTGCAGCAAATAAAGATGAGCTCATACCTACCAACATTTTAAGACTACTCTGTTTTTCTGTCACTGGTAGTTCTCAAACTCCAACACTTAATTCAAGCCTGTATTCATTTCCATCCTTAATATCCAGGGTTGATTAAACTCCCTGATTTGTTTCCACAAGGGAAATGGAATATTCCCCCAAGATTCAAAATCTATTCATAGCCACCCAGTCAGCAGGTAATTACTCCCTACCACATGTACTAAGAACAAGATCATATTACTTTCAAAGAGAATGGGCAGTAGTATAAAAATGGACAATAAATCAACTCCAAGAATAATTATACATTTCAGAATGCTCACCTCTGTTACCTGATAAAAACACAAAATACACAAACTAGTTGACAAATAGAGTAAATGAATGAGATCACTTAAGATACTGGGAATTTCAGGCTGAGGTAGGAAGATTGCTTCAGCCCAGTAGTTTGAGGCTGCAGTGTGCTATGATCTTACCTGTGAATGCCTGCTCCACTCCAGCTTGGGCAACATAGTGAGACCTTGTCTTTAAATACGAAAGGAAGGCTTGGCGCGGGGGTCCCCGGGGAGGGGAGGCTGGGAGTAGAGGGGAATGGAGGAGAGGAGAAAGGAGTGGAGGGACAAACTGGAAATTCCCATAAGTGCACCTTGTCAAAAAGAAAAAGAGGTAGAAAGGGCCAGGGGTGGTGGCTCATGCTTGTAGTCCCAGCACTTTGGGAGGCCGAAGCAGGAGGATTGCTTCAGCCCAGGAGTTTGATACCAGCCTGGGCAACACAGTGAGACTGCATCTCTATGAAAAGTTTTTTAAAAATAAATAAAATAAATATATATACCAAAAGAAGAGAAAGAGGAAGGAAGAAAAGAAGGAACTGGAAATTCCCATAAGTGCAAATATGTTGACAATTGTTTTTTCTACACAAGAAGAGAATTGGATATTTCAAAAAAGGAGACCCTCTGGAATCTGGTTGTTCAATAGAAAAAAGAAAAAAGAAAAGAGAACCACAAATTTTAATAGGAATAGAAAATGAGGTCCCCACTGTGGGAAGCTTTTAGACCTACAGTGGCCCAGGAAAAACAAGCAAACAAACATATCATTAATCTTCAATTCTCTGTGGCTACCAAGTGATTCATCAGCACAGATCAGCATATGCCCTGGGTGAATGAGGGAAGGCATAGGCTATTATTGTCTCTTACTCTATAGGAAATAGAGCCCAGTCGACAGTGCCATGGTGGGGGGCAGAGGGCAGCACTCTTGAGATGGCTCAGCTCTGTGAGCTCACTTTTAAGTTAGATTTTTATTCTTCTTAAGACCCCCCAGTTCAAGCAGGGACTTTATCTCTGCAAACCCCTGAGGACTGATTCCCACTCCCCTCTATCTCAGACTAATCTTCTCTATTTTCTGCTATCCCCAGGATGCCCTGGTAATCAGAGTTGTGATTCAGAAGTGACCTTGAGGAAACAGAAATGCCAAAGAACATTAGCATTTCACTGCACCAGTCCAGCCACATAAAAATCACTTCACTACCAGCAAACCCCCAGGGCCCAGCAAGCCATGCAAATACTGCCCAGGGCCACCTCTGTCCTCTTTAAGGCCTCAACTTTGAGCCATGACTGCATTTTCAACCCTGTGAACATGATGAGCAAAGGACCCACATTATCCCCAAAGTCTCACTTCGCCAAGATTTAAATAAGCCAATCTCTTCTAGTTGTCACATTCTACGAGGTGAGAGCCTAATAACACAGAACACCAAGTCCCAAAGAAGAGGTGTGCTGAGCCAGGTTGCTCTGACAAAGATTCTTTGCTTGACAAATCTTTAGTCAGGCTCCTGAACCTTCCCCTAGATCAATCTGTGCACTTCCTTATAAAATCCAGTTTCAGCAAGAACCGTGTGAAGTTTAGCAAGAACCCTCTACCCCCAATATCTGATCAGGGTCCTCATCCTCTACCATCCCCCAGGTGATGTCTGACCACCCTGGCCTATCTTCAGCAAAAATCCTGTTAGGTTGCTTTAGCCAGAATCCCCCTTATCCCTGATGTTTCCACCTAGTAATTTTTCATCCACTGATCCTTGTCCTGTTTTTGGCTATAAATTCCCACTTGTCCATCTATTTCAGAGTTGAGCCCAATCTTTGTTCCCCACTGCAGAATCCTATTGCAGTGGTCCCTATGCTTATTGCAGTGGTCCTCAATAAAGTTTACTTTACTGTGCTTTAACAAGTATCATTGAGGCCGGGCGTGGTGGCTCACGCCTGTAATCCCAGCACTTTGGGAGGCTGAGGCGGGCAGATCACGAGGTCAGAAGATCGAGACCATCCTGGCTAACATGGTGAAACCCTGTCTCTACTAAAAATACAAAAAACATTAGCCGTGCATGGTGGCGGGCGCCTGTAGTCCCAGCTACTCGGGAAGCTGAGGCAGGAGAATGGCGTGAACCCGCGAGGCAGAGCTTGCAGTGAGCCAAGATTGCACCACTGCACTCCAGCCTGGGCCACAGAGCTAGACTCCATCTCAAAAAAAAAAAAAAAAAAAAAAAAACAAGAATCATTGAATAATTTTTTCTTCAACAGCTCCCTTAAGAATATATAAAGGAAGGGCTGGGCACAGTGGCTCATGCCTGTAAATCCCAGCACTTTGGGAGGCTGAGGTGGGTGGATCACAAGGTCAGCAGTTTGAGACCAGCCTGGCCAATATGGTGAAACCCCATCTCTACTAAAAATACAAAAAAAATTAGCCAGGCATGGTGGCACATGCCTGTAATCCCAGCTACTCAGGAGGCTGAGGCAGGAGAATTGCTTGAACTCAGGAGGTGGAGGTTGCAGTGAGCCGAGGTCACGCCATTGCACTCCAGCCTGGGCAACAGAGCGAGACTCCATCTCAAAAAAAAAAAAAAAAAAACCAATATATAGAGGAAATGGCCAGGTTTGCTGGCTCACACCTGTAATCCCAACACTTTCAGAGGCTGAGGAGGGCAGATCACCTAAGGTCAGGAGTTTGAAACCATCCTGGCCAACACAGTGAAACCCCATCTCTACTAAAAATACAAAAATTAGCTGGGTGTGGTGGTGGGCACCTGTAATCTCAGCTACTCGGTAGGCTGAGACAGGAGAATCGCTTGAGCCCAAGAGGTGGAGGTTGCAGTGAACCGAGATTGCACCACCGCACTCCAGCCTGGGTGACAGAGCAAGACTCCATATCAAAAAAAAAAGACTATGTAGAGGAAATGATATCCTGAAAAACTCTTGACATGGTATGGCATTGAAACTGGGTTTTGGAAAGCTATGAGAGAAAAAAAATTCATTGTTGGATATTGATCAGATACCCAGGGGCACATGAGAAGTGAACTATGGAGTGCTTACCACTGTCTTAGAAAAGCCGTTGGATAGAGAATGAACATAAAACCAAAAGCTTTGAGAGGCTTGGCATCTATGATCAAAGTCAGCTGATTTTGTAGATTGGCAGAGTCAAATAAATCCAGATTCTTTCCAGGGTAAGAATTTGTTCTTTGGGTATAATGCTTGGACATGAATGCAATGCAAAATGTATAAATCAAAGAAAGCTCATTCATGACCTATTAGAAAAGAAAAGATTATCCCAAAGTCTAATAGTGGCACCTTTGTTTATAGCTAAAAGAAATGAATAGAAATTATTCTTAAATCCTTTTGTAAACTTGTTTCGAACAGAAAAAAATTGATCCACATTAAGTAATCCAGGTCTCTACTACTTGCAAGACCAGAAAAAATTCCCAGTTTAGTGTTCCACATAATTGTGTGATTATGGTAGATCTAATATCTAGTGCATTAAAAGAGAGGAAAACTAAAGGTAAGGGAGAAGAAGGAGAAGAATACATGACCTTGGTAACTGGGAAAAGCTCCACAGGCTAGGAGTCAGGAGTTTCGGACTTAAGTGTCAACTTTACCATTAGCTAGCTTTGTGACCAGGGAAAATTACTTAGGTTTTCTAAACCTCAATTTCCTCTGGTATAATATAAAGGGCTTACAATAAAATCCTTTCCTGGTTATAAATTTCATGAATCTAAACTCTTTTCTTTAAAAACGGATCCCCAAACTGTCCCAATTTTGTTTAAATTGACCCCAAATTCATTCAGGTATCATAGATGGTTTTTTAATATCTTTGCCTTTGTTTTTCAATTTGTAGACTCCTATATATTTCATAGGGATATTGTGAGAATGTGAGACAAAACAATACTTAGTTGTACAAAATCCTAGATAGAAAGCAAAGAAAGTGAAATCTATGAATTAACTTCAGTTCCATTTTATTCAGAAATTTTCTCTAACCAAACCTCAATTGCTACTTAGTCATAAAAAGAAAAAGTTCATGACTTATATCCATTGGATATTCTTTAATTTCCCATTCTAGGATGCTGGGTTTGCCAAATAAAAATATAGGACACCCTGTTAAATTTGAATTTCAGATAAGTGATGAGTAATTTTTTTTAAATAAATATCACACAAATATTGCATAGGACAGATTCATACTAAAAATTACTCATTGTTTATATGTAATTCAAATATAACTTGGCATGCTGTATCTCTATTTTATCTGGTGTAGGGGTAAAGAAAATTTTTTCCTCCCCCTCTGAATGTTTGCGTCCTTAATTCTGCTGAAATAAACTGACAATAGACATATTAGCAGGAGAAAAAAAGCATACAAATTCAGTAATGTGTAAGTGTGCATGGGAGCCACAAAATATGAGATTCAAAGAAGGGCCAGATGGTTGAAGCTTAAATACCCTCTTCATAGAGGAGAGGGAAGTGAGGGATGTAGGCAATTTTAGAAGAAGAAGAAATGAGTTTTTAGGAGCACTGAGTGGGCCCAAAGAGCAGACGATAGCCCAGCACAAAACTCCGCTGGGCTTTGTGAGAAGTGTCAACAAGTTACAGGAAGTTTGGGGGCAGAACTGCACTGAGAACAAAGGCTATCTTATTATGCAGATAAAATATCTCAGATTAGCCCTTAGAAGAATAAGTAGAAGGAATAGGTGAAAAGTCTGTCAAAGGATGGTGTCCTGGGCATAGAAACTTTTACTTTTCTTTCCTTCAATACAAGTTAATCTTCTCTAGTTAATGTAAATCCCAGGAAGAGGGCCCAAGACAATTGCATTCCTTCTGGATGAACTCCCCTCAGTCAGATAAGGGAATTTCTTTCTTTCTTTTTTTTTTTTTGAGACAGAGTCTCACTCTGTTGCCCAAGCTGGAGTGCTGTTGCGCCATCTCGGCTTACTGCAACCTCCAGCTCTCTGGTTCAAGCAGTTCTCTGCCTCAGCCTCCCAAGTAGCTGGGATTACAGGTGCCTGCCATCACACCCTGCTAATTTTTGTATTTTTAGTAGAGACAGGGTTTCACCATGTTGGCCAAACTGGTCTTGAATTCCTGACCTCGTGATCGACCTGTCTCAGCCTCCCAAAGTGCTGGGATTACAGGTGTGAGCCACCACCCAGCCTTTTTGTTTGTTTGTTTATTTGTTTGTTTTTGTTTTCGCTTGAGACAGAGTTTTGCTCTTGTCACCCAGGCTGGAGTGCAATGTCCCAATCTCGGCTCACTGAAACCTCCACCTCCTGGATTCAAGCAATTCTCCTGCCTCAACCTCCTGAGTAGCTGGGGTTACAGGCATCTGTCACCACACCCAGCTAATTTTTGTATTTTTAGGAGAGATGGGGTTTCACCATGTTGGCCAGGCTGGTCTCGAACTCCTGCCCTCAGGTGATCCACCCATCTCAGCCTCCCAAAGTGCTGGGATTACTGGTGTGAACCACCACACACGGCCAGATAAAGGAATTTCAGAGATGACCTCTCACTGCACTTCCTAAGGGAAAAGAGGGAAGGAGGAGGTCACAGAGAGAGCTTTGTTCTAAGTCTTATTTCTAAGACCTTTCAATCTCTTTTGTTCAAAGCACTCAGCCTGCCAAAGCTTCATATTTTGAGGTATCATTTTCTGAGCCCTAGCACTGGTAACACTTTACCTATCCTTACCTTGGTGGAGATATGCAATTCCCAAATAATTTGTGTCAGTGATAATTAATTAAGTTGTGTACTTTTTAGTATATATATTCTGTCTCTAAAAAAGTTTGACACATGGCCAGGTGCACTGGCTCATGCCTGTAATCCCAACACTTTGGGAGGCCGAGGCAGGTGTATCACTTAAGCTCAGGAATTTGAGATCAGCCTGAGTGACATGGCAAAACCCCATCTCTACAAAAAGAATACAAGAATTAGCTGAGTGTGGTGGTGCACACCCGTAGTTCCAGCTACTCAGGAGGCTGAGGTGGGAGGGTCACTTGAGCCTGGGAGGCAGAGGTTGCAATGAGCTGAGATCACACCACCGTACTCCCTCCTGGGTGATAGAGTGAGACCCTGTGTTAATTAAAAAAAAAAAAAAGTTTAAAACAATGTTCCTGGCCAGGCACAGTGGCTCACGCCTGTAATCCCAGCACTTTGGGAGGCCAAGGCGGGTGGATCGCCTGAGGTCAGGAGTTTGAGACCAGCCTGGACAATGTGGTGAAATCCCATCTTTACTAAAAATACTAAAATTAGCCAGGTGTGGTGGCAGGCGCCTGTAATTCCAGCTACTCGGGAAGCTGAGGTAGAGAATTGCTTGAACCCAGGAGGCAGAGGTTGCAGTGAGCCGAGATCATGCCATTGCATTCCAGCTTGGGTGACAAGAGCAAGACTCCATCTAAAAAAAAAAAAAAAAAAGAATGTTTCTAAATGATATTTTAATTGTTCTTGAATAATAAGTCTGATTTTTATGTGCTGTTGTCTTTCTTCTCCCTCTCCTCCACACTTTAAGAGTATCTTCTGTGAGCATTTCAGAGTGTCACATCTGGATATCCCCTGAAACCAACTGCTCTATAGGGAGAGTGAAAACAGGAGTAAGAGGCCGGTACAGTGGCTCATGCCTGTAATCCCAGCATTTTGGGAGGCTGAGGCAGGTGGATCACAAGGTCAGGAATTCGAACCAACCTGGCCAATATGGTGAAAACCCATCTCTACTAAAAATATAAAAATTAGCTAGGTGTGGTGGCAGCCACCTGTAATCCCAGCTACTCAGGAAGCTAAGGCAGGAGAATCACTTGAAACCAGGAGGCAGAGTTTGCAGTGAGCCGAGATCGCCCCACTGCACTCCAGCCTGGGTGACAGAGCAAGACTCTGTCTCAAAAAAAAAAAAAAAAAAGAAAAGAAAAGAAAATAGGAGGAAGAAAAAGGAAGGTGTAGCCAGCAGAAAATTTCTAAAGAAGGAATTGTTGCGGGACACAGAGGACTAGAGAGACTAGTACGGGTGAATACAAGAGGTATTTATTTTAAGGTACACAATGGCTCAGTGGATTCACATCTAAAAAGCTGAGCCAGTGCGTACCTTAAAATAAATATCCTCCTGTATTCACCCGTACTAGTCTCTCTAGTCCTCTGTGTCCCGCAACATTTCTTGGAGAGCCAGCCAGGAGGAGTGGAGATGGCAGATTTACTGTCTCCTTTGCCTGTGGGGCTGGAGCCCCAGGTCAAAGGAAACCTGTGACCCCAGGCGCCGCCGGGAGAACTTCAGCCCAGAAAGGAAATCAGCTCTCCTGTGACCCGGCACCCCTAACCAGCAGCACAACAAAACTTGAGAGGCTACAGGACAATTCCAGAAACAGTGTGCTTCAGGAACCACGGTCAAGTATTGAGTCCCAAGGCAGGACCTGTCCCATAAGGACAGAAGAGGAGCCTGATCATGTCCAGGGGCGTGACTATTAATCCGACCCAGAGGGGCTGGGGCAGCGAGCGTGGCTCACCAATTGGGATGAAAACTCACACCCCAGCTGACACAGGACATGAGAGTGGCTTGCAAAGTAGGTTAAGAAAAAGAAACTAGAGGTGGTGAGAGTGGCTCGCCACTCCAACTGGAAACACAAGAACAAAAGAGCATCAGCTGCTCTTTTATATTTCCCATTCCTTTACCTGATCATATCACGTAGGCCATGAGGCCTGATAAATCATTAAATAAAACTTGATCAATACATACACACAAAAACGTGTTCACAAATGTACATAGCAGCTTTATTCATCATAACCAAAAAAGTTGAAACAACCTTTTGGGGGTCAGAAAATATGGCATTTTGAAATGCTGAGTACTTTGAACTAAAGAAGCAGCCTCTGGCAGAGTACAATGGCTCACACCTGTAATCCTAGCATTTTGGGAGGCCAAGGTGGGAAGAATTGTTTGAGCCCAGGAGCCTAAGACCAGCCTGGGCTACATAGTGAGATCCTGTCTCTACAAAAAAATTTAAAAATGGGCTGGACATGGTGGCACATGCCTGTGGTCCCAGCTACCTGGGGGGCTGAGGTGGGAGAATCACTTGAGCCTGGGAGGGTGAAGCTGCAGGGAGCTGTAATGGTGCCACTGCACTCCAGCCTGGGTGACAGAACAATATCCTGTCTCAAAAAAACAAACAACAACAAAAAACAACAACAACAAAAAAAAGCAAAACAAAATTTTTTAAAGGAAAGGGCCTCAGAACCAAGGTCTCTCTGACCTTTCCCTGCTTACTATGTCTTGATTCTCTTTTTCTCCCAAAGCATAGGGAAGCACTTTCTCTGACATTTCCTTTATCTGACTAAGAGAAATCCCTCCAGAAGAAATGAAGTGTCATGAACTCACTCCCTGGAATCTATATGATCTCTAAGAGAGGAGACTAAATGTCTCCACATCTAGGACATCATGCCCAGACAGACTTTTCACTTATGCTTCTGAGAGCTACCTGAGAGACTTCTTCTGCATAATAAGACAACCTTTGCTTGCAGTGCTCTTCCTCCCCTCACTCTCCCACAGCTTGTTGCCACCACCCTCCAGGAGTCTTTAAGCTTCTAATTCTTTTTTTTTTTTTTTTTTTTTTTGAGACAGGGTCTCACTCTGTTGTCTAGGTTGGGGTGCAGTGGGTGCAATTACAGCTCACTGTACTCACTGCAGCCTTGATCTCCCTGGTTCAAGTGATCCTCCTACCTCAGCCACCTGAGTAGCTGGAACTACAGGGGCATGCCACCACACCCAGCTAAGTTTTGCATTTTTGGTAGAGATAGGGTTTTGCCACATTGGCCAGGCTGATCTGGAACTACTGGGCTCAAGCCATCCTCCCACCTCAGCTTCCCAAAGTGCTAGGATTACAGGTGTGAGCCACTGTGCCAAGCTAATTTTTTCTGTAGCTCACAATGCTATTTAAGCTTCAACCATCTGGCCCTCCTTTGTGTCTCATATTTTGTGGAACTCCTATACATATGCATGTAATAAATTTGTATGCCTTTTCTCCTGTTAATCTGTCTACTGTCAAGTTTATTCCAGAGATTATCGAGCCTTTAAAGGGTGGAAGGAGAGTTCCTTTCACTCCTACAAACCCAAATGTCCATCAAGGGATAAATGGATAAACAAATTGTGGTATATCCATGCAATGAAATGTCATTCAGCCATAAAAAGAACAAAATACTGATACAATGCTACAACACAGATAAGCTTGAAAGCATTATGTTGAGTGAAAGACAGCAGACACAGAAAGGCACATGGTACGTAATTTCATGTACATGAAATGTCTACATAGTGTCAATTGAAGAAAATGATGAGACAAGTCTCAATCATTTTAGATTTATTTGCCAAAGTTAAGGACGCATCCTGGAGACAGGTCTATGCCTTTCTCTGAAGATGATTTTGAGGCTCCAAATTTAAGGGGGAAAGGGTGGGATATTGAGAAGCACACAGTTTTCACATAAGCAAAAGGGGCAAAGGAAAAATGTGGGGAATCTGCATTTTACATAAGATAACACAGACAAAATGGAGTAGGGGAAAAATCAGATATTCATTTGTGTCTGGCAGGCCTGCACCTGTAAAGATGACCTAACAATTTGCATTGCCATAGTGACGTTTTAACAGCTCACTGGGAATTTCCCCATATTTTGCCCACAAGGAAATTCCTGGTGAGCTGCTAAAACATCACTGTGGCATGCAAATTGATAGGTTATCTTTACAGGTACAGGCCTGCCAGACACAAATGCATATCTGATTTTTGACTTTTCCCTTTGGCTAAATGACTCTGGGGTCCCAAAATGTAATTTCTTTTCACAATAGAAACATAAAGTAGATTGGTGGTTGCCAGGGGCTGTGGAGAGTGACTGCTAACGGATGTGTGGTTTCTTTAGTTTGGCAGGGTGTGTGTGTGGCGGGGGGTGGGATGATGAAAATGCACTAAAATTAAATTGTGGTAGATAGTAAAAGGAAGTAGTTATGTGATTGTTGCACAACTCTGTGACTATACTAAAAGCCACTGAATTGTGTAGTTTAAAAGGGTGGCTGGTTGGGCGTGGTGGCTCACGCCTGTAATCTCAGCACTTTGGGAGGCCGAGGCAGGCGGATCACCTGAGGTCGGGAGTTCAAGACCAGCCTGACCAACACGGAGAAACTCTGTCTCTACTAAAAATACAAAATTAGCCAAATGGGGTGGCACATGCCTGTAATCCCAGCTATTTGGGAGGATGAGACAGGAGAATCACTTGAACCTGGGAGGCGGAGGTTGCAGTGAGCCAAGATTGCGCCATTGCACTCCAGCCTGGGCAACAAGAGCAAAACTCCATCTCAAAAAAAAAAAAAAAAAAAGTGTGGCTGGATGCTGTGGCTCATGCTTATAATCCCAGCACTTTGGAATGCCAAAGCAGGAAGATTGCTTAAATCCTGGAGTTCAAGACCAGACTGGCCAACATAGCAAGACCCCATCTCTACAAACAAGTTTTTTTTTAATTAGCTGGGTAGGGTGGCACACACCTGTGGCCCCAGCTACTTGGGAGACTAAGAAGGCAGGAGGATCACTTGACCCTAAGGGGTAGAGGCTGCAGTGAGTTGTGATCACACCACTGCACTCTAGCCTGCACAGCAGAACAAGACCCTGTCTCTAAATAATAAATGAAAAGGTAAATTTTATGGTATGTGATTATATCTCAGTAAAAGTGTGATTTTTTAAAAAGTCAATGAATCTTAAACAAATAAGCAAACAAAAGCTTAGTCAGGTCTCAGGTGATGCTACACTACTACCCAAACAGATTCATTTCTAAAAAGCAAGCAGCGTAACAAGAGCAGCCATTTATGTGCTTACTATGTAAGGAGCTTTACCTAACAATACTGTTTGTTAAACTTTTCATCTCATTTTATTTGCACAATGACCTTATAAAGTATGTATGATTACCCTTTGTTTAGGAAAATGAGAAAACAGGCTCTCAGGGATGGGATAATTTGTTCAAGGCTCACACAGCTAAGAAGGGGTAAGGCAGGAGTTCTAACCCAGAGAGCCATCTGACTCCAAAGTTCAGGATAGCCACGTTCCCACTATGTTCATCAAAAAAAACAAGAATGAGCCAGGCGCTGTGGCTCACGCCTGTAATCCCAGCACTTTGGGAGGCCGAGGCGAGCAGATTATCTGAGGTCAGGAGTTCGAGACCAGCCTGGCCACCATGGTGAAACCCTGTCTCTACTAAAAATACAAAAATTAGCTGGGTGTGGCAGCGGGCGCCTGTAATCCCAGCTACTCGGAGGCTGAGGCAGGAGAATCACTTGAACCTGGGAGGCAGAGGATGCAGTGAGCCGAGACTGCACCACTGCACTCCAGCCTGGGTGACAGAGCGAGACTCCAGTGCAAAAAAAAAAAAATGCTGAGAAGGATTTTAGCTGAGTCTAAAACAAGTACTGGCAGGGCTCTGCTAACCACGCTGCTGCTCACTCCTTCTTCTGCAATAGTTATTTTTCCCTAATGGGTTTTTGTCTGTGTTGGAAGGAAGTCTTTTCTTCCACCAACTATGTTGTAGTGTGTGTTTGGGGCTTGGGGGACTGCAAATTAATTGATGATAGACAGATCCACAGAAGAAAAGACAAGGATTATTTACACATGCATGGGGGAGTACTCAGTAAAGGGTAATCCCTGGCAAAAATAGCCAGGGGTACGTGTGACTGCATCAGTTTAACAAAAGGGAATGGTGGTTAAGGCTTCATTGGGAATGTATGGAAGATTCTATTGGGCTTTTTTATTCTGATGCTAATGTACAGTCTTCTTTCTGGCTGGAAGCTGAATTAGACCAAATCTGGGGATTCTCCCAAACCTGAAGGGGGGTTAATGGCAGTCGTATTTTGGGAGGCTCTGCTTTAGTCAGATCAGGGAAGTCCAGATATGATTTCTATCTGCATCTGCTGTAGCTCAAATGGTTTCAGTTTAAAATAAACTTTTTATCTTTCTGAGGGTTTCTTGGTCCCTTCATTTGTTTGTTTCTGCTTTTACTATATTCCCAGACATTCTCAACATTATTGCAAAGATTTTTTTTTTCTTGCTTTAGGTGCTGCTTGGAAATGTCCTTGTCCCTAGATATCTTTAATAAAAGGTTCTTGGGCTCCAGAGCCCGAAAAAGCTCTGGGTGGTATTTTGCCTGCAACCAAAGCTTGACGTCAAAATTTGCACACGTGTTGTAGGATCATTTACTCTGTGTCTCCAGCCCCTACTCTTTTCTTGGTGTTCCTGAGTTATACTTCAGAACAGAAAAATATCAATAGGTTTAGATCTTAGTTCCACATTTGGCTCCCAGCCCTGCTCTAAGGCCCACCTCAGCTGAATTAAGGAGTGAGGTTTGAACTCATCAGCGGATTCTCCTTGGGTCCAGCTGCCCTCCTTTCCTCCTTTTTCTCTCCTCTGCAGGAAGGAAGGCTGCTTCCCCCTCCCCTATTCCTAAGGACTACTTCCCACCTCTTCCCTTCCCTCCACCCCCCCAGCTGCCTTTCTTATGGCTGCCAGGTTGCCATGCCAATAAGGTTCCCATGGTTACTAGGAAGAGCTGCTGCATTCCCACAGGCAGCTTTTATCTACCAAAAGAGAAAGGGAAACTAAATTGCTCCTAGGGAAAGAAAAAAAAAAAAAAAAGGGAGGGGAGGGACAGAGTTGGTCTTAGCCCAGGAGATCCTGCAAAAGGGGTCTTGTTAACTCTGGTATCTCCAGGCTGGACCTTGAACCAAATCCTGCTGCATCTATTCAAGTTCTCCTTCCCCTAAACCTAGGGAGAGAGGCGCCTGGCACTAGTTCAAGTCCATTGTTTCGCCTAGTATGGGGTCCACATAGACACCGCATTGTGAGCATCATGTTAATACATAAATACACTAATACATCTGTGCTCTTTGTCTATTAAGGAAACTGGCAAAATGCAAGGCATGCCCTGCTGCCTCCTCAGTTGGATATCTTGTCAGAGAAACTGCTTTTCTCCTGCTGGAGTTTCTTCCTGGGTAGACTATCTTAGGCCACGCCACTTTTTTTTTTTTTAATTCAGTTCATTTTTCTCAAATATAAACAAATATATGTTAGTGTAAAATTAAAAAATAAAGTAGCCGGGCATGGTGGCTCACGCCTGTAATCCCAGCACTTTGGGAGGCCAAGGCAGGCGGATCATCTGAGGTCAGGAGTTTGAGACCAGCCTGGCCAACATGGTGAAACCCCGTCTCTACTAATAATACAAAAATTAGTTGGGCGTGGTGGCACATGCCTGTAATCCCAGCTACTCAGGAGGATGAGGCAGGAGAATCGCTTGAATCCAGGAGGTGGAGTTTGCAGTGAGACGAGATCACGCCATTGCACTCCAGCCTCGGCTACAAGAGCAAAACTTCGTCTCCAAAATAAAAAATAAAATAAAATAAAATAAATAAGAGAAAAAATCATTCACATTTCCAAAATCAAATTATTTATTTCTTCTTTCTAAAATATACAGTTTTTGTTGTTACTGGTTTGTCTCACATAGTTGTAGAACATCATTTTTGAAACACAGTTTCCTTTATTTGGAATTTTGTTATGTTGAACTTTCTACTTTTATTAGCTGCCAATAAAAAATGGCAATTGGGCCAGGCACAGTGGCTCATGCCTGTAATCCCAACACTTTGGGAGATCAAAGTGTAAGGATTGCTTGAGCCCGAGAGTTCAAGACAAGCCTAAGCAACATGGCAGAACCTTGTCTCTAAAAAAAAAAATATAAAAATTAGCTGGGCATGGTGGCACACATCTGTAGTCCCAGCTACTCAGGAGGCTGAGGTGGGAGGATTGCTTGAGCCTGGGAGGTCGAGGCTGCAGTGAGCTGTGATCACACCACTGCACTCCAGCCTGGGCGACAGAGCTAGCTTTTGTCTCCAGAAAAAAAAAAAGCAATTTCTCAAAAAACGTATAGCATTATCATATAACTCAGCCATTCCACTCCTAGGTATAAATATACCCCCCCAAAATGAAAATATACATCCACAGAAAAATGTGTACATGAATGTTTATAACAGCATTATTCATAATAATAAAAAATGGAAACAAGACAAATATCCATCAACTGATTAATAAACAAAATATGGTGTAGTCATACAAAAGAATATTATTCAGCCAGAAAAGGAATGAAGTACTGATACATGCTACAACATAGATGAACCTTGAAAACATTATGGAAGTGAAAGAAGGCAGAAATAAGGCAGACATAGAAGACCACAGAGACAGGATTGTTCCCTTGACTTTGACCCCCTTCATGGGTGGGAACTGGAGTGGCTCGTTTAACTCAGCCACTGCTGACCACTCCTTGTGAGAGGGAGCATGCAAGCAAGTGAGGGAACGAAGGCTGGAACCAGCCAGTCACTCCTCCCTAGCAGGAGCAGGCTCTGTACAAGCCCTACGGCAGCATCCAAGCCCCTACTCTCTCAGCATCTGAGTTCTTGTCTGGCATCCAGGAATAACCATCAGGTCACACAAATGGATTGAAGGGTAGTGTATGTGGAAGATTTTACTGGGCGATAAAGGTGGCAGTTTGCATCAGCCGCTTGCATCCCCCAGTGCTCAGCAGCTTGCATCCCCCAGTGCTCAGCAGCTTGCATCCCCAACCACTTGCATCAGCCACTTGTGTTGCTCTGCCAGCTAGTCTTTTTATGGGCACAGGATAGGGGTACTGCAGGCCAAAAAAGCAACATTTGGGTGGAAAAACAGAGTCAGCTTCTTCTTCTTAGGATGGAGGTTCCAGGCTTAAGAGTGGGGATTTAGCCGGGAGCCAAGCCATTCTGTGTCAATAAAATTCTATTACATAAAATTGAAACTGCCTTTGCAAAGATTATGACAGTGAGAGAAGTCTAGCATGGCAGACTCCATCTTGCTTTTAGCCTCACAGACTGGCTGTTTTTGCTCATTTCTGGGCATAGGCCAAGTTAACCATGGGAGGAATTTAGTTTATAGTTTAACTTGGAAGCAAGGATGATAAGAGTATCTCCCCAAAACTAATCCCTTCCTTGTTTGGGCCTTTGTAAAACTAATGAAAGGCCACAAGATTAGGATTATGGGAGGGGCCCAAAATCTGCTGCAATGTAGGTATAGTTTCTATAATCCCTTACATCTCAGGAGTCATGTGGCCAGATGTTGAAAAATTTGTGACTTCCCCAGTTGCTTCTGTAGTCACTGTTGTAGAATCTTTTGAGATGTTTTTCAGACTGACACCACCTAGACTCCTGACTCATGACTCAACTGGTCCTGTGGCCCTCAACCCAATTGCCAACTCAGCACACAAAGGCCATTTTCCACACCCCTATGATTGCTTCCCCAACCAGTCATCAGCACCCATTCCCTAGCCCCCTGCCCACCAAACTATCCTTGAAAAACCATAACCTTTGAGCCTTCCAGGAAACTGGTTTGAGTAATAACTCTGTCTACCACATGGCTAGCCTAGTGTCAAACTCTTTCTTTACTACAATACCACAGTCTCAGTGAATTGGTTTTGTCTGTGTAGTAGGCAAGGTGACCCCATCAAGCAATTAAAAAATGTCCAGAATAGGCATCTATAGAGAAAGTAGTGTTTGGGCCAGGTGTGGTAGCTCACACCTTTGTAATCCCAATACTTTGAGAAGCTGAGGCAACTGGATCACTTGAGGCCAGGAGTTTGAAACCAGCCTGGGCAACAAAGCAAGACCTTGTCTCTACAAAAAATTTTAAAAGTAGCTGGACATGATGGCATGTGCCTGGGGTCTCAGCTACTTGGGAGGCTGAGGTGAGAGTTGCCTGAGCCCTGGACTTGCAGGATGTAGTGAGGTATGATTACACCACTGCATTCCAGCATATGCGACAGACTGAGATCATGTCTAAAAATGAAATAAAATAAAGAGAAAGTAATGTTTGCCTAGGGCTAGGGGAGTGAGATAGGAATGGGAGCGATGGCTAATGGACACAGTCTATTTTGGAGGCAAAAAACATGATCTAAAATTAGATCATTAAAGGTATTTATGCATATTTTAAAAAATAAAATAAAACTAGATCATAGTGATAATTGCACAACTCTTTGAATATGCCAAAAACCATTGAATTATACATTAATTTTTTTTTTATTATTGTTTGTGGAAACAGGGTCTAACTATGTTACCCAGGCCAGTCTTAAACTCCTGGTCTCAAGGAATCCTTCTGCTTTCCAAAGTGCTGGGATTACAGGAGTGAACCACTGTCCCCGGCCTGAATTATACACTTTTAGTGGGTGAAATGTATAGAATGTGAATTATATCTCAACGAAGCTGTTTTGAAAAACTGAAAATAAAAAATTAAAAGGATGTATTTAGGTCTCAGCAAATTATTGAACTCTAAAGGCTCTAATAGCTTAATATGAAAAGTCAAACAAATCCTATTAGCCTGAACCTGTAATTAACTAAGGAGAAATTCCTTTAAGCCTTTTCCAATTCTTGGGCTCAGCAAATTCAGTCCAGAGCCTTTATTTTTAATTCTGCCATGAATGTATTTCTTCTTTAATTTCCTGGATGTTGTCAAGATAAAGGGCGGGATAAGAGAGATTGCTTTCCTAAACATTCATGAAGAGGGAAATCCCCCAACATCACACCATTTGTCCTGGGAAAGCAATTACTTTTTGGCTTCAACTTCATCATATCTAAATGGGGACAATAATAAATATAAGTTCTACGCCAGACGTGGTGGCTCACGCCTATAATCCCAACACTTTGGGAGGCCAAGGTGGGCAGATCACCTGAGGTCAGGAGTTCGAGACCAGCTTGGCCAACATGGGGAAACCTCAAACCCCGTCTCTACTAAAATACAAAAGTTAGCCCAGCATGGTGGCACACGCCTGTAATCCCAGCTACCTGGGAGGCTGAGGCAGGAGAATTGCTTAAACCTGGGAGGCAGGGGCTGCAGTGAACCAAGATGGCACCACTGCACTCCAGGCTGGGCAACACAGCAAGACTCTGTCTCAAAAATAAATAAATAAATAACTTATGTTAGCATATGGAAGAAAACTTGGAATAGGCAAAAGAGATTAATTGGGTTTCTTCAGTGGAAAACAAGCCATTGTTTAGAGCAAACCTGAGGTATCAGCTACATGTGGTCTCTGTCACCAGCTCCTGGCACAGAACTCTCAAAACTCTTGGCATTTCCTAAATGATAGGAATGCCTTTTGTTTTTCATGACGAGTTCCTCACTATCTGTACAATAGTTCAATTTTACCTCCTTTGAAATTTATCCTTGTCAAGAGAGAAAATTACAACAAATTTAAAGATCTCAATTAGGTTTATGCAATTCTATAATCAGACAACACATTAGTCCATAAAGTAGAATAAATGTTCCAATGAGTCGAGCAGAGGAGGTTCACTTTATAGACAGAATAAAGGGCTGAAGAAAGCAAAAACAAAGATCAAGGCCCAGTGCGCTTGCTCACACTTGTAATCTCAGCACTTTGGGAGGCCAAGGCAGGTGGATCACGAGGTCAAGAGATGGAGACCATCTTGGCCAACATGGTGAAACCCCATCACTACTAAAAATACAAAAAATTAGCTGGTCCTGGTGTCGCACGCCTGTGGTCCCAGCTACTGAGGAGGCGGAGGCAGCAGAATCGCTTGAACGTGGAAGGTGGAGGTTGCAGTGAGCCGAGATCACACCACTGCACTCCAGCCTGGTGACAAAGCGAGACTCTGTATAAATTTTAAAAAAAAAAGGGCCAGGTGCAGTGGCTCATGCCTGTAATCCCAGCACTTTGGGAGGCCGAGGCAGGCAGATCACAAGGTCAGGATATCGAGACCATCCTGGCTAACACAGTGAAATCCTGTCTCTACTAAAAAATATAAAAAATTAGCCACGCGTAGTAGTGGCTGCCTGTAGTCCCAGCTACTTGGGAAGCTGAGGCAGTAGAA
This sequence comes from Homo sapiens, assembly GCF_000001405.40. Taxonomy (NCBI): domain Eukaryota; kingdom Metazoa; phylum Chordata; class Mammalia; order Primates; family Hominidae; genus Homo; species Homo sapiens. The sequence goes on from NC_000011.10 coordinate 125,522,705, forward strand.
TGGCCTGAACCTGGGAGACGGAGCTTGTAGTGAGCAGAGATTGCACCACTGCACTCCAGCCTGGGCAACAGAGCGAGACTCCATCTCCAAAAAAAAAAAAAAAAAGGGGGAGTGGTTATTTCAAAGTTACTTTCCTTGTAAGGCAGGGACAGGGAGACAAAATAGAAAGATAATTGACTGGTTAACATCAGGTTACTTCACTTTACTCTTTTTTGTAAAAATTAAAACAGAGGGGGCCGGGCACAGTGCCTCATGCCTGTAATCCCAACACTTTGGGAGGCCAAGGCAGGTGGATGACCTGAGGTCAGGAGATCAAGACCATCCTGACCAACATGGAGAAACCCCGTTTCTACTAAAAATACAAAATTAGCCAGGGGTGGTGGCGCATGCCAGTAATCCCAGCTACTCAGGAGGCTGAGGCAGGAGAATCTATTGAACCCGGGAGGCGGAGGTTGCGGTGAGCTGAGATCACGACATTGCACTCCAGCCTGGGCAACAAGAGCGAAACTCTGTCTCAAAAAAAACAAAAACAAAAACAAAAAAACACAAAAAACAACAAACAAACAAACAAACACACAGAGAACTTCATTATCATGCCCACTGAAGATGGAAACTGGAAACTGGCCTTTTGCTGGTGGTTCTCCTCCAGTATAAACTCAAGAATTTTTTAAAATTTTATTTTTTTAAATGAAACTGGCCTATTGGGAAACTAGTCTGTAATTTTTTTCTCCCAGTTTCTCGAAAGACCAAATAACAAGTCAGTTTTGGTTTGGCAAGCTTAGATGACTTCATTTTAATTTTTAGTTTGGTCTACTGGGGCCTAGCGGAGGAATTTAGTCCAAAATGATAGCCTCCTATAATTTTTGTTTAACATCTTTTAACACTATTATCTTTCTGTTTCTGGTAAAAGAAGAAGCACTTCTAGACCTTGACTTTTTCCAGTGCACTGCAAACCTTCTCGGTTAAATTGAGAGGGTAAACATTTATTTTAGTAAAGGTTTGAACATAGGCTCATTTTAGTTTTCAGCTATGCCTCTACATATCAAAAAGCACATCAAAAGAAATTTCCCTTTCAATGTTAGATATGGATAGTAATAACTATTTACATTTACTCAGTAATTTATATATTTCAGGCACCATTTTAAATATGTTATTTGCATTATTCCTATGAAGTGAATGCTGAGAACAGCAATCCTCTCCTCTTTCCCTCAGCCTGATCACTGAGAACCAAAACCATACTGGACTGCCTACAATAAAAAGACTCTGCTGAGCACAGAGGAGGTCTACAGGAAAGAAAAAAAAAAAAAAACTTTGCTACTTCACTGTCTTTATTAGCATTTCGTACTTTTCCTGACTTGCCCAAGCAAATGGTTAGATTCTGCATTACAGGAATTTCTCAAAAGACCCATCAACTCTTCAATAGCAAGCATCAAAAAAGCATCAATAGGCAGCCTGCACCTTACAATTCTTTGAATTATATTATTTTGCAATAAAAGAGAATAAAGTGCTAATACATAATATAACATGCATGGACCATGAAAACATTATGCTAAGTGAAAGAAGCCAGCCACAAAGGACCATATATTGTGTGCAGAGGTGCACGCCTATAATCCCAGCTACTTGGGAGGCTGAGGTACGAGAATCACTTGAGCCCAGAACTTTGAGCCCAACCAGAGCAAAATAGCTAGACCCTGTCTCTAATTTAAAAAAGAAAGTAGGGCCAGACGCATTGGCTCATGCCTGTAATCCCAACACTTTGGGAGGCTGAAGTGGGCAGATCGCCTGAGGTCAGGAGTTTGAGACCAGCCTGGCCAATATGGTGAAACCCCGTCTCGACTAAAAATACAAAATAATTAGCTGGGCATGGTGGCACACACCTGTAATCCCAGCTACTCGGGAGGCTGAGGCAGGAGAATGGCTTGAACCCAGGAAGCTGAGGTTGCAGTGAGCTGAGACGACACCATTGCACTCCAGCCTGGGCAACAAGAGTGAAACTCCATCTCAAAAAAAAGAAAGAAAAAAAGAAAGAAAGTAGATTAGTGGCTGCCTGGTGGTAGTGGTCGTGGGAAGAGTTTGGGTAAAGGGGGAGTGACTGCAAACGTATAGTGGGTTTCTTTTTGGCATGAAGAATATGTTCTCAAATTTGTTGTAGCAATTTTTGCCCAACTCTGTGGATATACTAAAAACCACTGAATTGTATACTGTAGATGGGTGAATTGTATGGTATGTGAGTTACATCTCAAAGTTATTTTTTGAAAAAATATTCTTTAAATCCTTCTTAAGGCCGGGCATGGTGGCTCACACTTGTAATCCCAGCACTTTGGGAGGCTGAGGCAGGTGGATCACCTGAGGTCAGGAGTTCAAGCCCAGCCTGGCCAACATGGTAAAACCCCATCTCTACAAAAATTAGCCAGGCATGATGGCAGGTGTCTGTAATCCCAGCTACTCGGGAGGCTGAGGCAGGAGAATTGCTTGAGCCCAGGAGGCAGAGGTTGCAGGGAGCTGAGATCACACCGCTGCACTCCAGCCTGGGTGACAGAGCAAGACTCTGTCTCAAAAAAAAAAAAAAAAAAAAATCCTTCTTAAAATCCTTGCCTTGCTGTTTCCACCAATCCTAGACCATTGTATGGGACTCATAAAACAATATTCTAAAGTATGGTGCTGATATGGTTTGGCTTTGTGTCCCCACCCAAGTCTCATCTCAAACTGTAATCTCCATGTGTCGAGGGAGGGACCTGATGGGAGGTGATTAGATCATGGGGGCAGTTTCCTGCATGCTTTTCTCAGATAGTGCGTGAGTTCTCAAGAGTTCTGATGGTTTAAAAGTGACAGTTTCCCCTGTGCTCGCTCTCTCTCTCCTGCCACCATGTAAAACGTGCCTTGCTTCCCCTTTGCCTTCCACCATGACTTCAAGTTTCCTGAGGCCTCTCAGCCATGTGGAACTATGAGTCAATTGAACCTCTTTCTTTATAAATTACCCATTCGCAGGTATTTCTTTATAGCAGTGTGAAAATGGACTAACACAGGTGCTTTGGTATGTTGAGCACTTTTGAATCAAAAGAAATTAGAAGATCTTAGAAGCTGCTTCTAACCTTCTCTTGTTCCTCCAGCCCCAAGCACAGAGAGGAATTCCCTCTGGAATTTCTTTACCTGAATAAGAACATTTCAACTTTTTTTTTTTTTTTTTTTTTTGAGACAGAGTCTCGCTCCATTGCCCAGGCTGGACTGCAGTGGCACGATCTCAGCTCACTGTAACCTATGACTCCTGAGTTTAAGCAATTCTTGTGCCTCAGCCTTCCAAGTAGCTGGGACCACAGCCACGCACCTCCACGCCTGGCCAATTTTTTGTATTTTTAGTAGAGACAGGGTTTTGCCATGTTTTCCAAGATGGTCTCAAACTCCTGGCCTGAAGTGATCCACCCACCTCGCCTCCCAAAGTTCTGGGATTACAGGCATGAACCATCACACCTGGCCTGACTGAAGAAATTTCTATCCAAAAGAACTGCAATTGTCTTAAGACCTCCTATCCTAGGAATCTCATTAGATAACCAGGAAAGATTAACCACCAGAAGAAATTTCTATCCAAAAGGACTGCAATTGTTTTAAGACCTCCTAGCCTAGGAATCTCAACCAGGAAAGACTACCAGAAAAGCAAAGAGACTAAAAGTCCTCACCATACCTACACAGACTTCTCCTCTATTCTTCTGAGGACAGCTCCAAGAGCTTACCTGAGAGGCATTATCTGCATAAGACAACCCTTGTTCACAGTGCAGTTCTGCCCCTCACCTTCCAAAAATTTGCCACCACCTCCCCCAGAACTCAGAGGAACTTTGTCCCAGACCATTGTCTGTTCTTTGGGCTCATTAAGTTTCACTGAAAATCATTTACCACCCCTCAAAATTATCTATACATCTTTCCTCTCCCCTGTGAAGAGGATTTGCTTTTTTCTTTCCTTCTTTTTCTATTAATTTTAATTTTTAAGTTCCAGGGTACACGTACAGGATGTACAGGTTTGTTGCATAGGTAAACGTGTGCCACAGTGGTTTGCTGCACCTATCAACCTAGGTATTAAGCCCAGCATGCAACTTTTCTTATTTATTTATTTATTGAGACAGGATCTTGCTGTGTAGGCTGGTCTCCATTTCCTGGGCTCAAGGGATCCTCCTGCCTCAGCCTCTCAATTAGCTGAAACTACAGGTGTATACCACTGCACACCCCTGAAGAGGTTATTTAAGCCTCAACAATCTTGTCCTTGTTTGAGTCTCATATTTTGTATGACTCCCATTCTTATGCACATTAATAAATTTGTATGCCTTTTCTCATGTTAATCTATTGTCATTTAATTTCAGCAGAGTCAAACCTTTGTAGGGAGAGGGAAACATTCCCTCCACTCCTACAGTTGTGTTATGATTCCTACTCAACCCTTATCTAGTACCCTGTATTGAAAGAAATGCCTTAAACCAAACTTCTAATTCTCAATAAAAAAATTTTTAATATTCAGTGGCCAGTTACTGGATCAATAAATTTTGGTCTTACCTTCCCCTTCTGAGAATTCCCAAAGCTCTGTTCAGGTGGTGTTCTTCCTTACTATGGTAAACAGTAAACTCAGCATCATGCTATCAACAAATTGGGCTGGTAATGTTTGGGAAATGGCTATTAGTTTTGTTTTTTTTTTTTTTTTTTTTTTTGTTTTTTTTTGAGATGGAGTCTCCGTTTGTCACCCAGGCTGGAGTGCAGTGGTGTGATCTCGGCTCACTGCAACCTCTGCCTCCCAGGTTCAAGCAATTCTCCTGCCTCAGCCTCCCGAGTAGCTGGGATTACAGGCATGCCCCACCATGCCTGGCTCATTTTTGTATTTTTAGTAGAGACAGGGTTTCACCATGTTGGCCAGGCTGGTCTCGAACTGCTAACCTCGAGGGATCTCTCCACCTCGGCCTCCCAAAGTGCTGGGATTACAGGCTTGAGCCACTATCCCTGTCTTTGTTTTTTTGTTGTTGTTGTTCTTTTTTTTAAAACTATGTTAAAATATATATAACATAAAATTTTACCATTTTAACCAGTTTAAAATGTATATAGTTCAGTGGCATTAAGTACATCACATTGTTGTACAACCAGTGCTACTATCCATCTGCAGAACTTTTCATCATCCCCAACTGAAAATCTGTAGCTATTAAACAATAACATCCCATTACCCCCTTGCCCCAGCCCTGGGGACACCACCATTGTTCTTGCTGTCTCCATGAATTTGACTATTCTAGCTACCCTATATAAAAGGAGTCATACAGGGCTGGGCGCTGTGGCTCACACCTGTAATCCCAGCACTTTGGGAGGCCGAGGCGGGCAGATCACGAGGTCAGGAGATCGAGACCATCCTGACTAACATGGTGAAACCCCGTCTCTACTAAAAATACAAAAAATTAGCCAGGCATGGTGGCAGGTGCCTGTAGTTCCAGCTACTTGGGAGGCTGAGGCAGGAGAATGGTGGGAACCCAGGAGGCGGAGCTTGCAGTGAACCGAGATCGCGCCACTGCACTCCAGTTTGGGTGACAGAGCGAGACTCCATCTCAAAAAAATAAAGGAGTCATACAATATTTGTCCTTTTGTGTCTGGCTTCTTTCATTTAGCAAAATATTTTCAAGGCTTATTCATATTGTAGCATGGATCAGAATTTCTTTTCCAATTCCTTTGAGGCTTTATGGGATACTGTGAAATATATATTTGGTTTTTGTCCCTGTCTCCTGTCATACAACTCCTAATATCCTTGGAACCTCCAAAGACATCAGTGTCTTTATGTATACTAATGAGTTGACTGGTGACTGGCAGGCCCTGGGTAACTTCGGGATGGGGGCTGGTCACTGCAAAGACCAAAGCATCATTAGAGGGTTGGGACTTTCAACCTCACCCCCAAACCTCTGGGAAGGGGTGGGGGTTGAAGGTCAAGTTGATCACTCACGGCCAATGATTTAATCAATCATGCCTACACAATGAAGCTTCGATAAAAACCCAGAACAGGTGGCTTCGGGGATGTTCTGGATAGCTAAATGCATGAAGGTTCCTGGAGGGTGCCATACCCAGAGAGGGCATGGAAGCACCATGTGCCTTCCCTCATAACTCACCGTATGTATCCCTTTATCTGTAACCTTTGTAATGTCTTTTACAATAAACTAGTAAATGTGTTTCCCTGAGTTCTGTGAGCTGCTTTAGCAAATAAATCAAACCCATTGAGAGTGTTTTAGGAAGCCCAATGTATTGTTGACTGGTCAGAAGCACGAGTAAAACAATATGGAGCTTACAATTGGCATCAGAAGTAGTGGGCAGTCTTGCGGGACTGAGCCCTCAACCGGTGGGATCTAATGCCATCTCCAGGTAAACAGCGTCAGAATTGAATTGAATTAGAGGATACTCAGCTGGTGTCAGCTGAAGACCCTGCTGCAGAACTAATTGATTGGTTGTTGGTGGGGAGAAATCTCCATTCATTTCTTGGTGATGAGAGATCACAGAAGTCTTTTATGGTATGATGTGAGAGCAGATGTGAAAACAGCAGATGAGAAAACAGTTTGCTTTTTCTACAGGCTGTAATTTCTTTAATAATATTAAAGGCTTTGGGCAGGCACGGTGGCTCACATCTATAACCTCAGCACTTTGGGAGGCTGAGGCAGGAAAAATGCTTGAGGCCAGAAGTTCAAAACCAGCCTGGTCAACATAGAAAAACCCCGTCTCTACAAAAGAAAAATTTAAAAATTAGCTGGAGGTGGTGGTGCACACCTCTAGTCCCAGCTACTCAGGAGGCTGAGGTGGTGGATTGCCTAAGCCGAGGAGGTCAACGCTCCAGTGAGCCATGATTCTTCCACTACACTCCAGTCTGTTTGACAGAGCAAGACTCTGTCTCTAAAAAAAAAAATAATAAAAAATAAAAATAAATTAAAGGCTTTAATTCCTTGAATAATATCCTATTGCTTGTATGTGCCACATTTCATCTCTCTATTCATCGTTAGTGGACACTTGGGTTGTTTCCACATTTTGGCTGTTGTGAATAATGCTGCTACTATGAACAGACACAAATATCTGTTTGAATTCTTACCTTCACTTTTTTTGGGTATACACCTAAAAGTAGAATTGCTGGATCATAGGGTAATTCTATGTTTAATTTTTTGAGGAGGCACCATAGTGTTTTCTACAATAGCTTCTCCATTTTACCTTCCCACCAGCAATGTACATGGGTTCCAATTTCTCCACATCCATGTCAATGCTTGTCATTTTCTGTTTTGTTTTTGTTGTTGTCATTGTTGTTTATCTATATAGTAGCCATCCTAATGGGAGTGAAGTGGTAACTCATTGTGGTTTCAATTTGCATTTCTCTAATAATTAGTAGTGTTGAGCATCTTTTCATGTGTTTATTGGTCATTACTGAAGAAATGTCTATTCAAGTCATTTGACCGTTTTTTACTCTGGTTGTTTGTTTTTTGTTGTTACGTTGGGAGAGTTCTTTATGTATTCTGGATAGTAACCCCTTACCAGACACATGATTTGCAAATATTTTCTCTCATTCCATAGGTTGTCTTTTCTGTTGATAGTGTCCTTTGATGCACAAGTCTTAAATTATCATGTAGTTCAATGTATCTATTTTTTTTTTTTTGAGACAGTCTTGCTCTGTTGCCCAGGCTGGAGTGCAGTGGTGTGATCTCGGCTCACTGCAAGCTCCACCTTCCGGGTTCATGCCATTCTCCTGCCTCAGCCTCCCGCGTAGCTGGGACTGCAGGTGCCCGCCACTATGCCTGGCTAATTTTTTTGTATTTTTTTTAATAGAGATTGGGTAATTTATCTATTTTTGTTGTTGCTGCCTGTGCTTTTCATGTCTTATCTAAAAAATTATTGTAGAATCCTATGTCATGAAGTTTTTAGTTTATGTTTTCTTCTTAGGGTTTTATAGTTTGAACTCTTAAATTTAGGTATTTGTTTCACTTTGACTTTTTTTTTTTTCTTTTTGAGACAGGGTCTCATTCTGTCAACCAGGCTGGAGAGCAGTGGCACAAACTCAGCTCACTGCAACCTCCGCCTCCCTGGCTCAAGTGATCTTCCCACCTCAGCCGCAAGAGTTGCTGGGACTACAGGTGAACACCACCATGCCTGGCTAATTTGTGTGTGTGTGTGTGTGTGTGTGTGTGTGTGTGTGTGTGGAGATGGAGTTTCGCCATGTTTCCCAGGATGGTCTCGAGTTCCTGAGCTCAAGCCATCCACCCGCCTCAGCCTACCAAATTTCTGGGATTACAGGTGTGAGCCACTCCACCTGGCCTGACTTAATTTCTGTATATGGTGTAAAGTAGAGGTCCAGCTTCATTCTTTTGCATGTGGATATTCAGTTTTCCCAGCCTCATGTGTTGAAAAGACTGTTCTTACCCCATTGAATGGTCTTGGTACCTTGTTGAAAATCATCTGACTTTACATGCAAGGTTTATTTTCAGACTCTATTTTATTCCATTGGTCTATATATCTGTCTTTATGCTAGTACCATGAGAAGTCACTTTTTTTTTTTTTTTTTTTGAGATGATGTCTCGCTCTGTTGCCCAGGCTGGAGTACAGTGGCGCGATCTCAGCTAATTTTTGTAGTTTTAGTAGAGACGGGGTTTCACCATGTTGGCCAGGCTGGTCTCAAACTCCTGACCTCAGGTGATCCGCACACCTTGGCCTCCCAAAGTGCTGGGATTACAGGCATGAGCCACTGCGCCCGGCCTAATTTTTTTTTCTTAAGACAGGATCTCGCTCTGTCACCCAGGTTGGAGTGCAATGGAGTGATCTCGGCTCACTGCAACCTCTGCTTCCTGGGTTCAAGCAATTCTCCTGCCTCAGCCTCCCGGGTAGCTGGGACCACAGGCATGCGCCACCACGTCTGGATAATTTGTGTGTGTGTGTGTGTGTGTGTGTGTGTGTGTGTGTGTATTTTTAGTACAGACGGTGTTTCACCATGTTGACCAGGCTGGTCTCGAACTCCTGACCTCAAATGATCTGCCTACATCCACCCGCCTTAGCCTCCCAAAGTGCTGGGATTACAGGCGTGAGACCGTGCCTGGCCTGAGAAGTCAGCTTTTAAAAGAGCCTTTTTTTTACAGATGATAAAACCAAAACAAAGACAGGTTAACTAACTTATCCAAAGATATACATATAGTCAATAATTCAGAGATTTTAACTTAGTAGTCTGACACCAAACCACAGTTTTAACTACTACAAAAGAAAATGTGCCAAGTGTTTAAGCATAGAACTTCACTTGTGCAAAGTTATGAGTATGAATTTTACTGATATGTTTTGTTAAATGAAAGAACAAATATATAAAATAATATTTTAAATATATTTAAAATGTCAACATTATGACTTATACATTATATTATTATTATTTTTGAGACGGAGTCTCACTCTGTCACCCAGACTGGAGTGCAGTGGCGCAATCTCAGCTTACTGCAACCTTTGCCTCCTGGGTTCAAGCAATTCTCCTGTCTCAGTCTCCCGAGTAGCTGGGACTACAGGCGCCCGCCACCACGCCCAGCTAATTTTTTTTTTTTTTTTTGTAGTAGAGATGGGGTTTCACCATATTGGTCTGGCTGGTCTCAAACTCCTGACCTCAGGTGATCCACCCACGTCAGCCTCCCAAAGTGTTGGGATTACAAGCGTGAGCCACTGTGCCCAGCCGACTTATACATTTTAACTTGAATCACAGTATGCCCAAATCTATGTAATAATGATTTATATCGTAAAAAATCCCCACTCCTCACAACATTTTCAGGAAGATAGGTCTGTGTTTCCAATAATCTTCACCTTAACGGCCCATAGGCCCTTCAATTCAATCATATTTATACCTCAACTCATGATCTTTGGACTCCTCTGTTCTATTCTAGTCCATCTTTTCTTTAATTTTTGAAACACAAATCTGATCTCATTCTCTGATTCAAATGTTTTAATGTGAAGGTTAGAAAATGGCTAAATTGAGCTTGCAGAAATATTTTGTTTGACCTTCAGTTTTTCCAACATTGAAAAAATCAGGAGATTTCTTGCAAAAATCCTGATTCCTGGCCTCTCTTGAAGAATTTGGTTGTCTTGCAACATGTCCTGCGTTGCCATATGGCCGCAACTACTTGCATCTCCACCCAGTTAATCTGCTCTGGGGCCTACAAACATCTGACTTTACAGATAATGCTCTAAGGGTTCCTTGGGGCCTGCAGTACTGTCAGGACAAACTGGTTCCTTAGGCAGCAATGAGATTAGTGAACTAAACGTCCACATATCAACCTGAATGATCTTCAAAACACTGCTGAGTGAAAAAAAGTAAGAAACAAGCTGAGACCTATAGCATAATTTATATAAATTAAAAATATATACATATCATAAAAGAGTTCACATTTCACGAGAAGATACTCCAATAAAATGGACATATATCACACACTTGGAACATTTTATAGTTAAGGACACAGAAAGGGAGGGGAGTATACTAGGAACTGAGAAGTGCCATTAACTCAATAAGCTGGAGCTGATATCCCCCAAAAAAGTGGGAAAAAAAGAAGTTAAAAACTTTTTTTTTGAGACAGAATCTTGCTCTGAATGAATAACATATTTTTCATTTTAGACATTGTAGTTTAAGTCTCTAATTCAATTTGGACCTTTAAAAACCTTCCAGTCTATTTAACTTGCTCATTTTTTCTCTACCTTATTAAACATATGAAATACAGTTAAAGTAACTCTTTTATGCCTTTAGTTATTATATCATTTGTGTCATTTACAGATCTGTTTCCATTGATTGATTATTCTCATTATATGTCATATTTTCCTGATTTTTCCATGTCTGGGCATTTTTGGTTGAATGTAAGATGCTCTGAATGTTTTCTTGTTGGGAGGTGGATATTTTTATATTTATATACATATTCTTGAGCTTTTTTTCAGGGATACAGTTAACTTGCTTGGAACACTTACTTTCAAGGATGGGGATGATGTTTAAACTTTGTTAGGGAGGACCAGAGCAGCCTTTATTACAAGACTAATTTTTCCCAGTCCTGAGGAAATACTCTTTTAGGAATTATTTTAAACAATATCATTTACTAATTATATATATATATGTATATGTGTGTGTATATCTATGTATATATATGCCAAGTGCAGTGGCTCATCCCTGTAATCCCAGAACTTTGGGAGGCTGAGGCAGGCAGATTGCTTGAGCCCGGGAGTACAAGACCAGCCTGGGCAACATAGTGAAGCTCTGTCTCCACAAAAAATACAAGAATTAGCTGAATATGGTGGCCCATGCCCACAGTCTCAGCAACTCGGGCTGCCAAGGTGGGAGGACTGCTTGAGTCTGGGAGGTAAAGGCTGCAGTCAGCCATTTCATGCCACTGCACTCCAGCCTGGGTGACAGAGTAAGACCCTGTTTAAATAATTATAATTGATGTATAAAATTATTATACATAATTATGATATATATATTTCCTTTCTGGCTTATGGAAATGCAAAATATTCCTAGCTCTTTGAGAAGTTTAGGAATTATTTCCTTGAATCATTTTAGTGTCTCTTCCTCAAACTAAGGTAGTTTCCTCATATGCTTACACTGATGTATACTCAGCTGAAGACATGATCTTGGAGCTTCCACCCCTATCTCTGCACTCTTTCCTCTTCAGCATTCTGCCCTGCAAACTTAAGCCACCTTGCCTCCCAAGACTCCCAATTCCATCTTGTAAATTCAGGGAGACTGCTAGGTTCCACCTGGGTTTCCACTCTCTGTGCTGTATCTTCCATACAGTAAGATGGGGCAGAAGTAGGGATCATCTCATTTGTTTCTCCCATCTCAGGGATCGCTGTCCTCTATCACCTGATGTCCAATATCTGAAAACTATTATTTCATGTATGTTGTCAGGTTTTTGTAGTTGTTTCCTGTAGGAGGGTAAATCTAGTCTCTGTTACTACATCTTGGCCAGAAGAAGAAGATAGCCTCATATATAATTTAATTTGATTCTCAGCATTACTCTGGGGCAGATAATATTATTACAGATGAAGATCTGAAGCTTGGAGAAATTAAATAACCTTTTCTAGAGGCTTGCACAGTATATGATGCATGGGCACTAAAACAACATAAACCAAACCAAACCAAAACGAGAAACACAAAGCCTTCCTGATGGTAAGTAAAAGGGCAAATCAAGGATGATAACAAAAATCCTTTTACTCCAAGCACTTTACCCTTTCTGCATTTATCACTGCCTCAGAGCACTGTTGGACTACCTATGTAGCAAAGACATGGAGGGCTGGTTTAAAGTGTTAATGTCTGTGTTCCATCCCTGATATACTAAATCAAAATCTCTGCTGTCAATCCTTAGAATCTCCATTTCTGATAAATTCCCCACCCCTTGCCTTAAGAAATAGAAAAGACTCCACAGAACTTTTAATTTTATCCTCTCTCAAACCTCTTCAAGAATCTTCCTCTAGGTTATCATCCTGATTTCTTCAACTTTCCTTTGTTTCTGGATCTTTCCTTTTATAAAAATATTCTATTTTCTCCCAGCTTAAAAACAGACTCTTGCAAAACCAAATGTAAAATTCTAAGCCCCCCAACCAGTGGAATGGACCCCTCCTCTTGCTCAAGGGCATTCCAAAGTTAACCTGAAAAACTAGTCCAGGCCATGATGGGAAGGGGGGTTAAATATGCCTCATTGTACCCTCCTCCCTTTGAAATTCAGGGACAACTGACCAACATTAACATTAAGACACAGATCTTAAGACTGTCATCCTAAGACTGACATCAAACAGATTCTTTGTAACGATAAGACACTAAATGCCAAACTGACTCTATTATAGCATCACATAACAGATAGCAGGCCCTGAAAGAAATTGAAGTATTTTACCCTAAAATACATTTCTTTGACACATTTTGAAATGGCCCTGTAAAGCTGTCTCTCACGGGGATATCTGCATTCTGTACAGAATCCTCTTCCCTTTCCAGGTCTTTTTCCTGATCCAGGAGAGAATTAACCAAAAGTCTGGCACCTTTTTAAGTCTGATAAGAAACATTTACAATCTATTATCTCTGAAGCCTGTTGCCTGGGAGCTTCATCTGCATAAAAGGAATATTGATCTCCATGACCTTTTATCCTAACCCAGACACTTCATTCTATTGATTCCAGGTCTATAGATAAACTCTTTCAACCAATTGCCAAACAGAAAATCTTTGAATCCATCTATGACATGGAGGCTTCTTCCAACCCTGTCCCCCACCCCACCACTGCTTCTGCTTCCAGTAATCCTTCTGCTCTGGACCAAACCAACATACATCTTACATATACTGATCGATGCTGTATATGTATATGCAAGACTCCGTCTCAAAAAAAAAAAAGGTTAACAGGGAAATAACTTTAAATAATGACTATCACACACAGTGTTGTGAATAATCTAGATAAACTATTAAATAATCAAGTAAATGTAATGAAATAAATGCTTATAAACAAACTTGCCATATAATTTAGAATCTAAGGTTATTAATTGATATTAAGGATCTGGGTAATTTCCAATCCAATTTAAAAATTACAGAAAACCTTTTTTTTTTTTTTTTTAAGATGGAGTCTCACTCTGTCACCCAGGCTGGAGTGCAGTGGCGTGATCTTGGTTCACTGCAAGCTCCACCTCCTGGGTTTACACCATTCTCCTGCCTCAGCCTCCTGAGTAGCTGGGACTACAGGTGCCCACCACCACGCCCGGCTAATTTTTTTTTTTGCATTTTTAGTAGAGACAGGGTTTCACCACGTTAGCCAGGATGGTTTTGATCTCCTGACCTCGTGATCCACCCACCTCGGCCTCCCAAAGTGCTGGGATTACAGGCGTGAGCCACCATACCTGGCAGAAAACCTTTTTTTAATGTTCTTATAAAAGTTCAATATGGAAGGGAGGAGCCAAGATGGTCGAATAGGAACAGCTCCGGTCTACAGCTCCCAGCGTGAGCGACGCAGAAGACGGGTGATTTCTGCATTTCCATCTGAGGTACCGGGTTCATCTCACTAGGGAGTGCCAGACAGTGGGCGCAGGCCAGTGGGTGCGTGCACCGTGCGTGAGCCGAAGCAGGGCGAGGCATTGCCTCACCTGGGAAGCGCAAGGGGTCAGGGAGTTCCCTTTCCGAGTCAAAGAAAGGGGTGACGGACGCACCTGGAAAATCGGGTCACTCCCACCCGAATATTGCGCTTTTCAGACCGGCTTAAGAAACGGCGCACCACGAGACTATATCCCACACCTGGCTCAGAGGGTCCTACGCCCACGGAGTCTCGCTGATTGCTAGCACGGCAGTCTGAGATCAAACTGCAAGGCAGCAACGAGGCTGGGGGAGGGGCGTCCGCCATTGCCCAGGCTTGCTTAGGTAAACAAAGCAGCCGGGAAGCTCGAACTGGGTGGAGCCCACCACAGCTCAAGGAGGCCTGCCTGCCTCTGTAGGCTCCACCTCTGGGGGCAGGGCACAGACAAACAAAAAGACAGCAGTAACCTCTGCAGACTTAAGTGTCCCTGTCTGACAGCTTTGAAGAGAGCAGTGGTTCTCCCAGCACGCAGCTGGAGATCTGAGAACGGGCAGACTGCCTCCTCAAGTGGGTCCCTGACCCCTGACCCCCGAGCAGCCTAACTGGGAGGAGGCACCCCCCAGCAGGGGCACACTGACACCTCACACGGCAGGGTATTCCAACAGACCTGCAGCTGAGGGTCCTGTCTGTTAGAAGGAAAACTAACAACCAGAAAGGACATCTACACCGAAAATCCATCTGTACAGCACCATCATCAAAGACCAAAAGTAGATAAAACCACAAAGATGGGGAAAAAACAGAACAGAAAAACTGGAAACTCTAAAACGCAGAGCGCCTCTCCTCCTCCAAAGGAACGCAGTTCCTCACCAGCAACAGAACAAAGCTGGATGGAGAATGATTTTGACGAGCTGAGAGAAGAAGGCTTCAGACGATCAAATTACTCTGAGCTATGGGAGGACATTCAAACCAAAGGCAAAGAAGTTGAAAACTTTGAAAAAAATTTAGAAGAATGTATAACTAGAATAACCAATACAGAGAAGTGCTTAAAGGAGCTGATGGAGCTGAAAACCAAGGCTCGAGAACTACGTGAAGAATGCAGAAGCCTCAGGAGCCGATGCGATCAACTGGAAGAAAGGGTATCAGCAATGGAAGATGAAATGAATGAAATGAAGCGAGAAGGGAAGTTTAGAGAAAAAAGAATAAAAAGAAATGAGCAAAGCCTCCAAGAAATATGGGACTATGTGAAAAGACCAAATCTACGTCTGATTGGTGTACCTGAAAGTGATGTGGAGAATGGAACCAAGCTGGAAAACACTCTGCAGGATATTATCCAGGAGAACTTCCCCAATCTAGCAAGGCAGGCCAACGTTCAGATTCAGGAAATACAGAGAACGCCACAAAGATACTCCTCGAGAAGAGCAACTCCAAGACACATAATTGTCAGATTCACCAAAGTTGAAATGAAGGAAAAAATGTTAAGGGCAGCCAGAGAGAAAGGTCAGGTTACCCGCAAAGGAAAGCCCATCAGACTAACAGCGGATCTCTCGGCAGAAACCCTACAAGCCAGAAGAGAGTGGGGGCCAATATTCAACATTCTTAAAGAAAAGAATTTTCAACCCAGAATTTCATATTCAGCCAAACTAAGCTTCATAAGTGAAGGAGAAATAAAATACTTTATAGACAAGCAAATGCTGAGAGATTTTGTCACCACCAGGCCTGCCCTAAAAGAGCTCCTGAAGGAAGCGCTAAACATGGAAAGGAACAACTGGTACCAGCCGCTGCAAAATCATGCCAAAATGTAAAGACCATCGAGACTAGGAAGAAACTGCATCAACTAATGAGCAAAATCACCAGCTAACATCATAATGACAGGATCAAATTCACACATAACAATATTAACTTTAAATATAAATGGACTAAATTCTGCAATTAAAAGACACAGACTGGCAAGTTGGATAAAGAGTCAAGACCCATCAGTGTGCTGTATTCAGGAAACCCATCTCACGTGCAGAGACACACATAGGCTCAAAATAAAAGGATGGAGGAAGATCTACCAAGCCAATGGAAAACAAAAAAAGGCAGGGGTTGCAATCCTAGTCTCTGATAAAACAGACTTTAAACCAACAAAGATCAAAAGAGACAAAGAAGGCCATTACATAATGGTAAAGGGATCAATTCAACAAGAGGAGCTAACTATCCTAAATATTTATGCACCCAATACAGGAGCACCCAGATTCATAAAGCAAGTCCTCAGTGACCTACAAAGAGACTTAGACTCCCACACATTAATAATGGGAGACTTTAACACCCCACTGTCAACATTAGACAGATCAACGAGACAGAAAGTCAACAAGGATACCCAGGAATTGAACTCAGCTCTGCACCAAGCAGACCTAATAGACATCTACAGAACTCTCCACCCCAAATCAACAGAATATACACTTTTTTCAGCACCACACCACACCTATTCCAAAATTGACCACATAGTTGGAAGTAAAGCTCTCCTCAGCAAATGTAAAAGAACAGAAATTATAACAAACTATCTCTCAGACCACAGTGCAATCAAACTAGAACTCAGGATTAAGAATCTCACTCAAAGCCGCTCAACTACATGGAAACTGAACAACCTGCTCCTGAATGACTACTGGGTACATAACGAAATGAAGGCAGAAATAAAGATGTTCTTTGAAACCAACGAGAACAAAGACACCACATACCAGAATCTCTGGGACGCATTCAAAGCAGTGTGTAGAGGGAAATTTATAGCACTAAATGCCTACAAGAGAAAGCAGGAAAGATCCAAAATTGACACCCTAACATCACAATTAAAAGAACTAGAAAAGCAAGAGCAAACACATTCAAAAGCTAGCAGAAGGCAAGAAATAACTAAAATCAGAGCAGAACTGAAGGAAATAGAGACACAAAAAACCCTTCAAAAAATCAATGAATCCAGGAGCTGGTTTTTTGAAAGGATCAACAAAATTGATAGACCGCTAGCAAGACTAATAAAGAAAAAGAGAGAAGAATCAAATAGACACAATAAAAAATGATAAACGGGATATCACCACTGATCCCACAGAAATACAAACTACCATCAGAGAATACTACAAACACCTCTACGCAAATAAACTAGAAAATCTAGAAGAAATGGATACATTCCTCGACACATACACTCTCCCAAGACTAAACCAGGAAGAAGTTGAATCTCTGAATAGACCAATAACAGGCTCTGAAATTGTGGCAATAATCAATAGTTTACCAACCAAAAAGAGTCCAGGACCAGATGGATTCACAGCCGAATTCTACCAGAGGTACAAGGAGGAACTGGTACCATTCCTTCTGAAACTATTCCAATCAATAGAAAAAGAGGGAATCCTCCCTAACTCATTTTATGAGGCCAGCATCATTCTGATACCAAAGCCGGGCAGAGACACAACCAAAAAAGAGAATTTTAGACCAATATCCTTGATGAACATTGATGCAAAAATCCTCAATAAAATACTGGCAAACCGAATCCAGCAGCACATCAAAAAGCTTATCCACCATGATCAAGTGGGCTTCATCCCTGGGATGCAAGGCTGGTTCAATATACGCAAATCAATAAATGTAATCCAGCATATAAACAGAGCCAAAGACAAAAACCACATGATTATCTCAATAGATGCAGAAAAAGCCTTTGACAAAATTCAACAACCCTTCATGCTAAAAACTCTCAATAAATTAGGTATTGATGGTACATATTTCAAAATAATAAGAGCTATCTATGACAAACCCACAGCCAATATCATACTGAATGGGCAAAAACTGGAAGCATTCCCTTTGAAAACTGGCACAAGACAGGGATGCCCTCTCTCACCGCTCCTATTCAACATAGTGTTGGAAGTTCTGGCCAGGGCAATCAGGCAGGAGAAGGAAATAAAGGGTATTCAATTAGGAAAAGAGGAAGTCAAATTGTCCCTGTTTGCAGACGACATGATTGTTTATCTAGAAAACCCCATTGTCTCAGCCCAAAATCTCCTTAAGCTGATAAGCAACTTCAGCAAAGTCTCAGGATACAAAATCAATGTACAAAAATCACAAGCATTCTTATACACGAACAACAGACAAACAGAGAGCCAAATCATGGGTGAACTCCCATTCACAATTGCTTCAAAGAGAATAAAATACCTAGGAATCCAACTTACAAGGGATGTGAAGGACCTCTTCAAGGAGAACTACAAACCACTGCTCAAGGAAATAAAAGAGGACACAAACAAATGGAAGAACATTCCATGCTCATGGGTAGGAAGAATCAATATCGTGAAAATGGCCATACTGCCCAAGGTAATTTACAGATTCAATGCCATCCCCATCAAGCTACCAATGACTTTCTTCACAGAATTGGAAAAAACTACTTTAAAGTTCATATGGAACCAAAAAAGAGCCCGCATTGCCAAGTCAATCCTAAGCCAAAAGAACAAAGCTGGAGGCATCACACTACCTGACTTCAAACTATACTACAAGGCTACAGTAACCAAAACAGCATGGTACTGGTACCAAAACAGAGATATAGATCAATGGAACAGAACAGAGCCCTCAGAAATAATGCCGCATATCTACAACTATCTGATCTTTGACAAACCTGAGAAAAACAAGCAATGGGGAAAGGATTCCCTATTTAATAAATGGTGCTGGGAAAACTGGCTAGCCATATGTAGAAAGCTGAAACTGGATCCCTTCCTTACACCTTATACAAAAATCAATTCAAGATGGATTAAAGATTTAAACGTTAAACCTAAAACCATAAAAACCCTAGAAGAAAACCTAGGCATTACCATTCAGGACATAGGCGTGGGCAAGGACTTCATGTCCAAAACACCAAAAGCAATGGCAACAAAAGACAAAATTGACAAATGGGATCTAATTAAACTAAAGAGCTTCTGCACAGCAAAAGAAACTACCATCAGAGTGAACAGGCAACCTACAACATGGGAGAAAATTTTTGCAACCTACTCATCTGACAAAGGGCTAATATCCAGAATCTACAATGAACTCAAACAAATTTACAAGAAAAAAACAAACAACCCCATCAAAAAGTGGGCGAAGGACATGAACAGACACTTCTCAAAAGAAGACATTTATGCAGCCAAAAAACACATGAAGAAATGCTCATCATCACTGGCCATCAGAGAAATGCAAATCAAAACCACTATGAGATATCATCTCACACCAGTTAGAATGGCAATCATTAAAAAGTCAGGAAACAACAGGTGCTGGAGAGGATGCGGAGAAATAGGAACACTTTTACACTGTTGGTGGGACTGTAAACTAGTTCATCCATTGTGGAAGTCAGTGTGGTGATTCCTCAGGGATCTAGAACTAGAAATACCATTTGACCCAGCCATCCCATTACTGGGTATATACCCAAATGAGTATAAATCATGCTGCTATAAAGACACATGCACACGTATGTTTATTGCGGCACTATTCACAATAGCAAAGACTTGGAACCAACCCAAATGTCCAACAATGATAGACTGGATTAAGCAAATGTGGCACATATACACCATGGAATACTATGCAGCCATAAAAAATGATGAGTTCATATCCTTTGTAGGGACATGGATGAAAATGGAAACCATCATTCTCAGTAAACTATCACAAGAACAAAAAACCAAACACCGCATATTCTCACTCATAGGTGGGAATTGAACAATGAGATCACATGGACACAGGAAGGGGAATATCACACTCTGGGGACTGTGGTGGGGTCGGGGGAGGGGGGAGGGATAGCATTGGGAGATATACCTAATGCTAGATGACACATTAGTGGGTGCAGCGCACCAGCATGGCACATGTATACATATGTAACTAACCTGCACAATGTGCACATGTACCCTAAAACTTAGAGTATAATAAAAAAATAAAAAAAAAAAAGTTCAATATGTTTATTTAATTCAAAGCTTATTTAAAGGTTATGTGTAAAACAAGGTAAAAGGAAGCAGGAAATAAGAGATGTAAAGAAAATTATCAATATAAAGAGGCATTTTTTGTATTTAAGGCAAACAGGAAAGTAATTTTATATGAGAAAGAATCTTGCCTAGTGAATTTTTGTTCTAAAATAAAATGACTGGGTTGTTTAAGAAAGTGAAATATTTAGGACAAACCAGAAGGTCCAAGTATGTTGTGAATGGTCTAAGTTGTAATAAGGTTAGTAAAAAGGGAACTTATAAAAGTATTATGTGATTAATTGGTTTTAATTACAGAAAATTATAATAGTTTTTTAAAATTGAACTTTGGTATTTAAAAATATGCTAATACAAAATTAAATAATTGGTTAAAACAAGATTTTATTAAAATATTAACTTATACTTAATGCAAGAGGTTTTTAATTTTTAAATTCTATAATCTGTCTCTTTGAAATTCTTCAGATTAGTATCTCAAAAATTCAGGTCTTTCTCTTTTGAAAAGGCCTTCACCTTTTGTTGGCTCTTGTAACTTTTAATTATCTAAAGTAAGAGAA
This sequence comes from Homo sapiens, assembly GCF_000001405.40. Taxonomy (NCBI): domain Eukaryota; kingdom Metazoa; phylum Chordata; class Mammalia; order Primates; family Hominidae; genus Homo; species Homo sapiens. The sequence goes on from NC_000011.10 coordinate 125,543,234, forward strand.
GAATTTTTTTAAAAAACATGGCAATTAAATATCTTTTGGACCTGCCATTTGTATTCTGCATGCCTGTGATAGCTCTATTCTTATATGTGTCACGTGGAAGTGATAGTTCACTACTGTTAAATCAAGTTTAGCCTAAAGCTGTCTCCTCACATATTTTAAGTTTGGCCTAAGGGTTTTACTGTACATCATGAACTGCTGCAAGTGGAGGTGTAAACAGACTGTACCCTACCTTGTGTCAATCCCAGAGTTTCTGCCAATCAAATGTAGCCAACTGTTCAAACCATGTTCAAATAAGGCAAACACTGAGCTATAACCAATCCAGCTGTTTCTGTTCCTCACTTCCATTTTCTGTTCCTCACTTCCATTTTCTGTACATCACTTTCCTTTTTCTGTCAATAAATCTTTTTCACCATATGGCTGTGCTGGAGTCTGGGCCTACTCTGGGTCAGGAGACTGCCTAATTCACAAATTGTTTATTGTTCAATTAAATGTCTTTAAATTTAATTTGGCTGAAGTTTTTCTTTCATCAGATGGTGTCAGAAGTGGGATCTGAACTAGAGCCTCTAACGAGACCCCCAGGAGTGCTGAGTGACCAAGCAAGGTATCTGCTGGACCCATTGTGTTCGTTTCTCTCTCAGAGTAGTTGAGGATCATGGTAAGGTCTCCCTCAGATGCTGAAGCTCCACGGATTTGTTTTGAACTGAGTTTCTTTGAGCAAGTCTCTGATTTAATCTGGATTTGGAAGTTGTGATGGAAACTGGACTTGGTTCAGGATCAGATTGGATCTGGAATTAATCATCTTGGATCCAGTTAGAGGCCTCCTACATCTGACTGGGTCAGAAAGAAACTGGTAGTAAATGGCAATGTTGCAGGGGATGTAAAATTTGGCTTTTGGAAATTCTCATGGACTTTTGTGTACTACCCCTTTGTTTCATTTTTCATGTGCCATTATGTAGAAAAAAAATTGTCTGAGTTGATCAAGGGAACCTGAGAGCAAGGCCAATATTTGAGGTAAAAATGAGATCCTTAATTTCTTTTTCTCGGTTTTTGTTGTTGTTGTTGTTGTTTTGTTTTGTTTTGTTTTGTTTTTTGAGACAGAGTCTCACTTCATCAACCAGGCTGGAGTGCAGTGGCATGATCTTGGCTCACTGCAATCTTCACCTCCTGGGTTCAACAGATTATCGTGCCTCAGCCTCCCAAGTAGATGGGATTACAGGAGTGTGAAACAACACCAGGCTAATTTTTGTATTTTTAGAGGAGACGTGGATTTTGCCATGTTGGCCAGGCTGGTCTTGAACTCCTGGCTTCAAGTTATTTACCCACCTCAGCCTCCCAAAGTGCTGGGATTACAGGAATGAGCCACCACACCTGCCAAGATCTTTAACTTCTGAAGAACTGAGTTCCTTCCAGCTTAAACATGCGTAAGTATTATACCCTGGAAGCAGCAAAGTTTTACAGAAATGGCAAAATATTACTAAAGATAACTTACAGTGGAACGTTACAAATAAACAACACTGTACTGAAATGAATTTGAAAATAAGGGCTCCCAAATTAGTCTCATCTAGGGATGCCTATTGATGTACAAAACTTCTTTAAAAAATCAGTATTTTTATTAAAAACTTTATGAGGCTGGATGCAGTGACTCATGCCTGTAATCCCAGCACTTTGGGAGGCCTAGGTGGATGGATCACCTGAGGTAGGAGTTTGAGACCAGCCTGACCAATAGGGCAAAACCCCATCTCTACTAAAAAACAAAAATTAGCCAAGCGTGATGGCGGGCACCTGTAGTCCCAGCTACTTGGGAGGCTGAGGCAGGAGAATCACTTGAACCCAGGGGGTGGAGGTTGCAATGAGCCAAGTTCATGCCACTGCACTCCAACCTGGGTGACAGAGTGAGACTCCATCTCAAAAAATAAAAATAAAAATAAATGAAGACTTTACGAAAGGTAAATAAAAAGCTTAAGCAACTAATTGATTTAAAAATTTAAATATGCTAAACTTTTGGTTTAGTTACTATCCCTATCCAAAGGAAATAGATTGCAGCACCAATTGGCTGACTTTGAGTAAGTAGTGAGGTACATTTTACCTCGGTAAAGGATAGGATTGGGTTTGAGGCCCAACTTAGGAAGATTAGAGTCCCTCATAAGATTTAGGGGGTTAGAGGTCCCTCTCAGTAAAGTCCCTCTTGGTTAAAAATGGATTTGGCACTACAGAATGTTAAGCACTATTCTCTTTGAATTTAATCTGCCTTGCACTATTTGCTGATAGCTGTGGGTGACAGGATTAGGTGTGTACAGGAACATGGGACTGCTTTAAGAGATCGCTTTGCGACTGACAAGTGGCTGCCTGAACATTTGATTCAGTGTCACTGCAAGGGGTTGGCCTTTCTCTGGCCTCCCTGAGCTCCTAGTCTTCCTCACCTCAGCACAGCCAATGCTTTTCTCTCTCTTTCTCCTTTCCCTTTCCTCTCTTTTCTGTTACTCAGAGCAACCATCTTGCCCAGAGACCCACATGTTGAAACTTCTATAATCAACTTTGAATGGATCAAAGATGACAGGGCCCAACCAGGGGCAAGTTTGAGCCCTGACAGTTCAATATCTGGTGCTAAGCAGAGTGGCTAATGTCTGTTTTGTCACATGAATTTTGCTCTGACCAGAATGGAAAGTGTTTATTTGGTAACCCCATGCAAGTTCTGGGCAGCACCTTGCAAAATTGAGCGGTGTTGCCTATGATTTCACGAAATGGAAAAAAGTAAGTTTCCTTTGTAATGTGGATTGGCCCCCAGGGCTATCGTGCAGCAAGCAGCATGGCTAGGGCTGCTTGGGAAAGGAAACTCAGAAGCCTGACATGCTGGCAAAAGGGTAAGAATTTCTTACCAGTCAGACTTCTGGCCTCTCTCTCTCTCTATGCAAACTGGTTGTAGGAATGGCAAAAATCACTGTCTCCTCTACAAAGTTGTAATTAATGAAAAAAAGGATTCATGAGGCTAGTCTTAAGCTGTGGCAAATCTGGTGTACTTTGTGCTTTGAATTCATCTTTCTGCATTGTTTTGTCATAAGAAGTGGTATCATGTGATAGAATGCAGGCCTAGGACCCCCATAAACTTCCTGTTCAAGTTAGCCTGGTCAGTGACAAACTTTGCTGCTGGTCTCCAAAACAACAAAAAAACTGGATGAGGTTTCCCCCTCATCTTGTTTTACATCTTTAGGAGCTTGACCTTGTAACCACATGGCCATACTTTCTCTTGGTCTTTGCCATCCAGGGAACAGGAATTTTGGGGTTGGTGTCATAGTTAGCTCTAAAAATTATCTTGAAAAGTTAAAAACCATTGCAAGCTCAAAATGGACTGCTCTAGGCTCCTTGTGGGAAGAACAATGAAACCACCCAATGCTGTAGCTTAGCATCTAAGGCTTTGTCTTTTATAATGGCAGTCAGAGTTCAATTCCTGGCTTAGGGAATGAGTCCTGTTTGGTGTGATATCTGGTGTGAGTTTTGCCATTTATTGATTCTCTTCTTCTCCATGAACAACTTCTGACTTCCCATTTTGAATTTTCCTTTCTCTGAAAAGAAAAGGTTACCTTCGTTCAAAAGCCAGAAATATTTGCTGTTTGTTCTGGCTAGAGTTTCATAATAAGATATTTGGTTAAAAGTCAGCTTAGTTAAAAGCAGATAGTCAAGCTACAGGTATATTTAAAATGCCTTTATGGTTCTTCCTCTTCTTGATTCTTATTTTTCTGGGAAAAAAAGTTTTGTTTTTTATTTTCAGTCAACCGAATTGTATTTCTCCATTTTGTCTTCTTACCACTCTTGATGCACACATGAGGAGACCTAACATAACTTCTAACAGTCTAGGACCCCTGGGGAAAAACAGAGGAGGAGCCACAGACCCTGTTATGGGAAAAACTTGTTTTCGTCATGAAACCCCAGGAATTGAAAGCACATAGATCCCTCTCAAAATCTAAGGCTAAATATAGTTTTGGGGATGGCAAATGGCAGTTATGGGGAAATACTCGGCTCTTTGCATGTTTTGATCAGAGAAGCATGCTCTCGGCCATGTAGAAAGTATGGAAATGTCCCCACCTCCTACTGAGAGATAAGAGTCCCATGGAGCTGGGCTGATCACAAAATGGGCTGATCAGCTTTGGGTTGCTTTGCAATGAAATGCAAAGTAAAACCATTGCTCTGGCTAGGCGTGGTGGCTCACCTCTGTAATCCCAGCACTCTGGGAGACTGAGACAGGTGGATCACTTCAGACCAGGAGTTCGAGATCAACATGGTGAACATAGTGAAACCCTGTCTCTACTAAAAATACAAAGAATTAGCCAGGCATGGTGGCGCACACCTGTAGTCTCAGCTGCTTGGGAGGCTGAGGCAGAAAAATCGTTTGAACTTGGGAGGTGGAGGTTGCAGTGAGCAGAGATTGTGTCGCTGCACGTCAGCCTAGGTGACAGAGTGAGACTCTGTCTCAGAATAACAACAACAACAAAAAAAATCATTTACTGTCTTGTTCTATAGCATTTCTCTTTTGGGGATCTAGGATCCAGTATTGTTAGGAGTAGCGAATATCCAAGTAACTGGCAGCAGATCCAAATGAGTATGCAGAACCTAAATTCTTGCCTCTTCAAAAGAAAGAATTTGACTGAGGGGCACAAGACAGAAAAAGAGACTGAGGCAAGTTTCAGAGCAGGAGTGGAAGTTTATGAAAAAGTTTTAGAGGAGGAAAGAAAGAAAAGTACACTTGGAAGAGACCAAAGTGGGCACTTTGGAGGTCAAGTATTCCCTTTAACCTTGATCCTAGGACTTTATATACTGGTGAAGCAGCTACATTGTCTGGGGTACATACCCTGACAATGTACCCTGGGGTTTGTTGTCACACACTAGGGAAATTTAGGACTGTGTAAACAAGGTATGAGGCCAGTTCTCCCCATGGGGCTTTTATCAGCTCTGCAGGTACAGGTTGACTCCTTAAAGGGAAGCATACCCTTCCAGTCAAAGCCTTGATAAAATAACCAATTTTTCCAATTGTGTCCTGTCAAAAAATAAAAATGGATTCTTATTGCACCGATGCAAACAACTATATCACCATAAGTTGTTTGGCAATATAACTGCCAAACACACAGATAGTTTCCAAATTCTAGAGGAACCAGGCAGAGAGAAACAAACATGCTCCAAATTTTGTTCACAGAAGTATAACTTACTCAATTATTAAAGACCATAAATAGTTCAAAATCAGTTTCCTTGATGCTGAAAAACAAAACAAGGATCAGAAATATTCTAAGCAAAAGTCAAAAAGGTTGCTTTAACTTTCTGAGTGCAGTCCATTTAGTTAATTCATTTTGCTTAACATTGGTGAACATGTCAGTTCTTTACGAGTCCTGTGCATTTTTTCTCGATTCCAATGTTACAATTTTCAAAGCTATTAGAAAACTGCATTTGAGAACACTGTTAAAGTCTTATAGCTTGGGCTGGATGTGGTGGCTCACACCTGTAATCCCAGCATTTTGGGAGGCTGAGGCAGGTGGATCACCTGAGATCGGGAGTTCAAGACCAGCCTGACTAATACGGAGAAACCCTGTCTCTACTAAAAGTACAAAATTAGCTGGGCGTGGTGGCGCATGCCAGTAATCCCAGCTACCTGGGAGGCTGAGGCAGGAGAATCACTTGAACTCGGGAGGCGGAGGCTGCAGTGAGCTGAGATTGTGCCATTGCACTCCAGCCTGGGCAACAAGAGAGAAACTCTGTCTCAAAAGAAAATAAAAAAACATAATAATAAAGTCTTATAGCTTGATTATAACCCATCTTTTGAGAAAGAACAAAGCAAGGCAACAATTGTCTGTGAATGACAAAATTTCCAGGGTAGTTGCAGTTAAATACATGACTGACAAAGAAGTTTAGTTATCTCCATGGTTTATAAAAACTTTACCCTTAATTATGATTGATAGCATACACTTAGACATTAGAATTTTAGAAATTCCATACAATTTTGGAACATATATTATTATTATTCACCAAAATACAACCTAAAGAAGATTAGACATCATTTTGGCAATCTCATGTGACTAAACATACCACATAATCCTGTTTACCACTTCTCTGGATGTTTCAGGGACCCTCTGAACCATCCAGAAAGTCAGACATCAAGAAAGACAATTTTGAAACTTGAAGTTTGATTTTGGGGTGCCTGTTAAATGTTAAAGGTTTAAAACACTTGACGTTATAAAATAGAATTCCAGATTTCCATAAATTATTTTAGCAAAATGATGACTCAAAAGGCAAAAACCGTTCATTAGCCTTTACTATTGCACAAAAATCCTGTTCAAGGCCAAATTTTACCCTTGCATTACTTTATTAATGTTAATCCAAATTTATTTAAATGAAACCTTATAAAGGATTCCATCTAATCTTAACCAATTTGACCATAAGGTGAAATCTTTACAAATCCTTTATAACCCCTTTTTCTAAAGGGCAGATTAGTGTCTTAAGACAAACTTGCTGTGCTTTTATTTAAATGCTCAATTTATAAAAAGACCACATAATACCTTTTTGAATGTAGTTAATGTTTGTACATTTTTTGCAAGATTAATATTTACCATCTTTTCACAACTTACTTAAACCTTTAGCTGTATCATATAAAATTTAAGATAATCCCTCATCCCTGGGAAAATTTACATTTCCATGCTTTCTTATAATCTTTTACTAAAAGACATATTTTACTGTTTTTATATGCCTTGCATATAAAACTGTTTAGTGACCTTAAATACATGTTGCACTGTTAACTCTTAGCAACTTTTACTTTTGGTGAAAACTTAGTTAGTAAGCAATTTCAATCATGCACCAGGTGTGGAGCCTAGGATCCAGACAGAAGTGCAGATAAGGTCGGACTCTTTCCAGAGTCTAACTCCATGTATTCCAGGCCTTGCCTATCTGTAAAGCAGGCAGTATACAACCTTGGAACGTTTAGCAAACCTAGCATCTGACCTTGTATGATTTAGACCACCTATTTGCTTTTTGATGACACCTGCGTTTTATCAATAATCCCTAAGACTATTTTTATTTCTTTTTTTTTTTTTTTTTTTTGAGACAGAGTCTTGCTCTGTCACCCAGACTGGAGTACAGTGGCACCATCTCAGCTCACTGCAACCTCCACCTCATTGGTTCAAGTGATTTTCCTGCCTCAGCCTCCCGAGTAGCTGAGGTTACAGGTGCCCACCACCATGCCCAACTAATGTTTTTATTTTTAGTAGAGATGGGGTTTTGCCATGTTGGCCAGGCTGGTCTTGAACTCCTGACCTCAGGTGATCCATCCACGTCAGCCTCCCAAAGTGCTGGGATTACAGGCTTGAGCCACCGCGCCCAGCCTATTTTTATTTCTTAAAGATTAAAGTCATGTGAACTAAAAATATATTTGATTTAAGTGCTTATTTTCTTTTAGAGCCAGCTCTTTTTTACAGATATTACACACAACATATATATGCACAGACAGAAGAAGATTTAGCACTTGCAAGATTTGTCATTTGCCAGTTTCCTGATTAGATTACTGGCTTCAGGGTGGAGCCCTTGGAGGAACAGGGCAAGGCGACATGCATTTTTAGGGTCTAATAAGCAGGCACAGCTGATGGCAAAGACAGATCTCTAAAATTAAAGGATCCATTTTATACTGGACTTTGGATCCCCAAAAGGAGGGAAATACTATGAGAGAAGACAATGCAGTGCTTCTACTGTGTATTTCATTGCAAGGCAACACAAAGCCAATTGGCTTATTTTGTAATCAGCCCATCCCCCATGGGAGTCTCATCTCTTAGTTGTGGGTGGGGATGTTTCCATATCTTTCAGGTGGCCAAGAGCATGCTTCTCTGATTTATAACTATTATTAGCCATCCCTTAAACTGTATTTCCTACCTAGTTATTACACACCAAAACTCTCTCCTAATGTGAAGTAATTTAATACCCCCAAAACTCAAAATTGTCAGATAACACAATGCAAAACACAACAGAACCTTTGATTTTAAGAGAGAACTATGTGCTTTTAATTCCTGGGGTTTCATGAGGAAAACAGAGGTTTTTTTCCCAAAATGGGGTCTGTGGTGCCTCCTCTGTTTTTCCCTAGGAGTCCCATGCTACCAGAAGTTATCTTAGGACCTCTCATGCATGCATTAAGAGTGGGAAGACAAAAAAAAAAATAGAGAAAAATAATTCGGTTGACTGAAAAGAAAAAAAAAAAAAACCATTTTCCAAAAAAAAAACAAGATCCAAGAAGAGAAAAACATAAAGGCCTTTCAAATCTACCTATAAATTGAATATCCACTTTTAATTAACCTGGGCACTCTTTAAGAAAATCGTTTTAAATCCCTTGTTACTCAACTTTAACCATGCCAAGCAGTTAAGATTTTCAATTTTTGAACGTCACAAAATGTAACCTCACAGGTGAAACCAATGAGCCTTAATTAGGTTATGACTTAACCATGAGTATAAAAGGTATTTTCAAAAGGGTGATAAGGAGCTTTTGAAATTGTCATTGCAAAATTGTGACTGAGAAAGTGAAAGAGATCTGATCCAAACAGCTCCATTTTGCATCCAGCCCCCAAGTTGTCCTTGTCCATCCCAGGCATAGGCCAAACCAACTTTGGGAGGAGGCTGGTTTACAGTTTATAGTCTGAACCAAAGATGATAACAGCCCTTTCTTAAGATATACTTCCCTCTTGCCTGGGGACTGGACCAAGAACCTTGCCACAAGATTAGAAACCATGGCCTAGGAGTCACACAGCTGGAGGCTACACGATTTTGACCCTCCCCAAACTGCTCTCAAGATTGGTGCTTAAGATATTTTGTAAACCCTGCCCTTGATGGATCAGCTGCCACCACTCAGATTGACAAACTGGCTTATCTGATTTTGTGGCCCTCACCCAGGAATTGACTTGGTACAAGAATACAGCCACCATTGTAAAATGGCAGAGACTAAAACAAAGTATTGCCATGTGGTTACAGGTCATGTGCCCAAGGACATGAAACAAGATGGAGACTTGTAGCCTAGTTTGTTACTGACCATTTTGTTGTGCTGGCTTGAACAGCAGGCTTATGGGGTCCTGGGCCTGCATCCTAACCTAAGGTACCCTTTTTCTTTTGACAGAACCATACAGAAAGACTCACAAAGTACACCAGATTGACTACAGCTTAAGACCAACCTCACAAATCCTTTTTCATTAATTAAAACTTTACAGAGAATATAAACAATGATTCTTATTATGCTTTTTGCCAGTTTGCATAGGGAGAGAGAAGACAAAAGCTTGACTGGTTAAAAAAAAAAAAAACTTTTACCCTTTTGCCAGCATGTCAGGCTTCTGGGTTCCCTTCCTCCTAGCTCAACCCTAAGTGGAGCATTTTAAGGTTTGGGGAAGTCAGCTTTTCCCAGGTTGGAAGAACATTGTAAAAGAACTATTTTAAACTGTGAAAGGAAAGATACCATAGAAAAGTCTAGGGGATCCAAATAGGGTTGTCAAGAGGTGCTGCCTCTCTTCCTATTAGGGATGGTGTTTCCCCTATTTCTTCACCTTTTCTATTGTCCCTTTTCCTTTTAGACCTACTATAGGAGACATATTGCTCATCTCCCAAATTTCTCTGCTGCCTACATAGCTGCCTGCTTCTCAGCTGCGGTTAGGGTTTGGCTTAGGAGCAGCACAACATCCCGCTATGAGAGGACAAATACCTATTTTGGAAGTCTTCTATATACCTATCAGAGTCATCAGAAAATCAGCCTAAGTCTCCCTTTATTTGCTTAAGATCCTGTAATGAGAAGGGAACTTGAAACCTAGTAGCATCAGCTCCATTGGGCATTTCCTGTAGGGGGAAGACTGAAGCCGGGGGAGTGGGAAATTTTGGAGATGGTAGAGATGGAAGAGCTGGTGGTGTGGTTGGTGGTGGCTCCAGATAAGGGGGAGTGGAAGGGCTGAGACACCCGATAGCTTCCTCAGATGGTTCCCCCAGAAGTTGCTTTTTTACTTTTGGGGAATTATTCTCTTTGGGCCTGCCAGATAAGATTGCTAAAAGAGCTGTGTTGATTTTAGAATGCTTGCAAAAGGTCTAGTAAAAAGGCCATGTCCTTGTGCAAAACAAAATGAGCCACTTTTTCTTTAAAGTCTCAGGGTGAAAGGGGTCCCAGTGCTTCAGAATGCACTCCAGGGGAGTGCAGGTTGAAGATGGTACCCATCTAGAAAAAGAAGTGAGAAAAGGGCATCCCTTTAGTCTCCTTTCTTTTGGTGTGACCCAGGGTGGAGAGGAAGACAGTGGGGATGTCCCCTCCTGCTGTTTTCCATCCATGATTTCTGGGTCCTGGCACATGCCATCCATGGTTGCAGGTATGACCCCCCCCAGCCATGGAAGAAGAGGAACTAAGCAACTAGGGCTAGTCACACTCACCCAAGTGGCTCTAGTCCTCTCCCTGTGATTTCCCTTTGACTTCCTAGACTTATGTGATGGGCCTGGCTCCCCTAAAAATGGATCTCAAGAAAAACTACGTAATAGTTGGACAAAGCCCCTTTAATGGAAGGGGCGTGTGAGATTGAACACTATATCCTGCTATTATGGCCCATGCTAAAGCATTTACCCTTAAAGAATGGTTCTGGTTAACTTCCAAACTTAAAATCCCCTCACTAATTAAGTACCATTCTAATTGGAGGCAGAATAGGTGCTGTAAAAGAACATAGGGACTAAATGGCCATTTTCCTGCTGAAGGGACAGTATCGAGACTAAAATTTGGCTTCAGAGTATATTTTACTCCTAGTTGTTGGAGGCAGAATTTTCCTGTTTACAGAAGCAGCATAAAGCCTGGTTTCTGGTAGAGGGGTGCACAAAGGGGAGAGAACTGGGAAGCTAGGGTGTTTCCGTGAAGGACCAACAATATGCCTCATTGAGAGGATCTCTATTCCACTAGGGAGCACTGTTGACCTTGAAACACCTTGCGCTCTCTAGACTAGGGGCAGAGTGAGCTTGACATGCCATGTGCTCTCCAGACCAAGGGCAGAGAGTGACCTGGAAGTGTTATGTGCTCACCAGACAAAGGGCAGAGAGAGACTTGGGAATACCCTGTGCTCTCTAGACCGAGGGCAGAGAGTGATGCTCACTGTTGTGGGGGAACCTCTGTTCCTAGAAAATTACAAAGACACCTTCCCTTGAGCTGTATCCCCAGTTACTATGACATTCCCTGATCCTGCCAAACAAGATTACTTCCCTGAACTGTAAAACTTCCCACACATTGCATACACAGAGAGGATAAGCTATATGACCGTTGTGGACAGGAAAAGAGGAAATTATGATAGGAAAGTTGGAGATCTTGTTACTGACACCCCATTGGGGTGGTCAGAGACTGGGGTCCGTCCAGAAGCCTTTAGATAACACTGAGGGGTAGCTCCAGCCAGAAATCCTCAGTTGCTCCAGGACTTCTTCCAGCCCCATGTGATGGCTAAGTCCTCCACGAAAGGAAACTGGTTTAAACATGGCCAATACAGGCCAGGCACAGTGGCTCATGCCTGTAATCCCAGCACTTGGGGAGGCTGAGGCAGGTGGACCACCTGAAGTCAGGGGTTTGAGACCAGCCTGGCCAACATGGTGAAACCCCGTCTCCAATAAAAACACAAAAATTAGCTGGGCATGGTGGCACACGCCTGTAATCCTAGCTACTTGGGAGACTAAGGCAGGAAGAATCACTTGAACCTGGGAGGCGGAGGTTGCAGTGAACCGAGATCGCACCACTGCACTCCAGCCTAGGTGACAGAGCAAGACTGTCTCAAAAAAAAAAAAAAAAAGGTGGCGGGGGGCGGGCAATATGCCCAGCATCCTATGGATACTGGGGCTTCTCCATGTTCTCCACAGCAAGCCTGTCCCCCAAGTCTTCTAAGGCTGGCAGCCACACTAATCATTTTTAAATGGCTAAAGGGGGCCCAGTATTTGGTTTGATTTAGTTCTAAAATGGAGGCTGAGAGCCTCAAAATGAAAGGACAGAGTTGGAGTCCACTCCTCTACTCACTCTTCTGATGAATGCTATACCTTGGTATCCCAGGCAAGGTCCCCATTATGAAGCAGCTACATTGTCTGGGTAATATAACCTGGGGTTCATTGTCGCCTGCCAGGGAAATTTAGGACATGGACACACACAAGGAGTTTAGGAACAGAGGTAGAAGAGAAAGAGAAACAGCTTCCTGTATAGAAGAAGGGGCCTTGAGTGGAAAAGACTAGCTAGCAGTCAATGTGTCGAGTTCTATAGTCCAGTTTGAGGAGGCAATTCTGATTTACCCAGGGCTCATAGATTGGTTTGATCAGGTATGACGTTTACACAGTGCATGGGGAAGGCTGTCGTCCCACCCTAATGTTTTTATGCAAATGGGCTTTCTAGTTGATTAGTGCCATCTTGTCTGCTCCTTTACAGTACATGTGGCTGGAAGAGAAGGGACGATGGAGCCTCCGCCTTGAACATGTCTAGTCCTCAGTTCCTGCCTGCATTCACCCATGCAAGCTTCCATCTTGCAGCCTGCTCTTTGTTAGAAAATGATTTGCGGCTGCTCTTCATCAAAAAGAAAAGCCTTACTGAGGACTCCCATACCCTTCCTATCTGCCTAAGTGATTTCTTCTTAACTGCTATATCACTGGCACACTTCTAGCCTTACACCACATTCCCTTCATTCTCTTTCCTTAGGGTGAGCTGCCCACATGCACAGTGCTCTCCTTAAACTTGGGAGGTAAGCTTGTGCGGTGTGTTTAAGAAGTTGTATACCTGGCTGGGCGCAGTGGCTCACACCTGTAATCTTAACACTTTGGGAGGCCGAGGCGGGTGGATCATGAGGTCAAGAGATTGAGACCATCCTGGCCAACATGGTGAAACCCTGTCTCTACTAAAAATAAAAAAATTAGCCGGGGGTGGTGGCATGTGCCTGTAGTCCCAGCTAAGGCAGAAGAATCGCTTGAATCCGGGAGGCGGAGGTTGCAGTGAGCCGAGATCCTGCCAATGCACTCCAGCCTGGGCCACAGAGCAAGGCTCCATCTTAAAACAAATAAAAATAAAAGAAGTTGTTGTACACCTGCCCACCTGAAGATTTCTTCCCTTTTCTGGTGAAATGCCCCTGGAAGGTCATACTTCACCATTTTATCTGATAATGCAGACGCCAAAGCTCACTCCCCCAATTCCTGGTATTTTATTGGAAGCTGCTGATTACCAATATCTAGCATTTTTATCCGTTGGGAAATTGTCTCTCCCTGGCCTCTATGACCAATTATAATTTTTAGAGAGGCAGTGTGGCAACTGCCAAACCATCACCTGATCATCGCCTGACATTCCTGGTTGGGTGGAGGTGAGCCCTTTCCTGCCCTGCTCATGCCTGGCTAGCTACCTAATGTAACAGTATGAAAATGGGACCCTGAATTTTTTGGGATCTGTTTTGCTTTCCAGATGCTGTTTATTAGGCCCAAGAAACTACATGTTTTCCTAGCCCTGTTCCTCAGAGAACTGCATCCTGAAGCCAGTAATCTAATTAAGAAACTTAAAAACTGGCAAATGAAAACCCTTACAACTACTGGATCTTCTTCTGTGTAGTTATATGTGTTATGTGTGTAACGTTTATGTTTGAAGGAGCTCTTGTTAATTAGCTTAGAAATAGCAAATGCTTAAATAATTTTTTTTTTTTGTCAGAGAATTAGAAAACTAATGCCTTTTAGTTCATGTGACTTTAGTAAGCTTTGGGAAATAAAAAATTTTAAAGATTATTGGTCAAATAAAGACATTTGGTCTAAATTAGGCAGGTTAGATATTAGATTTGCTAAATTCTTTAAGGTAATAAACTGCTTCTTTAACTTTTGAAAATTGTTCAACTTACCTGCTTTGGAGCCATTAGATTCTAGGTGAGGCCTGGGGACATATGGAGTTAGCCATTCCCCCTGATTATGCTGGAAAGAGTCAGATGTTATGTGGACTTCTGTCTGGTGTCCTGGGCTCCACACCTAGTACATAATTATAATCGCTTACTTACCAGGTTTTTCACCAAAAAAAAAAAAAAAAAAAAAAGAAAAATTGCTAAGAGTTAGCACTGTAACATGTAATTGAGACTTATGAAAAAAAGGCAGTTTTACTTGGAAGGTGTGTGAGGAAAACTGAAATGTGCTTTTAGTGAAAGATTACAAGAAGGCATGGGAATGTAAATTTTTGCCTAGTTTAGAGGGTTAAAGGATTGTTTTAAATTATGTAGGATAAAGCTAAAGGTTTGAGCAAGTTGTGGAAGGTTTGTGAAAAATTAATCTTGTAAAAGAAATTCTGTGTGTGAACATATTGGCTAAATTTAAATTGAACATTGGAATGAAAGCACAATAGGGTTTTCTGAGAGCATTGATCTGCTCTTTAACAATAATTCGTAAAAGGTTTATGAGAATCTTACCTTATGGTCAAATTGATTAAGACTGAATAGCTGTCCATTCTTTGCTAACGTTTGGCCGGGCGCGGTGGCTCATACCTGTAATCCCAGCACTTTGGGAGGCCGAGGCAGGCGGATCACAAGTTCAGGAGATCGAGACCATCCTGGCTAACATAGTGAAACCCCGTCTCTACTAAAAATACAAAAAGAAAAAATTAGCCAGGCGTGGTGGTGGGCGCCTGTAGTCCCAGCTACTCAGGAGGCTGAGGCAGGAGAATGGCGTGAACCTGGGAGGCGGAGGTTGCAGTGAGCCGACATCGTGCCACTGCACTCCAGCCTGGGCAACAGAGCGAGACTCTGTCTCAGAAAAAAAAAAAAGACTGAATAGATTTTTCTATAATGTTTTATTAAAAAATTGAGTTGACATTAATAGTACACTAACACAAGGATGAAATTTGGCTTTCTCTCTTGAACAAGATTTTCATGTAATATTAAAGGATAATGAAAGATTTTTGTTTGCCTTTTGAATAAACTACAGGAAAAACAAGGGAAAGACAAGAGACAGATTGTTTGGAAAGCTAAGTCTTCCCTCTATCAATTGGTAAAGGTTTTCGCTTTTTTTAAATTTTTGAGTCATCATTTTGACTAAATGAATGACTTACCGTGCCCTGGAATCCTACTTTATAATATCAAGTGTTTTAAACCTTTAACATATTTGGCAGGCCTCCTGAAATCAAAGTTCATCTTCAAAATTGTCTTTCCTGACCTCTAATTCTGGGATACTACAGAGGGCCCCTGAAGCATCCAAAAGAGAGGTAAACAGGATTTTTTGACATGCTAAGTTATATGGGAAGCATTTTTTTTTGTTTTGAGATGGAGTTTCGCTCTTGTTGCCCAGGCTGGAATGCAGTGGCATGATCTTGGCTCACCACAACCTCCAGCTCCCGGGTTCAAGCGATTCTCTTGCCTCAGTCTCCCAGGTAGCTGGGATTACAGGCATTCGCCACCACCCCCGGGCAATTTTGTATTTTTAGTACAGGCGGGGTTTCTCCACGTTGGTCAGGCTGGTCTCGAACTCCTGACCTCAGGTGATCCATCCATCTCGGCCTCCCAAAGTGCTGGGATTACAGGTGTGAGTCACCATGCCTGGCTGGGAAGCATCGTTAAAAAGAATAATAATGGGCTGGGCACAGTGGCTCATGCCTGTAGTCCCAGCACTTTGGAAGGCCGAGGCAGGTGGATCACGAGGTCAAGAGTTCAAGACCAGCCTGACCAACATGGTGAAAACCCGTCCCTACTAAAAATCCAAAAATTGGCTGGGCGTGATGGTGTGTGCCTGTAATGCCAGCTACTCAGGAGGCTGAGGCAGGTTAATCACATGAATCCAGGAGGTGGAGGTTGCAGTGAGCTGAGATCACGCCATTGCACTCCAGCCTGGGCAACAGAGCGAGACTCCATCTAAAAAAGCTTAGCCTCCTTCAGGTTATATTTTAGTGAATGTTATTAATATTTGTTCCAAAATTGTATGGGATTTCTAAAATTCTAATATGTCTGAGTATATGTTATCAATCATAATTATAGTTATTATGTTAAGCTATTCTAGACTACAGAAATAACCAAATTTCCTTGTTGATTTGTCTTTTACTATGACTATTTAAAGTAATTTCCAGTCCAGGCACAGAGGCTAATGCCTGTAATCCCAGCATTTTGAGAGACCGAGGCAGGCAGATCACCTGAGGCCAGGAGTTTGAGACCAGCCTGGCCAACATGGTGAAACCCTGTCTCTACCAAAATACAAAAGTTAGCTGGGTATGGTGGCAGGTGCCTGTAATCCCAGCTACTCAGGAGACTGAGGTAGGAGAATTGCTTGAACCCAGGAGGTGGAGGTTGCAGTGAGCCAAGATCATACCACTGCACTCCAGCCTGGAGAATACAGTAAGACTGTGTCTCAAAAATAAATATATAAAAGTAAAGTAATTTCCACAGTTAATTACTTAATTCAGATGCAGCTTCTGAAAACTTCACAAGTACACAAAAGCCTATAATATGATGTATTTTAGGAAGTTCAGGAAAGGATGGAAAAGACCCTGAAAAGCACTTTTGAATACAGGTTTCTGACAACTTCATAATCATATCATTTAGACTGGGTGAGAATTCCTGGAACTGTAATGAAAGGACTGACTGGTTTATAAAACTGCTAACCAAAGTAGAACAAAAATTAATTGAATACCAAGAAAATACTTTGCCAGATTTTCATGCTAAATCAGCCAATACTAAAATTGTGTAGATACACAATGAACTCCATGGTCTAAGTCAAATTACTTATGATAACCCATCAGTTATTAGTGCTATGCTCCTAAATTGGAGAAACAACTGGTATTCAAGAAGGCATATGTTCAATGTTAAGCATGGACTCATGGAAAACTGGGATGGCTGCCTTGTCTTTCCTGAGTCCTTAAAGCTCTTGTTATTAAAAGTTCTGCATTCCATGACTCATCACGGAAAAGATAAAATGATCCAAATTAAACATATATTGGTGTGGTGACTTCTAAATTGCTAAAATAGTTTATGACTAATGTTTCATTTGTCAAAGCCATATTCCTGGAAAGACGATCAAAGCTATAGGTAAATTTTGCTACCTGACGGGCCACTTAAACATTTATAGAGGGATTTCATCCAATTATCTTTTTTTTACCTTGAGACAGTCTTACTCTGTCATCCAGGCTGGATTGCAGTGGCATGATCTCAGCTCACTGCAACCTCTGCCTCCTGGATTCAAGCAATTCTCCTGCCCGAACCTCCTAAGTAGCTGGGATTACAGGTGCCTGCCATCACGCCCAGCTAATTTTTGTATTTTTGGTAGAGAGGGGTTTCACCATCTTCACCATCACCATGTTGGCCAGGCTGGCCTCGAACTCCTGACATCAAGTGATCCACCCACCTTGGCCTCCCAAATTGCTGGGATTACAGGTGTGAGCCATCACACCTGGCCAATTGTCATTTTCAATTCACGTTTTCTAGTTGTATAAAAGCTTTCCTATGCAAGAGAGCTAATGTTATGATAGTAGATTATTATGCCATAGTGTATTTTGACAAGGTAAAGAAAGCGTTTTATGGTTCACTGACTGAGTACAATCAACCCCTTCATAATCTAGAACCTGAAGACTGGATCTTCTGAGAACATCAGAAAAACACTGCCCTTGCCATCTACACTGTAGCAAAACTTTGGGACCTTGAACTTTGGGTTCACAATCTCACAACCAAGAAGGGTCCCTCTACACTCTTGGAACTGTACACCCATTGGAACCCTTAAGGAAAAGCTAACCTGGGAAGTTTCTCCTAAGAAAATGGCATCCTTGATGTGGACAGCTTTTCCCAAGATCATGAATCAAGACTTCTCTACTATCATGAGATAGTAGAATATTTATCTTTGAATATTTTTCCCTTTGCTTATGCCTCTATAGACAATAGAGGTGAAAAGGGGGTCTGTTCTGTGCACTTATGGGGTATACTTTTATTTGTCAGGGATTTTGTAGCCAGCTTTATACACAGATAACCTTACATTTTGATAGATGAAAGATGAAAGCCCAACGTAGGTTGAGAAACTTTAACGATACATACATTGCCTCACAGTCAGCCAGAAACAGAACATTGGTTCACTACTCTTAACCCACATCATGGGTTAAAGAGAATATTGCCAGGAGGCCTTCACTCTTCTAGAAGGACATCATTTGTTAGGTCCTTTTTTCGACGGTTTGGAGTAAAAGAGGCAATGATTAGAAATGTATCCCTCATGATAGGCTCTATAGCAGATTCTGCTGTAAAGGCCATGGTTATGCAACAGACTTTAAATTCTCTTGTGAAAGTTATGCTAAATAATAGTATTGCTCTAGATTACTTACTGGCTAAACAGAAGTATCTGTGCACCTGCTGGCACTTGTGGTCTATGGAGAAATACCTCAAATGTACATTATAGAGATTCAGTTGCAGGGGATTAATTAAGAGACTGCTTAGTTACGTGAGTAGACTCTTTATCTAACTCATTCTTTGATCTATTTAGTTTTACGTGGTTTGGTTTATGGAGACCATTGGTAAGGAGCATACTCCATACTCTTGGTGTTAGCCTCCTGATAGTCATAATAGTAGTCTCTCTGGTGTGCTGTATTCTCTCAAAGATTTTAAGTGTTTGCATGCAGCCATCTCTAGAATGTCAAATGGTCTCTCTTCAACTACAGTTTCAAGAGCTGAAAGAAATGTCTGACCATAAGGACACTGTAACCTATAAGTGATGTGCTGAGACCGGAAACCCAAAATGATGGTAACTGAGAGTGGTGCTGAGGCCCTAAGTTTTGGTCACACCCTCACCTAAGTAAGAACCTGACTGAAAGGGGGGAATTTTAAAACAACATTATGGGAGGCCATTGTTTTGGACTGAGCTCATGAACTAGGCCCCAGTGGACCAGACCAAACCAAAATGGAGTTACTCATGCTAAATGTGACATAATCAAACTAAGACTTTAAGAAAACACATAGGTTCTAGACCAGACCAGGTTTTATTTTTCTCCTATAAACAGGATGTTCAGGCATAAGGAGGTACCCTCTACTCAGTCTTTGTTAAGGAGGTACCCTCTACTCAGTCTTTGTTCCTACTTTACAAAACCTGCTGTTCTACTATTTCCCAGTGGGTTTCAAGACCAAATAAGTACATTTATGATGGTATTAGTGACATCAATGACTGAAGTTTTGGTCAATCTCTCAAAATTGAGAAGATGACCAAAAGTGGGGAATTTTTAAATCAAGATTAGCCTATGCCTACTAAAGTATGACAAGAAGAAAAAAAAGTTTAGCCTAAAGCTGCCTCCTTATATATTTTAAGTTGAACCTAAAGGTTTATCTGTACATCGTGAACTGTAACAAGTGGAGGTGTAAACAGACCGTAGCCTACAGTTGTGCCAATCACAAGGTTTTGGCCAATGAAATGTAGCCAATTGTTTGAACTGTGTTCAAATAAGGCAAACTCCAACCTGTAACCAATCCAGCTGTCTGTACCTCACTTTCGTTTTTTGTATGTCACTTTCCTTTTTCTGTCCATAAATCTTCTTCCACCATGTGGCTGCACTGAAGTCTCAGAGCCTACTCTGGCTCAGGAGGCTGCCCGATTCACAAATCATTCCTTGCTCAGTTAAACTCCTTTAAATTTATTTCTGCTAAAGTTTTTCTTTTATCACTACCAAACTACATAAAAGAGCTAATCAATTGACTTAAAAGAAAAGAAATGCTTATCAGATTAGTAAAAATTAGCTCAGACACTTTTAATTCACATGATCTTGGTAATCTTTGGTAAAATTAATTTGTTAAATTTAACCTCAAAACTGTCTCCAGTAATTTAAAAGGTTTAAGTCATATTATGTTAAAACCTCGATTTTTTTTTCCATAGGAAATTTGGGTTACTAAATTAAAATGGAGCATAAAAAATGTTTTTGGCGAAGTTTATAAAACACAAAGATAAGGATTTTGCAAAAAACAAAAAGTGTGTTTCTTTCTAGTTAAGAAACAATTGAAAAGTCACTTTAAGCTGAAGGAAAAAGTATACAAGTAAAAGTAATGGTTAAAAAAACAATTAAGGTCCGGACGCGGTGGCTCACGCCTGTAATCCCAGCACTTTGGGAGGCTGAGGCGAGCGGATCACAAGGTCAGAAGATCGAGATCATCCTGGCTAACACGGTGAAACCCCGTCTCTACTAAAAATACAAAAAATTAGCCGGGCCTGGTGGCACATGCCTGTAGTCCCAGCTACTTGGGAGGCTGAGGCAGGAGAATCGCTTGAACCTGGGGGGCAGAGGTTGCAGTGAGCCGAGATTGCGCCACTGCACTCCAGCCTGCGCGAAAGAGCGAGACTCCGTCTCAAAAAAAAAAAAAAAAAACACAAATTAAGACAGGGAAATAAGTTTATCTCAGAGACCTGTGGCTTCCAAGAAGATAGTTGATGTGGGTGAAAGGCAAAACCAAGTAACTATCAAAACCAGAGGATAGGCTGGGCACAGTGGCTCACATCTGTAATCCCAGCACTTTGGGAGGCCGAGGTGGGCGGATCACGAGGTCAGGAATTCAAGACTAGCCTGGCCATTATGGTGAAACCTCGTCTCTACTAAAAATACAAAAATTAGCTGGGTGTGGTGGTGGGCGCCTGTAGACCCAGCTACTTGGGAGGCTGAGGCAGGAGAATCGCTTGAACCTGGGAGGTGGAGGTTGCAGTGAGCCAAGATCATGCCACTGCACTCCAGCCTGGGTGACAGAGCAAGACTCCATCTCAAAACAAAAAACAAAACAAACCCAGAGGGTATAATGTAAAGGAATGGTTCCATTTTGTAGATTGGTATCATCAGCTTCTTAAAAAATCTTTACTATAGTGGATTGTAAAAATAAACAATTTATGGACAAAATCCTTAATTTTAAATGCTACAGAATTGAAGAACTTGTTTGGGTTAATGCAGAGCCCACAGCTCACTATTGAACAATCACTGATAAGTATATGTAATCTAAATGCACAGGAGGTTATTCCTGAAAGAATGATCAGCTAGCAGACCAGATAAATGCCACTGTAAGGTCTGTTTGCCCTGTGAAGCGGACTACCCAGCTCTCCCTATAAAATACCAAGTGAAGCACCCCAGATGAAGCAGTTATTGAATAATATGCTTCATATGAGAGCAATGACTGGCTTTATGATAACTGGGATATCCTCCCACTGAAGATGCCTATTACCCAGGTCATGGGAAATTTGGGGGTTAAGAGGTCCCCTTTTACATAAGTTTCCCTCTTGCAAAATCATAGGACTGTTTGAGAAGCCTTATCAAATTTGCTGTTCCTGGCCAGGTGTGGTGGCTCAGGCCTGTAATCCCAGCACTTTAGGAGGACAAGGCGGTCAGATCACTTGAGGTCAGGAGTTTCAAACAAGATGTTTGTTTACCTTGGAAATGCCCTTCGTAAGCCAAACAGCTCATGAAAGCTGTCTATCAGGCACTGCAGAATTTAGCAGCTCCTCACATACATAGTTAGAATCAGTCCTAGGGAGAAAGCGGCTCCCTGCTTATGAGTATCTCCTCCTTGTATCCCCAGGTGGCAAGATTTTATTTTATCATGGAACTCTTTGGGGCATCATTATTTCAGTTAGCATAGGGGTAGCTTCAGTTAACATTTCATAGCAAGGCAGTAAATGCACCTCAAGTGGAAATTCTCTAGTCCGGTAGTTGTCATTGGGAAGTACTTATAAGAGTTTTTTGTTTTGTTTTGTTTTTTGCCATTATCCCCAATAAACACTCCACAAAGGGCTATGAAGGGGATGATTTGTCCCAACTAGTACTCTAGCTTCTACCTGATACTTTGTGGGCTCAGGTGATTTTACTATTTCCCATTAACATGTCCAACTAACACTTTTCAAAAGAGCAGCTTTACATGTCTTTGGTTTTATAGTACTAGATAGGGGAAGCATCCTCCAGCTAGATACAATACCCATTTTCATAAGACATTTAGGCAAAGAGATTACAACTACGTTACATAAACCCTGTTTAAACATCTTAAATTTCATAATTCTATTAACCTGTACATTTTTTGGTTCTACCCCCAGATGATTTTACCTTTCCTGGCAAAAAAAAGGGCTTGAGTTCCCAGCAGGGAGTTGCATCTGTAAGACCCATGAGGAATGGCAGTTTTTTTTTGTTTTTTTTTTTTTTGAGACAGAGTCTCGCTCTAGTGCCCAGGCTGGAGTGCAGTGGCACAATCTCAGCTCACTGCAACCTCCACCTCCCAGGTTCAAGTGATTCTCCTGCATCAGCCTCCTGAGTAGCTGGGACTACAGGTGTGCACAACCACACCAGGCTAATTTTTGTATTTTTAGAAGAGACAGGGTTTCACCATGTTGTTCAGGCTGGTCTCAAACTTCTGACCTCAGGTGATCCACCCGCCTCTGCCTCCCAAAGTACTGGGATTACAGGCATGAGCCACCATACTGGCCAACACTTTCATTATTTTCTTTCTCTCTCTCTTTTTTTCTTTTAGCAACCACAGGCAAAACAAAGAGGAGCACTACTTTAATAATGACAATACACAACCTAAATTTAAATGAGAAGACTTTTGTGATCCATAATGGAACACAAATATGGTAGAGGAAAGGGTGTGGAATCGGGCGTTAGACAAACCTGGTTGGAGTTTTTTTTTCTTAATAGGAAGGCATGGAATTTTTTTTTAAATCAGCTACAACAGCTACTCAGGAGGCTGAGGCAAGAGGATTGCTTAGGCCCAGGAGGTCAAGGCTTCAGTGAGCCATGATCATGCCACTGTACTCCAGCCTGAGTGTCAGAGTGAGACTCTATCTCAAAAACAAAAAAAAATAGTGATAATTTTTCATTACAACACTTAAATTGTTGTTGAAATAATAAATATAAAAGGCTTGGTATAGTAGATGCTTAATAAATCATAGTATCTCTCTCTCCTAGAAGATTCCAAGGCTGGAAGCTAGGAGATCTGGCCCCTAATGATGCAGGATTTTTCTTGGCCCCTTTGACAAACTCATGGAAGGGGGCGCCTTGTCTACCAGGCCCACCACAATCAACCACTTGCAGGAGGGAGCACATGAGCAAGCAAGTTCAAGATCCAGCCAGCCACTCTGGGCACTGGCACAGGAGCAAGCTCTGTGTGGGGCCTGTGGCCAGACCAGGCATGTTGCCTCAAGAGGAACACTGCAGTGCCCAGGTGAAAGTGCCCATGACCCTGAAGCCTCAGAGCGGGTGTTACAGTGCTCCTTTAGTTTCATCATCCACAAACAGCAGTGTGTTAGTAGCTCAGTTGGCCCTTTGCCTTGTCACGTGGGGCAGCTGCCTTCCACTGGTGGGGGCAAAGGACCAGTGTGACAGCCTTTCTGGGTACCTGTACTTGGTGGGTCCCAAGCTCTTGTCCAGTGTCCAAGAAGAATGAGGTCACATGCAGGATTGAAGGATGGCGGGCCAGGTGCGGTGGCTCACGCCAGTAATCTCAACACTTTGAGAGCCTGAGGTGGGTGGATCACCTGAGGTCAGGAGTTTGAGATCAGCCTGGCCAACATGGTGAAACCCCATCTCTACTAAAAATACAAAAACTTAGCTGGGCGTGGTGGCAGGTGCCTATAATCCCAGCTACTTAGGAGGCTGAGGCAGGAGAATTGCTTGAACCCAGGAGGCATAGGTTGCAGTGAGCTGAGATTGCACCATTGCACTCCAGCCTGGGTGACAGAGCAAGACTCTGTCTCAAAAAAAAAAACAAAGAAAAAAACAAAGAAGGATGTTGAGGGCAGAGAATTTTTTTTAGTGATGAAAACGAGTCTCAGCAGTGAGGGGAGCTGGAGAAGGGACAGGAAGGGCAGGTCGTCTTCCTCAAAGTCAGGCGGTCTCCCACTCTACTGACTAAGTCAGGGGTCCTTATAGGCACAGGATGGGGAGTATGTGCAGATTGGTTTGTGGCTATGCAAGAAAGGTTAAAGCAAAGGCACCACTCAAAGGTGGGCACAACAGTGTAGAAAACCAATCAGGAAAGGGTAGGTATATGTAAAATAGGTGAAGGGTGGGGATCAATCAGAGGAAAACATGCAAGACAGGAAGACAAGTTCTCAATCTGGTCTGAGGACTTAACTTGTAGCTTGGCTTTCGAGCTTTAAACTGTTTTTGGCTTGGAGGTGGGGTTTCAATGGGGACCCGCCACTAACTGCCTAGGCATTTGGCTGTCTCCTGTCGCTATCACTAGATCTAGTATTGTTATCATTTCACTAAATCATATATCCATACAGTTAAAAAACACCTTCATATATATACCATTTATTTCAGCAGCCTGTGTTAAAGAAACTAAGGTTTGGGCCAGGCGTGCTGGCTCACACCTGTAATCCCAGCACTTTGGGAGGCCAAGGCGGGTGGATCACGAGGTCAGAAGATCGAGACCATCCTGGCTAACATGGTGAAACCCCGTCTCTACTAAAAATACAAAAAATTAGCCGGGCGTGGTGGCGGGCACCTGTAGTCCCAGCTACTTGGGAGGCTGAGACAGGAGAATGGTGTGAACCCGGGAGGTGGAGCTTGCAGTGAGCCAAGATAGAGAGACACTGTCTCAAAAAAAAAAAAAAAAAAAAAAAGAAACTAAGGTTCACAGCTTAACTGGAGGTCATGTCTTCTCAAAGTGCTCTGCCACAAACTTCCTCATTTGTGAAATTTGGAAAATAATATCCTCTACTTGTCCACAAATAGCATCTAATCATACATAAGCATGTGAGAGCTCTTTAAAAATGCAAGGTATTAATTATTATTGGTTTTTATTTTAAATGTGGTTATACATGTTGAGATTTAAAAGATTTCCTCCCGGCCAGGCGCAGTGGCTCACGCCTGTAATCCCAGCACTTTGGGAGGCTGTAGGTGGGCGGACCACGAGGTCAGGAGATCGAGACCATCCTGGCTAACACGGTGAAACCCCGTCTCTACTAAAAATACAAAAAAATTAGCCATGCTTGGTGGCAGGTGCCTGTAGTCCCAGCTACTCAGGAGGCTGAGGCAGGAGAATGGCGTGAACCCAGGGGGCGGAGCTTGCAGTGAGCCGAGATCGCACCACTGCACTCCAGCCTGGGAGACAAAGACAGACTCAGTCTCAAAAAAAAAAAAAAAAAAAGATTTCCTCCCATGAAGTAAGCCAGAATAAACTCATACCTACTAAATTCTTTCT
Organism: Homo sapiens; assembly: GCF_000001405.40. Taxonomy (NCBI): domain Eukaryota; kingdom Metazoa; phylum Chordata; class Mammalia; order Primates; family Hominidae; genus Homo; species Homo sapiens. The sequence goes on from NC_000011.10 coordinate 125,568,358, forward strand.
AAAATCTTTTCTAAATTGACACTCTTGAGAAAGAATAGAGCTTGGAGGAAGAGCTATTATTATAATTAATAGCACAATAATCAGTTTGTCATTAAACCACTTAGGTCTCTTTGTAACAAGATTTCTAAGCTTTAGTAGATGGATTCCTTATTCTATTCTATTTTATATTGTTTTGTTTTGTTTTATTTTATTTTATTTTTCGAGACAGTCTAGCTGTGTCACCCAGGCTGAAGTGCAGTAGTGCGATCTCGGCTCACCGCAACCTCTGCCTCCTGAATTGAAGTGATTCTCATTCCTTAGCCGACCAAGTAGCTGGGACCACAGGTGTGTGCCACCATGCCCAGCTAATTTTTTGTATTTTTAGTAGAGACGGGATTTCACCATCTTGGCCAGGGTGGCCTCAAGTGATCTGCCCGCCTCAGCTTCCCAAAGTGCTGAGGTTACACGCATGAGCCACCGTGCCCAGCCACTTATTTTATTTCATTTTTTAAATTTATTATTATTATTATTATTTTGAGACTGAGTCTTGCTCAGTCGCCCAGGCAGGAGTGCAGTGGTGTGATCTCGGCTCACTGCAACCTTCATCCCCTGAGTTCAAGTAATTCTCCTGCCTCAGCCTCCTGAGTAGCTGGGACCACAGGCAGGTACCACCACACCTGGCTAATTTTTGTTATTTTAGTAGAGATGGGGTTTCGCTATGTTGGCCAGGCTGGTCTTGAACTCCTGACCTCGTGATCTGCCTGCCTTGGCCTCCCAAAATGCTGGGATTAAAGGCATCCTGTTACTAATTTCACAGGATTTTAGAAACGCAAGCAGCGTTGTGGAGTCAATGGGGGAGGGCAAAGAACAGGAGGAGAGATCTGTGAGAACGGGATCGGCGAGGAGGCGACGGGGAGGAGGCGACGCGGAGGGGTGAGGGGTCCTCTCCGCCGCCAGGCGGAGTTGGGAGCCGGACGATCCCGCACGCAGCGCGAGGCGGGACCCCGGACTGACTACATTTCCCAGTCTCCGTCGCTCCGCGCGGCCCACCCCTTCGGCTCTGGGCCCCGCCTCGTGGTGCCGGCTGGTTCTTCGCGCTCGCCCGACTTCCCAGCGGCCCCGTGCGGCCCGGGCATGCCCAGTGCGGGCGCAGCGGCCCCGGCCCTGGAAGCGCCCCGGCGGAGCTGGCCTGCGGTGGGCTAGGGGCAGGGCCGGAGCCGCGGCGGCGGAGCTGTGGGTAGGTGCGGGCTCAGCCGAGCTAGGCCTCGGGGCCGCCGCGCCGCCCATTCTGAGTGGCAGGGACCGGGAGGGCAGGCAGGGCCCGAGCGTGGGTTGGTGGGGCTACCGGCGAGGACCCCTTATGGGAAGGGGCCGGAGGGAGCGGGACGGGGCCGGGCACATCCCCGGGCGAGGCTGCCCCAGGTGCGGCGCAGCTATCTTTAGCTCCCTGTGTGACCCGGAGCGTGCGTGATCCGCACCTCGCGTGATCCGTACCTCGTGCACAGTTGTGCCTAGGGAGACCAGTTTTCTGCCGAATTGCCTAGGAGCTGTGGGGAGATGGGCCTGAATGGACCCGTGGACTCAGAGGCAGCCCGTGGAGCCCCGTGGGAAGTGAGGATGTTTACCTTCCCTGTACCTGGAGTGGGCTACGACAGCTTCCTGTTTGCCGAGACTTGGGTTTAGTGACTTAGAAATAAAAGTGTGTCTCAGCAGATGCTTATTAGCTTCTAATGACTGTTGGGAATTTAATGGCATTTGTATTTCCAGGTTTGAGAGGTTATTTGTCCATGGGATGCTCGTGTTAAAACAAAAATCTTCATTGCAAAGCTTAAGTAAAAACAAGTCTCGACCGAGGTAACGTTAGAACACCGGGTTCTGAGGTTCACTGTAGCTGCCATTCATTTGCTGTCAGTCTGGGCAAGTCATTTAACTTCTGAGACTGGGTTCTCTCACCTGTTAAATGAGCCAGATGCATCTTCATCTGTCTAGCTCAGCTGTAGGATTCCCCCTGTGTCATTCAGTCTGTGTGTGTGTTCTCAAATTGTGGCAGGTTATTTTTCCCCATGCCTCAGCTATTTGTCAGACTGGGTAATTCACCAAATATTCCTGTAGGAAGGATGTTAGGATCTAAGTATAAAAGTGAAGTGATTTATCCTTCATAGGTCACTCTTAGGAGGTGTCCTGCCACTTGGTACATGCAGAAACCAGGTGTTAGCTGGCCAGGGATCAAATGACACAGCTGTTGTGGACTGAGACAGAATGTTTCAGGTTCCCTGTCAGTTCCCTGTGAGAAATCCAGGCCAAGTAATGGGCTTCCTTAAACCTCCAAGCTGGCTCACTTTGGTGGGGTTGTGTTTATATAGAATTTTAAGTTTTTTTCATGCTGTTGTGCCCTATTAGATGCAAGAAACCTATGAAGAAGTTTAGTACCCTTAATTTATAGATGAGCCAGTGGCAGGTTACGGGAGTGGATCTGTGAGTCTTTACAAACTAGTGTCGTGCATATCACTGAGCCTTTGCTAGTTATCTAGCTCAGCTGCCCTCACCTCAACCCTGAGAACATGTCTGTATGGCTGTACCTACGCGACTGGAACTCTGAGGTGTTTGTTTTCAGGAGGAAACAGTGGGAGTATTAACAGAAGTTTCTTACCCTAGAGACTTCTATCCGAAGTGAGCCTATCTGTGTAGGATTTGACCTAAGGAGCAGAGGGTATATACAATGTTGGGCAAATTGCCTTCCTACTGCCATATCCCCTGCTCTTCCAGTTCTGAATGGCATTAGTCCAGTTGGGTCAATGAGGAGCAGTTTGGTGAAGTGGTTAAAGGTCGGGGAAAGTGTGCTTATATTTTGAAATTTAAGGTTTGTACAAGCTGCTTGTGAAATTCTGTCTTTGTATTATGGTCATACCTCTTAAACTGAGAATACTGCAACTTGATTGAGTGAGTGTTGAGAACTTTAGAATATCAGGTTCTTAAAAAATGCCTGAAAGTGGGTTTTCTATTCATCTTAGAAGTCACCACAGATTAAATGAGAGAATAGTATATTAATTACAAGTATTTCTCACATGAACTCTCAAGTTCTTAATTTTTGAAACTAGATATCCCATTCACCTGAGAAATAAAATGGGAAAGCCTTACTGTTTTAAAGACTGTTTATACATATGAACTTTTTTGAGGCCTAGTTTAAAATCCACTATTTATTGCATGTTTATTAAAATTGTATCTGTATATATTTAAAGTTAGAAAACAGAAAAGACCAGCCGGGCGTGGTGGCTCATGCCTGTAATCCTAGCACTTTGGGAGGCTGAGATGGATGGATCACCTGAGATCAGGAGTTTGAGATCAGCCTGGCCAACATGGCGAAACCCCATCTCTACTAAAAATACACAAAATTAGCTGGGCGTGGTGGCGGGTTCCTGTAATCTCAGCTACTCGGGAGGCTGAGGCAAGAGAATCACTTGAACCTGGGAGGTGGAGGTTGCAGTGAGCCGAGCCCAGTGTTGCACTCCAGCCTGGGCAACAAGAGCGAGACTCTGTCTCAAAAAATAAAATAAAATAAAAAAGACCTATTTGGAGGTTTTGGTACGCAATTTCATGTCATACCTTAAACTTTACTGTGCCCGAGGGCTCTGTATGACTGAAGCATGTATTTAGTAATTTTTGTAAGAACTTTTATCTTGCTCTTGTATTTTCATTCAAGTATTTGAAGGTATCCAGCAAACATAAAAATTGCTTAAGAAGATATTGAAATGTAATTATCTTCCATCTCCAAACCCTCAAAAGTGCTTAGAATGTGTAGGAGGGATAGTTAGGGGCATTGAGGCTCAGAGGAGGTTACTGGTCAAGAGCACATTGTAAAAATGTAAAATGTAAAAATGAGAGGGTGTAAAATGTAAAACCCCTTGTAAAAATGAAAGGGTGGTGAGTGTTTTAGAAAAAAAATAGGGATTTTAGGTTTCAGCTGTACAGGAATAGCTTCACTTGATTCACTCTATTAGTGCTAGAATCTACTGCTATCTTACTAGAGCTACAAGTATGTGAGGTCATCATGTGGAAATGTGCATGAAGTAACTTATCTTTAAAATAAATATTTGCCTCCATTATGTTCCATCTGTTTCCAGATCCTTCATGATGAGAGATTTGGGGACACTTCTCTCTCCTGTGTGTAGTTGATAGTTTGGTGGTGAAGAGATGGCTGACAGTGTCAAAACCTTTCTCCAGGACCTTGCCAGAGTGAGTACATCTTGTTTATAGGAATTCATCTCTCGGCCTTTTTTTTTTTTGCTGAAGGAACCATCTAGGAAATCCTTTAGGGTTTTTGGAACTTTTATCATATTTCTTGGGTTCTTTACATAAAGGTTGTTATTCTAGACCACACTACTCAAGAAATAGGTATTGTTCTACATCTTGCAGACAGTCTTGCAGGTGCTTGGAAGACCTCTTCGGTGGATGTCTCCAGTATTGGGACCCTAATCATCTTGGCTTCAGAGCTTTTTTTTTTTTTTTTTTTAACTTTTTATTTTGGAATGTGTTTAGATTTACAGAAAAGTTATAAGGTAGTACAGAGAGTTCCTGTATGTCCTTCATCAGCTTCCCTTAATGTTAACATATAACCGTGGTATATTTGTCAACTAAGAAATGAACATTGGTTCAGTACTATCACCTAAACTAATTAATTCAGATTTAAATTAGAGAACCTATCTTTTTTTTTTCCCAATTTTTCATTTATTTAAAAATTTTTCTGTTAAAAGTAGAGACGAAGTTTTGGCATGTTGCCCAGGCTGGTCTCAAACTCCTGGGCTCAAGTGATCCACCCGCCTTGTCCTCCCAAAGTGCCGGGATTATAGGAGTGAGCCACTGCACCTGCCAGAACCTTTTTTCTCCCCATTCTACAAGCTGTGCACGTGAGGAGGATACTCTAGGAAAATGCCCTATAAAGATCTGGTTAGGACCCAGTCATCCAAATTACCAATAGCACAAAAGTCTGCTACTTTTAATGTATGTCTGAAGCCTAATAATGTCTCACTTGTAACCCCCTCTTATATTTCCACTAGCATGAAAGAGGCCAATTCTTGGAGTGGGGAGGTTCTTTCTTTAGTGGAAGAGTTTAAAAGGTTACCTTTATGGCCAGGGGAGGTGGCTCACAGCTGTAATCTCAGCACTTTGGGAGACCAAGGAGGCAGGATTGCTTGAGTCTGGGAGTATGAAGCAGTAGTGAACTATGATGGTACCAGTGCACTATAGCAGGGCAAGAAAGTAAAAAGGTTATTACTTTTGAGTAAAAGAGGGAGGATTGAAAGAGTATCTTAGAAGGTCTAAAAAGACTTTATGCATATGATCTCCTTTTTTTTTTTTTTTTTTTTTTGACAGAGTCTCACTGTGTCGCCCAGGCTGGAGGGCAGTGGTGCAATCTCGGCTCACTGCAACCTCCACTTCTTGGGTTCCAGTGATTCTCCTGCCTCAACCTCCCAGGTAGCTGGGATTACAAGCACACACCACCACGCCTGGCTAATTTTTATATTTTTAGTAGAGACGGAGTTTCACCATGTTGGCCAGGCTGGTCTTGAACTCCTGACCTCAGGTGATCTGCCCACCTTAGCCTCCCAAAGTGCTAGGATTACAGGCATGAGCCACCGTGCCCAGCAGCATATGATCTACTTTTAACATCTTTACCTTGTTGTCTTGCCATTCATGTGCTGTAAAATTTCAACCCTCCCAGCCTGGCTAACACAGCAAAACCCCCTCTCTACTAAAAATACAAAAAAGATTTAGCCAGGCGTGGTGCACATGCCTATAATCCCAGCTACTCAGGAGGCTGAGGCAGGAGAATCGTTTGAACCTGGGAGGTAGAGGTTGCAATGAGCCAAGATCATGCCACTGCACTCCAGCCTGGGCGACAGAGTAAGACTCTGTTTAAAAAAAAAAAAAAATTCAACCCTGTGTTGGTTCTACAGTGTGCTATTTACATGTTTGTCTGCCCCACTGGACTGTAGATGTCTTAGAGGTGGGGATCCTATCATCCTAGCATGTACTAGGCCCTCAGCCATTTGAACTTAACTATCTTAGATAGTTGGAGTTTCCTGAGTTAAAAGCAAAATTAAGAGTAAAAATTACTCAGACAAAAAAAGATCAAAGGCACACTGTGCCAATTTATGTTCCTGTTAACAGATAATACATCAACTTGCCCATTTCTCTGTATTCCAGCTATTATTTCTAAAATTCGTTTTGTCTGATAACAGTAGACGAGAATGCTATCCATTCTTAAATCCAGCTTGGCCATTGCTTCCAGAATAATTTTTTCTGCCTTCTCATGAAGTTGAATGCCCCAGTGCTAACACTCTACTTGGGCCATACATCTGTTGTGGCACTTACTAAACTATGTGTGCTTGCTTCTGCAGCACATGTACTAAAATTGGAACAATACAGAGATTACCATGGCTCCTGTGCATGACACACAAATTCATGAAATGTTTCATATTTAAAAACTTTTTTAAAAAAAAACCTTTAATGTAATTTTTTGGTTTACTTGTGTGCTTTTCCTACTAAGTTATAAGCTTCTTGAGCATTTCTATATGACAATATATAGCTTATTGAAGATACTCAGTACGTGGGTGGGAGATGGATGCATGAGTGAATTCTTAGCCTTTGGGAGGCTTAGGCAGGAGGATTGCTTGAGGACAGGAGTATGAAACCAGCCTGATCAACATGGTGAGATCCCCATCGCTACAGAAGAAAAATTTAAAAGCCAGGTGTGGTGGTGCACATCTGTACTCATAGCTCTTTGGGAGGCTGAGGCAGGAGGATCATTTGAACCCAGGAGTTGGAGGCTGCAGTGAGCTATGATTGAGTCACTGCACTGTAGCTTGGGTGACAAAGCAAGACCCTGTCTCAAATAATAATAATAATAATGATAGCCTTTTCTATAGGGAATCAAAGACTCCATCTGGGGTATTTGTACCATCTCAAAGCTAGATGCTCGAATCCAGCAAAAGAGAGAGGAGCAGCGTCGAAGAAGGGCAAGTAGTGTCTTGGCACAGAGAAGAGCCCAGAGTATAGAGCGGAAGCAAGAGAGGTAAGGAGTGCATGCCTGATATCAAAATGTCCAAGGGAGGGAAGACCTTACATAGTGACTTGATGTTTCAGTGCCATTTTATTTCTTTTGTGCTTTTTCCCAGAAAAATGTTGCAAGTGATTTCCCCCCAACAACATTGACTTAAACTAGGGTCTAACAATAATCCTTGCTAAAAATGTCATGGTGTTAAATCAGAAAGCTGAATAGAGAATCGCAAAATATTATTTGGTTTGATAGATACTTCTAGGGAAGCCTGTGTGGATTTATGTATTAATAGAAGAACCCTGGCCCCACACTTTCTCTTAATCTTTTCCATCATCAGACTTTAGAAAATAAATTATTTTTCTTTTAAAAGCTGGTTCCATATATATACACATTTTTTTTTTTTTTTGAGACGGATTCTTGCCCTGTCACCAAGCTGTCACCTGAGATTGCCGTGGTGCAATCTCAGCTTACTGCAGCCTCTGCCTCCCAGGTCCAAGCAATTCTTCTGCCTCAGCGAACCGGCTGGCTGGAAGTACAGGTGCGCACCACCACGCCTGGCTAATTTTTTATATTCTTTAGTGGAGACAGGGTTTTGCCATGTTGGCCAGGCTGGTCTCGAACTCCTGACCTCAGTTGATCGCCTACCACGGCCTCCCAAAGTGTTAGGATTACAGCCGTGAGCCACTGCGCTTGACCATTTTTTTAGTCTTTTCTCATTGACTGACATTAGAACATTGGGAGAACATGAGGCACTGAAAAATAATACAGTACCCACAAAAGATAAGATATAAAATGAACTACTGAATGACAATTAGGAAATAACTTATGCTTTATAAACTAAATACATGTGATCTTTTCCAGTGAGCCACGTATTGTTAGTAGAATTTTCCAGTGTTGTGCTTGGAATGGTGGAGTGTTCTGGGTAAGTTCTTTAAATTCCAGGTGCCTTATAAGCATCTTCAGATTGTTGCTGGGTTGATAGCTATGAACTGTTTTCTTGAAACACTGAGACAAATAGTTTTCATCTGCTGATGTACACTTAGAAATATAACTCAGGAGTCTGTGCATCTGCAGAGATTTTATTCCCACTCAGGAAAGCACACTTATATGTAAGCAAACGTCACAGCCCTGAATATACACTTGAATTTTGTTTCTAAAATGACTCATTCACAAGTATTAGAGGTAGCAGTTTCTCTTGACACTGTCTAGACATTTTAAAATGCTAACAGCAACTATGGGGACTCGGGAAGGGCAGATACGGCTAGACAAGAACAAGGTTCTCCCTGCTTCTGCTTATAGTGATCAACAAGAGTTAATTTGCATTGAAACCTATAGCAGAAAAGATTGCCTACCATTTACTGAGAATCCCAGTGCAGGCTTAACTGAAATTTGGGTACTTTGAAGAATGGATAAATATTTCCTTTGACTTAGAATTTAGAGTAATTCATCACTTCTTAATCTAAACAATTCACAGATGTTTTCAGATGTTAGTTTTAAATTTAATTAATATGTATTCCTGTGTACTTAGTACATGCCTGTATTTTGGCCTGAATACTACTTGAAATGTTCCTGTATGCCCCCAAAAGTTTCATTGTTTTATAGGCAATATCAAGTTTGTATCTCTCAATTGGAGTGTTGGGAAATAGAAATGGATCCAGTTTTGGTGCTTTTTCAGGCCTCCTGATTTATTTTATTTATTTATTTATGTATTTATTTGAGATGGAGGCTCGCTCTGTTGCTCAGGCTGGAGTGCAGTGGCATGATCTTGGCTCACTGCAACCTCTGCCTCCCGGGTTCAAGCGATTCTCCTGCCTCAGCCTTCCCAGTAGCTGGGATTACAGGCATGCACCACCACACCCGACCAATTGTTGTATTTTTAGTAGAGACGGGGTTTCACCATCTTGGCCAGGCTGGTCTCGAACTCCTGACCTCAAGTGATCTGCCTGCCTTGGCCTCTCAAAGTGAACCACCGCGCATGAGCCACCGCGCCCGGCCTAGGCCTCCTGATTTATAAAAGTCACTCCCATCTATAAAATCATTACACTAAAAATTGAAGCTCCTGTTTTAAAGACTGGATTTTGATGTTTGCCTTGTTGCTTCTTTTCTTTAGTTCAGTCTCCTCTTGTTTTATCGAGTATTTATTCCTGTGCTTCAGTCGGTAACAGCCCGAATTATCGGTAAGTGTATACCCTGCTCCTTGTCTGTTGGGGACAGAGTGGGAGATGATGTTTCAGTCTCCCTCAGTTTACTGAACATTTCCTGTGTACCAGGAGCTTTCACTGTTTATTTTCTTTTTTGTTGTTTTATTCTTTTTAAAAATTTATATTTCGTTATTCTCCTAGAGGCCCTTTAAGAATGGGTACTGTTGTTCTATCCATTTTATGAATGAGGAAATGCAAGTTACCAAGGTTAAACCATTAGTAAGAGGCAAAGCTGAGATTTAAACCCAGATGGTATCCTGCAGATAGCGTACTGGTAATCACTGTGGCATCTCGTTACCATCATGTAAGCAGGTTTGTGTCAAGCAGCACATATCTATGGTTTCTTTGAATTGGAATTGTGGCCAGAATGTGGTGCGTCTATTATGAGTTAGACTCTTTGAGATAGGTATAGTGATGTGCTGGCAAGAACTAGAAAGATCCAGGAGGAGACAGAGAATAGTCACGAGATGGGGGTTCCGCATTTGGTCTTCTGGATTTCCATTTCTCCATTTCTAGTAACTCGTTTCCTCTTTCTTAGGTGACCCATCACTACATGGAGATGTTTGGTCGTGGCTGGAATTCTTCCTCACGTCAATTTTCAGTGCTCTTTGGGTGCTCCCCTTGTTTGTGCTTAGCAAAGTGGTGAATGCCATTTGGTTTCAGGTAGGTCCAGGGCAGAATGGAGTCTGGGTCCCGCAGCATGATTGGCTGACAGGTGACAAGTTTCAGCCTGTGAAGTTAGTGGGCATGTAGGGGGACCTGTTTTTCAGCCTTAATGTTTCTTGGCCAGGTAGCCAGTAGCTGATCTTTGTGTTCTTACAGAATGGAATTATTGTCTCAGCATCTCATTGGCAGGTGTCTGGTGCCTTTTCTTTTTCGTTTTGGCTTTTTTTTTTTTTTTTTTTTTTTTGAGACAGTCTCACTCTGTCGCCCAGGCTGGAGTGCACTGCAACCTTTGCCTCCCGGGTTCAAGCAATTCTCCTGCTTCAGCCTTCCAAGTAGCTGGGACTACAGGCACGTGCCACCATGCCTGGCTAATTTTTTTTGTATTTTTATTAGTGACAGGGTTTCACCATGTTGGCCAGGCTGGTCTCAAACTCCTGACCTGCTGATCTGCCTGCCTCGGCCTCCCAAAGTGCTGGGATTATAGGCGTGAGCCACGGCATAAGGCAGCAATCCTCCTACCTTAGCCTCCTGAGTAGCTGGGACTATAGGCACATGCCATCGTGCCCAGCTTATTTTTAAATAAGCCTTTTCTTAACTGGCAGCTCTAGTGGCGGACTAGTGGCCTTAGCTTTGGGGATGTATATCAAGGCCATTTAATTCATGTTTTGGTACACTTTCTCTGTTACAGGATATAGCTGACCTGGCATTTGAGGTATCAGGGAGGAAGCCTCACCCATTCCCTAGTGTCAGCAAAATAATTGCTGACATGCTCTTCAACCTTTTGCTGCAGGCTCTTTTCCTCATTCAGGTGAGACTGACCTTCTGGGCATATGGGCAGCTTTATTAAAAAGAAAAACTGTTTCACTAGAGAGAACTTCACAAAGACAGAGTATTATATTTATACAGAGTATTATATATATGCTGGTGGGAGGTAATGATTTTTAAATCTTTTTTTCCCCACGGAAATGAGAATTTTAAAATTACATTATAAAATTATAAGAAACATGAATTTACCTGCTTTTTTCTGCTACTCTGGTTATTCTCCAGTCCTGCCAGGTGGAAACTTTTTTTCTTTTTATAGTTATGCCTAATTTTTTTTTTTTTTTAAAGAGACAGACGGGTCGGCTGGGCGCAGTAGTTCATGCCTGTGATCCCAGCACTTTGGGAGGCCGAGGTGGGCGGATCACCTAAGGTCAGGCATTTGAGACCAGCCTGGCCAACATGGTGAAACCCCATCTCTACTAAAAATACAAAAATTAGCTGCGCGTGGTGGCAACATGCTTGTAATCCCAGCTACTCGGGAAGCTGAGGCAGGAGAATCGCTTGAACCCAGGAGGCAGAGATTGTAGTGAGCCGAGATCGCGCCATTGCACTCCAGCCTGGGCGACAAGAGCAAAACTGTCTCAAAAATAAATAAATAAATAAAAGACAGGGTCTTATTTTGCCACCTAGGCTGGAGTACAGTGGCACAATCATACCTCACTGCAGCCTCAAACTCTGGGCTCAAGCAATCCTCCTGCCTTAGCCTCCTGAGTAGCTGGGACTACAGGCACATGCCATCATGCTCATTTTAAAAATCTTGTTGTAGAGACAGGGTCTCAGTATGTTGCCCAGTCTGGTCTTTAACTCTTGGCCTCAAGAGATCCTCCCGCCTCATCCTCCCAAACTGTTGGGATTACAGGAATGAGTCACTGTGCCCACCCTGCACTCGGCCTTTTAGAAACTTGAGAAGCAGCTAGGAAGCTATCTCAGACAGTGATTGGAGAGTGACAGGTGAATGGTGCTAGGTTTCCGAGGCTTTGGGATTAAGATTTTCCATATTTGTTCTTCAGGGAATGTTTGTGAGTCTCTTTCCCATCCATCTTGTCGGTCAGCTGGTTAGTCTCCTGCATATGTCCCTTCTCTACTCACTGTACTGCTTTGAATATCGTTGGTTCAATAAAGGTAAGTCCATCTAAAGAAATCCAGAAAATGGAGGCCCAGTTTGGAAATGCTACTGCTAAGCAGACTTCTTAAACTACTCATAGTCAGGCTTTTGGCAAACAATCCTTTGAGGGAAGCAGCCTCATTGGCAAGAGGGAGCTTACCTTCGGCTTAGTGGGTTTAACTCTCAACTTTGAGGCTGGGGGATGTGGTAGTATGGCATTATCTTTTTGGTGCTTAACATGGTATATCTCTGACTGGGTTGTAAGATGGCATAAATGAGCATGAGTTGCTCTAAATTAGAGAAGTCAAATTGATGTCAGCATCTGGATCCTTTTGGGGGTGTTTTAGAAAGACCTTCAGATATTTACCAGGGTGTGCGTGGTTGAAAGAGGTTAACTGATACTTACAGGATGGCATCCTTTTGATTTGCTATCTTGCTTAGTTCCAGACTAATCCTGACAAAGGATGCTGGTGCTGAAATTCTTAATTCACTTAGCCTGTCAGCTTTGAAATTACGATTATAGAATTCTAAGAAACTTTGCATGCTTTATATCAGATTTGTACACTTCTAATTTATATGCTGTAGCTCTGTTCTAAATCTGTACCTAGGCTGGGTGTGGTGGCTCACACCTGTAATCCCAACACTTTGGGAGGCCAAGGTGGGTGGATCGCCTGAGGTCAGGAGTTCAAGACCAGCTTGGCCAATATGGTGAAACCCTGTCTCTACTAAAAATACAAAAATTAGCTGGGCGAGGTGGCAGGCGCCTGTAATCCCAGCTACTTGGGAGGCTGAGGTGGGAGAATCGCTTGAAACCAGGAGGTGGAGGTTGCAGTGAGCTGAGATTGCACCACCGCACTCCCGCCTGGGCATCAAAGCAAGACTCCATCTCAAATAATAATAATAATAATAATAATAATAATAATAAAATCTGTACCTAAAACTCATGGTTTGTCTACCATAGTTACTTAGTCACTTGACTAAAAGGAAATATAATATCTAATTGTATTGGCTTTCTTGTTTTAGGAATTGAAATGCACCAGCGGTTGTCTAACATAGAAAGGAATTGGCCTTACTACTTTGGGTTTGGTTTGCCCTTGGCTTTTCTCACAGCAATGCAGTCCTCATATATTATCAGGTAATTTGGCTACAGGGATTTGAAGGAGACTAGTAAAAATAAAAATTCATGAAGTCAGTGCCTTTTGTTTGCTTCGTTCTGTTTCGCATTCTACATCATCATTTGTCCATCAGGAGACCTGCAGGGTATTTCTACATTTGTTAGCATGAAGATCTAGTCTGAATGTCCCTATATCCCATATTCTTTTTCTATGTTGCCTCCTGAAGCAATTATTCTTTTTTTTTTTTTTTTTTTTTTTTTTTGAGACAGAGTCTCACTCTGTCGCCCAGGCTAGAGTGCAGTGGTGTAATCTCAGCTCACTGCAACCTCCGCCTCCTGGGTTTAACTGATTCTCCTGCCTCAGCCTCCCAAGTAGCTGGGATTACAGGCGCCCACCATCACGCCTAGCTAATTTTTGTGTTTTTAGTAGAGATGGGGTTTCACTATGTTGGCCAGGCTGGTCTTGAACTCCTGACATCGAGTGATCCACCCACCTTGGCCTCCCAAAGTGCTCAGATTATAGACATGAGCTACCATGCCCAGCCCTGCAGCAATGTTAAACATGCCCAGTGCTTAGAAAAATCTTCTGTTCTTTTTGAAAGATGTGTTTGATGGGCTGGGTGCCACGGCTCACGCCTGTAATTCCAGCACTTTGGGAGGCTGAGGTGGGCAGATTACCTGAGGTCAGGAGTTCGAGACCAGCCTGGCCAACATGGTGAAATCCCATCTCTACTGAAAATACAAAAATTAGCCAGGCGTGGTGGCACACACCTGTAATCCCAGCTACTTGGGAGGCTGAGGCAGGAGAATCGCTTGAACACAGGAGGCGGAGGTTGCGGTGAGTTGAGATCTTGCCACTGTACTCCAGCCTGGGCGACAAGAACGCGACTCCATCTCAAAAAAAAAAATGTTTGAAATATTGAGGTTTCATCAAGCCATAATGTTTACACTGGAAGCAAAAGAACTTGGAGCTTCTAATATCTTCTTCAAAGTCATGTCTGTTATGAAGGTGACTAATTATTTCTTTTTTTTTTTTTTAAACAGTGGCTGCCTTTTCTCTATCCTCTTTCCTTTATTCATTATCAGCGCCAATGAAGCAAAGACCCCTGGCAAAGCATAGTAAGTATTAGCCAGTGATGAAATTTTTGCTGTGTAAAGGGTTGGGGCTGTAACACCAGTTATGTCAGTGAGGCTTTTTAAAAAAAAAAATTCTTACTGTAGGAAAATCTTAATATAAGGTTTAATGAGAGAGAAACACTTCTGGGATATAACCCAAACTTTTCTCCATGCATATATGCACATGAGTATATATATATTTCCAAAACCGATCCCATTATACATATTCAAGTAGAGGGCTGTATGACCTGGCCACATGAGTTTATTGATAACAGTAGTAAAATATACTTTAAAATGAGTTTTTAGCAATAATAATAGCATTCTAAAAGTTTTATTACTTCAAAGAAAAGCTCAATTCATCTTTGATCAATTTTGGTTAAGTCAGTGTGGATACTTGTATTAGAGACTTAGGTCTGCTTTGGGTTTTTGTATGCTCTTGCTATACAGCACAGCTCACTGTTTATCTTAAGAGGAATATTTGACTTTCTTTTGAAACTCTTCTTCCTGCAACCACAGATAGCATATGATACCTTCAGACATAGCTTGAAGTCTGTACCCCGAAGTCAGCCATAGAAAAGTACTTCTCAAATCAAAGTTAATCTAAAATATAACTATTTCCTGTAAGAGCCACAATACTTCAACGCTGGTGACTGCATTACATTCATGGCAGCAGCAGGGCCCAATGCATTCTTTTTTTTTTTGAGACGGAGTCTCGCTCTGTCACCCAAGCTGGAGTGCAGTGGCGTGATCTCGGCTCACTGCAACCTCCGCCTACCAGGTTCAAGCGATTCTCCTGCCTCAGCCTCCTGGGTAGCTGGGATTGCAGGCGCATGCTACCATGCCCTGCTAATTTTTTTCTCAAGTGATCCACCTGCTTCAGCCTCCCAAAGTGCTGGGATTACAGGTATGAGGCACCACGCCCGGCTCCAATGTATTCTTTAGTTGCCTGTTCCATCCATGTATCTAATATCTGTATTTCCTTGATCAAGTTTCATTTGTCTTGTCTTTCCCTGTGTAGTTTTAAATTTAATGTCAAGTTGTCAAACAACGGAAATAATTTTGAGTAACTGGGGAGCTAACAAGTTGGGTTTCTTGCCTTTTAGTCTCTTCCAGTTGCGCCTCTTCTCCTTGGTGGTCTTCTTAAGCAACAGACTCTTCCACAAGACAGTCTACCTGCAGTCGGCCCTGAGCAGCTCTACTTCTGCAGAGAAGTTCCCTTCACCGCATCCGTCGCCTGCCAAACTGAAGGCTACTGCAGGTCACTGAGTTGCCTGCCATCCAAAGGGGATGGGCGGGATTGGAAGAAGCTGTGGCAGCTCTTTTCCCTGTTCACCTCCCGCCTGCCAGGGAAGGCAGGACCCGCTCTGCCAAGGGCCCTCTGCGTATTCCCTTCTCTCTGAGGAATTGAAATTTTTGTCTCTGGTGCACGTAAGGCAGAATGTTCCCTGACACCAGTGTGTGGATTTTTAACATCACCGTGAGTCTGAAAGGACCACAGGTTTTTCTGCAGCTATTTTCTAGCATTTGCCAGTCCCTGTGCCTGGACTGATTGGAACACTTTGTTTTTCTCCCTGTGCCATTTACCCTTCCACCTTTCCATCCTGCCTTCTACCACCCTTGGATGAATGGATTTTGTAATTCTAGCTGTTGTATTTTGTGAATTTGTTAATTTTGTTGTTTTTCTGTGAAACACATACATTGGATATGGGAGGTAAAGGAGTGTCCCAGTTGCTCCTGGTCACTCCCTTTATAGCCATTACTGTCTTGTTTCTTGTAACTCAGGTTAGGTTTTGGTCTCTCTTGCTCCACTGCAAAAAAAAAAAAAAAAAAAAAAAAAAAAAAAAAGCCTGAAGAGATGAGATAGGAGGAAAGACCTCACAGCCAGATCTGCTGGGTTTTGAGGAGTGATTTTCTTTCTTCCCCTTGAAGGGGAAAAAGCTATTTTCATTGGTACATTTAAAGTCCCCCAACTATGGGGAGGTACCAATTCTGGACAAGTGCCACTACAACAACACTAAACCTGAACTTTTCAACTCCGTTGGTGGTGGGAGGCAGCGGGCAGAAATTTACTGTTGGCCACTGCCAGGTCTATTTCATATTTCAAAGGAATATTGGGTGCTGCATATAGGAACTGAAGGGGTCAATGTATTAAACCTGTGATTGGTTGTTTTCCTGTCATTTTGAGAGACTAAATGTGGGGGGCAGATGTCAAAATACCTGTACAATTTTAAAATGTCACAATTAAACATGAGCTGGTTTCCCACAAAGTGTCTAATGGTTGAATTTGCAAATCTTGATTTCGAGAAATGTATTCATGGAATATAAGACTTTGTCTTGGATAATTTAGTTACAGTTTTGAGAAATTAGCCCTGAAAAATGTTCCCTGAGAAAGCCTGGATTATATGATTATAATCACATTTATATTTGGTAGAAGAGTCAGATTATTACTTTTTCTAAAGTCTATATGTATATCGCTACTGTATATTCATGAAGGGAGAAAGACCCTCCTAGATATTGGTGTATTGAGTATTAATCGAGGGAAGCCGTTAAACATCTGGTTAACAGAGACCTTTACTATGTGCAAGATAAAATATGGAATTAAAAATTGTTGCTGGGGCCAGGCATGGTAACTGATGGCTGGGATTCCAGCACTTTGGCAGGGGCCAAGGCAGGAGGATCACTTGAGTCCAGGAGTGCGAGACCAGTCTGGGCAACATAGTAAAACCCCGTCTCTATTAACTATAAAATAGGTTAGGCCGGGCATGGTGGCTCATGCCTGTAATCCCAGCACTTTGGGAGGCTGGGGCAGGTGGATCACCTGAGGTTGGGAGTTCAAGACCAGCCTGGCCAGCATGGTGAAATCTCGTCTCTACTAAAAATACAAAAAATTAGCCGGGCGTGGTGGCACACACCTGTAATCCCAGCTGCTCAGAAGGCTGAGGCAGGAGAATTGCTTGAACCCAGGAGGCAGAGGTTGCAGTGAGCCGAGATCGTGCCATTGCACTCAAGCCTGGGCAAGAAGAGCAAAACTCCATCTCAAAAAAAAAAAAAGGTTAAAAAAAAATTGTTGCTGAGAGTTGTAAACCAAGTTTGAAGGTTTATGCGGTTGATGGAAGGAGGGTTTTTAAATGGTAGGCATCTTGGAAGTGAACACTTTCCAGCTTGGGCAGAAAAAATTGTAAAAGACATGGTTTAAAGTAAGGTTTACTTCCAACATTCTCCTATGACATCTCTGGTCATTTAACAATAGTATTGCAGACTACTTCCAGATTGCTATGGGTGTGGTTTGCAGAAGACTTCAGTATTTCATCAGCTTGTAAGTGATAAGTGATTGCCTTATTTAAGCTTAGTTTCTTAAAACTAAGTTTTAAAAGTAGGCTTAGTTATTTAAGCAGTCACATCTTTGCTTCCTGAAATTTATATTTGTACCATTTAGAAGCATCTCATAAACTATTGAAAAAAAAAATAGAAACATCTCAGTTTGGTTTAAAAGGGTGAAGGAGACTGGGCGTGGTGGCTCAGGCCTGTAATCCCAGCACTTTGGGAGGCTCAAGGCAGGTGGATGATGAGGTCAGGAATCCAAGACCAGCCTGGCCAACATGGTGAAACCCTGTCTCTACTAAAAATACAAAAATTAGCTGGGCATGGTGGTGTACACCTCTATTCCCAGCTACTCGGGAGGCTGAGGCAGGAGAATCGCTTGAACCTGGGAGGTGGAGGTTGCAGTAAGCCACGATCGCACCACTGCACACCAGCCTGGGTGACAGAGTGAGACTCTGTTTTGCGGGGGAAAAAAAGGGTGAGGGAAGTTGAGTGGATGAAGGTATATGATTTTTATCCCCAGCACTGTGCCTGGCTATAGAAAATGTGTAAAGGTTTAAATGACTGGAAGTGAGGAATCTCCAGAGTTTTATTAGCACAGTTGAGCAGCCAAGCCTTTTGTATAAAGGCTAGATTAGGCATATCTGTGATAAGAGAAATGTGACCATCTCAAATGAGTTATATACACAAAGCAGTGTAAATTTTTCCTGCCTTTCACGAGGGTATTGTCACTGAGAGCAGTGATTAGGAAATGGGTCAAAAAGAGACTATATTTTTGCCAAGTGCAGAATACCTGTTTGAGGCAGACTAATAATTAGTAACCAAAAACAAGGGAGCTCACAAAACTAAAAATGAAAATTTGTTTGTTTTAATCACAAAACCAGTAGGATCTGAGGAATTGTTCCCAGAAGCACTTTTCAAGGGATAGACATCACAGCTTGGACAGGTATATGTAATAGAAAACACAAGCCTTTTTATTCTATCTATAGAGCTGAGTTGTCTGCTATAGCAACTCTCAAAATTAGAAAGTAGATGCTTTAGATCTGAGTACGTTAAGTCTGCTAGAAACGTAAATGACACATTCATGTACTGATGTGTTAACTGCTCTGCACTTAATAAAAGGATAGCATCTATGAGAGAAAAGGCAACTACAGTTGTCCATTCACTGTCTCCTCATTTTCCACCCACAAATAGTACTTTATTTTCTGATTACAGCAGTAGTACGTTCATTCTGCTCCTTTATGTGTGTTTACCTCCATCATTGAGATTGCTCTGGTGAAGGTTACTGTTCATCAGTAGTGGGGTGGAATAGATAGTTTAGCAGTCATCTCACCTTTTATTCACATATTCTGGGCTGGGTGCAGTGGCTCACGCCTGTAATTCTAGCACTTTGGGAGGCCGAGGCGGGCGGATTATGGGGTCAGGAGATCGAGGCCATCCTGGCTAACATGGTGAAACCCCGTCTCTACTAAAAATACAAAAAATTAGCTGGGCGAGGTGGCACGCGCCTGTGGTCCCAGCTACTCAGGAGTCTGAGGCAGGAGAATCACTTGAACCTGCGAGGCAGAGGTTGCAGTGAGCCAAGATCGCACCACTGCACTCCAGCCTGGGCGACAGAGTGAGACTCCATCTCAAAATAAAAAAAACAAAACGATATTCTGCCAAAGTTGTATAACCTACAGCAGTTAAAAGGAAGCTGACTTCAGGTCAGTGCAATTTACACCTTTGTAACAACGAGAGCCATACACCAGTACAAATTTTGGATGGACCTAAAATGAGTCTGCAGAACCACTGAAGGATCAAGTGAGGGAATTATGACTTAATCACGTAACAAGCATTTGAGCACCTTCTCTGTCAGGTACTGAGCAAGGGACTGGGGACTCAAGGGTGAACCAAAAAGATATGATTACTGCCTTCTAGGACCTGACAGTCCAGTGAGAGAGACTGACAAGCAAATGACTATGCAAAAATTTCAAGAATTACATGATCAGCTATTTTTCCATAGGTCTCAAAGCTGGATAAAACACTGGAATTCAGGGAATCTTTGAGTAAGATGAGCAATTAGCCCATATGTTCAGCCTCTCCTTGTACTCATTCTGATTTCAAATTTAAATATTCTGTAGTGCTTTGAGACCTAGAGAAAGAAAACAATGACCAATTAATCATTTAGGTAAGTTCCTCTAATCATTCCTCTTCACGAGGAATCAACATCGGAATCAGCTCAGCAGCTTTTCCAAAACACAAATAACAACACCTGGCTCTGGAGGAAATTTAAGTAATTATGGAAACAAAAGGTAATTTAAAAAATTCTAGTAACTATTTTCACAGAGATTTCAGAAGCTACTGCATCCATAAAGTAAGAACAGATTTGGCCGGGCGCCGTGGCTCACGCCTGTAATCCCAGCACTTTGGGAGGCCGAGGTGGGTGGATTGCTTGAACGCAGGAGTTTGAGACCAGCCTGGGCAACGTGGTGAAACCCCGTCTCTACAAAAAAATACAAAAATTAGCCGTGGTGGCTCGCACCTGTGTTTTCCACTACTTGAGGGCTGAGGCAGGAGGATCCTTTGAGCCCACGAGGTTGAGGCTGCAGTGAGCTGAGATGGTGCCACTGCACTCCAGCCTGGGTGACAGATGAGACCTTGTCTCAAGGGAAAAAAAAAAAAAAGTGACACTGAAGAGGCTAAATTAGTGAACTGCAAGATAATATTGAGGAAATCTTCCAGAACATACAGCAAAAAGATCAAGAAAAAGTTAAGAATGGTAGAGGTATCCAAGAACCAGGAGATAAAACATTTGTCCAACAGCAACTTCAGAAAATGAGAATAGAAAAATGGAGATGAATAAAATCAAAGAACATTTCCTGAACTGATGATACAAATTGTAGTTTTCAGACTGAAAGGGCCTGCCAAATGTAAAGCAGAAAAAAATGAAAGAAGGTGAAACACATAGATGAAATCTCTAAGGAAAGACAATTTATCAGAGAGGGAAATAGATTACCGATAAAGGAAAGTGACTCAGATTGGTGTCAGGTTTCTTAAGGCACAGTGGATCACGAACAATATAGTCACAGAGGCTTGAAAGTGTGCTTTTATGTGTCTGTGTGCATACGGGGTGGGGTGGGTGGGTCCCAATTTTGTTCCTAAAATTCTAAACCCAGCCATGCTATTAAGGACAAAATACAGATATTTTCTAACACGCAAAGGCAATGTTTGCTTCCATTCAGCCTTTCTAAAACACTTACTTGAAAAAAAATTCATCAAAAGTGAAAAATAAATCTAAGAAATAGCAAGATGTCTTATCAGATGATAATCTATGAAAAAAAAGAAAAAGAACTATGTCTTATTAAGACAAAACACCCAACCAAATAACACGAAACAGTGGAATCCAGAAGTGCATTCAGGGGAAATCCCAGTAATACAACTTTGCACACACGTAGAAACGTGGTTTCTGGAGAGAACAGCTTGGAGAACACAGATACTATTACTCTGGTGTGCTACAGATGAGATGAAGGCATGAGTTTCGTTTGATTAATGATATACAAGAAAGGTAAACTGACGCTTTAAGAAAAATGAAAAGCTCTACGAAAAAGTTCTAACTTCTACATCAAAACATTCCTTTTAAGCAACTGATGAAATAGTAAAAGCATTGTTTTCTGAAACAACCAGTTCAAAACTTTTGGACTTATAAATCAGGAGGGAGGAGGATTAACTGATACACTATAATTCACGTATAAACTGTAGGTTTATTTTCTTTTATTTTGAGACGAAGTTTCACTCTTGTTGCCTAGGCCAGAGTGCAATGGCGCAATCTCGGCTCACGGCAACCTGCGCCTCCCAGGTTCAAGAGATTCTCCTGCCTCAGCCTCCCGAGTTGCTGGGATCACAGACATGTGCCACCACACCCAGCTAATTTTGTATTTTGAGTAGAGACGGGGTTTCTCCATGTTGATCAGGCTGGTCCTTAACTCCTGACCTCAGGTGATCTGCCAGCCTTGGCTCCCCAAAGTGCTGGGATTACAGGCATGAGCCACCATGCCCGGCCTATTTATTATTTTATTTTAGAGACAGAGTCTTTCTTGCTCTGTTGCCCACGCTGGAGTGAAGTGGCGTGATCATAGCTCATTGCCGCCTAACTTCTGGGCTCAAGCAATCCTCCTGCCTCAGCCTCCTCAGTAGTTGGGATTACAGGCCAGCACGACCATGTCCAGCTAATTCTTAAAAATTATTTTTGTAGACACTGCATCTCATCATGTTGCCCAGGCTGGTCTCCAACCCCTGGCCTCAAGCCATCCTCTCGCCTCAACCTCCCAAAGTGCTAGGATTACAATCTTGAGCCACGACACCTGGACCTCCAGGTTTGTTTATAATAATTATAAAGACTTTCCTATGAGTTTGTTTTCCTTTGATTTTATTCACAAATAAGCCTTTCCTCATGGACTGGTATCAAAGACTCATCCTAAAAATAGGATTAGATTTTCAAACTTTGTTCTTTTTTTTTGAGACAGAGTCTCCCTCTGTTGCCCAGGCTGGAGTGTGATGGCGCGATCTCAGCTCACTGCAACCTCCGCCTCCCAGGTTCAAGCAATTTCTCCTGCCTCAGCCTCCCGAGTAGCTGGGATTACAGGCACTTGCCACCAGGCCCGGCTAATTTTTGTATATTTAGTAGAGACGGGGGTTTCGCCATGTTGGTCAGGCTGGTCTCGAACTCCTGACCTCATGATCCGCCCGCCTCGGCCTCCCAAAATGCTGGGATTACAGGCGTGAGCCACTGCACCCGGCCCCAAACTTTGTTTTTTAATAGTACATTTTGACTTGTGAAAAGGTTTACTTAATTTGATCACTTGGAAGCTTAAATGTATTCTAAGAAACATGTTTAATACTTTTTTTTTTTTTTTTGGTGGGAGAGTCTTGCTCCGTTGTCCAGGCTGGAGTGCAATGGCGTGATCTCAGCTCACTGCAACCTCTGCCTCCTGGGTTGAAGCAATTCTACTGCCTCAGCCTCCTGAGTAGCTGAGATTACAGGAGCCCACCATCGCGCCTGGCCTACTTTGAAAAAAATTAATAAAAACTCTAACATCTTAATATTCTTTTTCTTTTTTTGAGACGGAGTTTCGCTCTTGCTGCCCAGACTGAAGTGCAATGGCGCGATCTTGGCTCACTGCAACCTCCAACTCCTGGGTTTAAGCGATTCTCCTGCCTCAGCCTCCCAAGTAGCTGGGATTACAGGATCCTGACACCAAGCCCAGCTAATTTTTGTATTTTTAGTAGAGATGGGGTTTCACCATGTTGGTGAGGCTGTTCTCAAACTCCTGACCTCAGGTGATTCACCCGCCTCGGCCTCCCAAAGTGCTGGGATTACAGGCGTGAGCCACCGCGACCGGCCTTAATATTCTTAGGTTAATACTTAAAAAAAAACAAAAGAAACTTGAACACAATCTTTCTAATTTTAATGCCCCCCTCCCCGCTTTTTTATTTTTAAAGAGAAAAAACTTCTTTTTGAGACGGAGTCCAGCTCTGTCGCCAGGCTGGAGTGCAGTGGCACGATCTCGGCTCACTGCAACCTCCGACTCCCTGGTTCAAGTGATTCTGTGTCAGCCTCCCGAGTAGCTGGGATTACAGGCACGCGCCACCACGCCCAGCTAATTTTTCTATTTTTAGTAGAGACGGGTTTCACCATGTTGGCCAGGATGGTCTCTACCTCCTGACCTCGTGATCCGCCCGCCTTGGCCTCCCAAAGTGCTGGGATTACAGGGGTGAGCCACCGCGCCCGACCAAAACTCGTATTTTGAAGAAGCATTTACTCCAAGTTCTGTAATTCCTTCAGGCTCAGCTTCAGTTTCCTTTTGTTAAAGTAAAATTACATCGAACACTTACTACTAAAAACAAAACCAAAAAAAAGCAGATCTATTGAATCATAACGTCCTGGGGCGAGCCTGGTCATGTGGATTTTGAAAAAAATGCATGTGATTCTGAAGCAGTGATTTAAATAATGACCTTTCAATAAGTGGTGGGTTCCGTTCATGGGAGAATAGGAAACTGCGTGAGTGGTAGAGGCAACAAGTTCGAAGAGCTGCGAGACGTTCCCACTCTCTCTGGTGTAGCCTTGGCTCACCGAGGCGCGCAGGGAGTGGAAGTGCCTGAGGATAAAGGTGTACACGTGCGAGTCTGAGATGATGGAATTGCTGCTCAAACTTCGTCCCCTTCTCTGCCCTCAGCAAACTTATTGGGGGTCGGGGAGCGCGTGGGGTGCGAGAGAAGAGAGGCAAGTTAGGATAGGGAGAGCGGCTCTCTGGCCGGTATTTTAACAAAGGGCTGAACTGACTAAGCATGGCCGGGCTGCCTCCCGGTCTCCCGAGGAAGCCCGCTTGCTGCTGGGGAGGGCTGTGCCTCCGCGGCGGTGGCTGTCTCAGCTGGCAGTAGAAATGCTTCCAGCTTAGCCCCGACAACCCCTTTAGGCCTAGGCACGCTCTTTCACAAAACCAGGGGCTGTGAACTCTGTCAAGGTTCCCAGGTCCATCGCAGTTACCAAGGCACAGTAAAAGCTCGAGTCAACTATCAGGCACATCCTGCAAAAGACGAACTGTCTGGACCAGTCCGCGTTTGAGTTTTAATTGAGAATAAATAGGTAGAAAATGCTTCCCTCCTCTCCTTTCACCTTGTATTAGGTAACAATTTCTACCTTAAAAAAGACGGGAGACGAGCGGCTCCGCATTCCGAGTTACTGGGACTTGGAGCAAGGGCCTATTTCAGCGTAGTTTCCGCTTCTTGTCACATGACGGGAGTCAGTGGGCCGCGCCTTCCCACTGCGACTCCCCGTGGGTCCGCAAACCGACACGTCACTCCTCGGCCCTCAACCAAACTGCTTGGGGCACGTTCTTTCCGCGCTCTTGACTCCTACGCGCCGGCCTATGACAGCTCGGCGGGAGCATACAGACCTGCCTCTAGACTGCTAAGTGATAGCTGTAATGACCAATTAAAAACTTGAATCGCGGCCCGGTTTACGCCTCCGGATTTGACAGACAGTTCCGAGACCCTATCGCTCTCCAGAAGCGTCCTATTGGCCTGGAGCCAGCCAACGGGGGAGCGGTCCGGGAGGCGGACCCGGCTCCTGCCAGGGTTGGGTGCGCCGCTGAACGGATGGCTGAGGGAGCCCCGCGGATCGTTTAGGAAAGCCGGCCAGGTGAGAAGGCCGTAGAACGTAACTTGAAAATCAGCGGCAGGTGCAGTCCATGGCGTTGATGGGGCTGAACGAAGTGCAGGAGGCAAAACTCTAAATGGGGGTGGAGAGCAGAGCTTAGGGCCTTGCAGAGGAGGGGGCGTGGGGCGTGGTGTGGGGGCTTCCTGGATGGAAGGATGCGAAGGTCTAGGGAGGGAGGGTAAGGTGGGTCTTGAGAACAGAGCGTGGGAAAGACTGGGTCCTGGGACTAGTTATGGAGGGGAAGGCGCGTAGGATGCTGGGGTGATGAGTGTCCCGCGCTGAGGGGTATCAGAGGTGGTCAGTTCTTTGAGGGTGGGAAGAAGAGGGAGGTGGGACCCGCTGGAACGACCGGAAGGGAGAAGAGAGTAAAAGATCGTGAGAGGGTGTGGAAACGTGTGTAGGAAAACGGGGCTGGGGAAATTGCAGTCTGGGAAACTAGAGGCAGGGTGGCAGGAGATGCCACAGCTTGCAGGGCACAGTTGAGGAGAGCAGGTTGGTAAGTGTTTTAAGAAAGGTGTCTTTGCTCTTATTTGCTTGGCGGTGTGCGAAAGTGACCAAAGAGCACGAGATGAAATCTCCCTTACGGCCCTGCCCTCAATGACTAGCTCGTTTACTCAAGTTTTCAAGTAGAGATCCTAGCAGTCTCATTTTGGTGTGTGGCTCGTATCAACGCAGTGGTGTTAAGTTTGTTCCTATTTCAGGCATTCCAGAAAACAGCTGCAAACCCTGAGAGATATGGCTGGATTGTTGACCTCCTGGAGTAGTTAGGCCTTTATTTTTAGTTGCAAAGTAAGCTTTCCCTTTGGGACTATACTTAAACACATTTCTAAACTGCTCTTCTGGGACAGTTAATTATGGAGAACATGCTTGACTTCTCAGTGTTGGGGCTAGCATTCTATATGCCTTCCACCTAGTCCAGTGTTGTTGTTGTTTTGTTTTTCTCCTTTATTCCAATAATAGTGGGAAAAAAGATTCATGGAGGAGGATAGACAAACGTTTGTTAAGGGATACACAAGTACAACTAGATAGGAATAAATTCTAGTGTTCTATAGGATAACTATTATTAGGAGTATAATTAACAACAAAAATACACAATTTGTTGTATATTTTCAGATAGCTAGAAGAGTGGATTTTGAATATTCCTAAGACAAAAAAAATAAGGTGATGAATCTACTAATTATTTCCCGACTTGATCATTACACATTATATACATGTACCAAAATGTCACACTGTACTCCATAAATATGTACAATTATGTGTCAGTCAAAAAGAATAAAAGCAAAACATCTTGAATGGTGTTGCATATCCTTTGTTATAGTCGTTATAA
Organism: Homo sapiens; assembly: GCF_000001405.40. Lineage (NCBI taxonomy): Eukaryota > Metazoa > Chordata > Mammalia > Primates > Hominidae > Homo > Homo sapiens. The sequence continues at coordinate 125,594,264 of NC_000011.10, forward strand.
CTTAGCTCTTGATCACCTTGTAATTTAAAAAAGTAGGTCTGGGCGTGGTAGCTCACGCCTGTAATCCCAGCACTTTGGGAGGCTGAGGTGGGCAGATCATGAGGTCAAGAGATCCAGACCACCCTGGCCAACATGGTGAAACCCCGTCTCTACTAAAAATACAAAAATTAGCTGGGCGTGGTGGCGCACACCTGTAGTCCCAGCTTCTCATGAGGCTGAGGCAGAAGAATCGCTTGAACCCAGGAGGTGGATGGAGGTTGCAGTGAGCCGAGATGGCACCACTGCACTCTAGCCTGGCGACAGAGCAAGACTCCGTCTCAAAAAAAAAAAAAAAAAAAAGATAGTAGTACTGTCTTATACAAGAATAACTAACCTATGGTAGATTAGTGCTATATTGCTATATAAATAATTCATATCTGTCATGTGATTTCCATTTTGAACTGCCTACAGATAGTGTCCCTCAACATTTTAATCTACTTTTTTTAATCCCCCGACTCTTCTGCTTCAGTAGGAAAAATTCGTTTTCTTTCCCTCTAGATTATCATCTGATGCCATCAAACTGTCTGTGTAATTTAATCAGTCTCTTAAATCAGCATTGTCAGTTACAGAGAAGCCTTGAGACAGATGATTGGAAGCGGGTATAGATCTGAGCAGTCGTTACAGTCTGATATATGGGATGAGAACACAGTGGATCTGTGTTTGGGTACCTCCACCTCTTTTTGAGTGCATGATTGTACCTGCATTAGTTATCAGGTATGCTGTTAGTTGACCCGACAGCCCCATTGGGATTTGGAAAAGAAAAAAGTTTATAGCCATTCAGTTGAAGTTTAAATTTAGGGCTCGAAATTGTGTTGATTCAGTCGTGACTTCTATTTTTCCTCTTAATGCCTTTCACTTCTTCTTTTTTTTTTTTTTTCCTTTTTAAAGAGAGGAGGTCTGGCTCTATTGTCCAGGCTGGAGTGCAGTGGTGTGATCCTAGCTCACTGCAGCCTCCAACTCCTGCCTCAGCCTCCTGAGTAGCTGGGACTGCAGGTGCAGACCACCAAGCCTGCATAATTTTAAACAGTTTTTTGTGGAGATGGGGTTTTGCTGTATTGCTCAGATTGGTCTTGAACTCCTGGCTTCAAGCGATCCTCCCTCCTTAGCCTCTGAAATTGCTGGGGCTTGCACTTCTGGTCTCAATGTTTATTTCCTGCTTCCCCCCCTCCGCCCCTGCCACCCCATATAGTCCTGCCTTTTCTTGAGTGCTCTCTTTCTCCATTTTATTATTTTTCAGTATTTCCAATCTTTCCTGTTTATTTTTTCATCTCTTCCTTGTGCTATACTATTGCTAATTGTGCTTATGTACTTGTTAGCTGTGAAGGAGTGGGAAATAGAATTATGGATGGTTTATTCTGACCACTCCATTTTAGTCTTGACACATAGACCTGACTTGTGCCTACTTCCTTGCAAGTTGATCATACTTTAGGCCAGGCTTGGATACTAGTATTAGCCTTGACCCTGTCTGGTGTTTTTGCTAGCTCCTACGTCCTTTATGATTCCCTCTCATCATAAAATATGAAAATTAAGTAAATTGAAGGTGTTCAATATCTTGTGGTCTTGACTTTTTCATTTTAGCTGATCGTCGTGTGTTGCCACCCATTCATGTCAAGATGACTAAGTTTGGATTTTTGCGATTGTCCTATGAGAAGCAGGACACACTTTTGAAGCTTCTCATTCTGTCAATGGCTGCTGTATTATGTGAGTGTGCATGTGAACCTCTCTTTCTTTGGGGATAGAAAGAAGAAAGTCTAGAAAAAAATTGAAAATCGCTATCTTAAAATGCCTTGTTCTTTTTAGCAGATTGTTACATTTTTCCATTCCTCATTAGTATAATTTTATGAAGGCAAAATAAAAGGAATATAAAAGTCAGGGCTATGGGCCACATGCAGTGGTTCACGCCTGTAATCCCAGCACTTTGGGAGGCTGGGGTGGGTGGATCACTTGAGGCTGGGAGTTTGAGACCAGCCTGGCCAACATGATGAAACCCTGTCTCTACTAAAAATACAAAAACTAGTTGAGTGTGGTGGTGGATGCCTGTATTCCCAGCTACTTGGGAGGCTGAGGCACGAGAATCGCTCGAACCTGGGAGGCAGAGGTTGCAGTAAGCCGAGATTGCACCACTGCACTCTAGCCTGGGCAACAGAGCAAGACTCTGTCTCAAAAAAAAGAGGGCTGTGATCATCTTTGAAAGAATGGGAAGCATGCTGTGCCAATTCTGTTTTCTCATAGGGTTGAAAGTGATATTGGGGACCCTTGGATAACTGATTTTTGTAAAAGACAATTATCTTCAATTTAGATGTCTCCTATAGTATTTTTGAAAGTCTCTTGAGAGTTTACTCTGTATTTTAGATTTTCTGGCTCTTCATGAGTCCTAGGTGTAATTTTGCTTGCCATACCTATTACTTTGCTCCAAGGTTAAGGTTAGTTATGTGTGTATGGTGGGGGAGTCAGCGTATATAAAAGATGACCATGTAAGTTGAGTTTGGTATTAGTAGGTGAATGTAATGTTATAGGCTTTTATAATTAGTTAACTGTGACCTATGAAAGTGGAAAATGTAGATGCCATTGTCAGGGGAAAGTAAACTTCTCTTGTTTCCTTTATGTGGGGAAAGATGGATAAAGACTTTATTCAGGGATTATTTTATATTTTCTGTGACCTCTCTACTGGATAATACTGTCTTCATTATAATACTATATCTGCTGTTCTTTCATGGCACATTACCAATAAAATATTAACTCTCTGGTTTTTGCAGCCTTCTCCACTCGTCTGTTTGCTGTCCTGAGATTTGAAAGTGTTATCCATGAGTTTGATCCGTGAGTACCTTTGCTTGATCTGGTATTATTTCCTTTGGGAGGCATTCAGGTTCATGGGTTTCAGATTCAAATTTCAGTCAGCTCTCAGTGATAGAGATGTGCTTTCAGTACATTTAAGGGAAAAAAAAACCCTTAAATTCTTCCAAAGGAGATAATTATCTCCTTTTAAGACGTATGTGTTGGAGTCCAGCACAGTGGCTCACACCTGTAATCCCAGCACTTTGGGAGGCTGAGGTGGAGGGATCACTTGAGCTCAGGAGTTCAAGACCAGCCTGGGCAACATGGTGAAACCCCATCTCTACAAAAAAAAAAAAAAAAGTATGTGTTGGAATTGACCAAGTAAGTCTCTGAAACTCAAAAAATGTGAGAGGCATTGCTAGTATGTCTGCCTATCACTTAAGATCTGGCTAGGCTAAGAGAATTCTGGCTGCCCAGTTTGGTAAAAGTTTGTGATGCAGATTGAAGGAAAGGGTCCTGGTGTGTATTCCAGGCTCAGAAGAGAATCACAAACAATGGACTTGAGATTCATGACATTTTGCTGTTTGTTTGTTTGTTTAGCAATTTATGTGATAGAAATTGGGCTTCTTAGTTAAATTCTAGGGCAATGAAAAAACTCAAAGTTATCAGTTTGATAAGGAATTTTGTTCATTAGATGAAAAAGATATAGTGGAATTCCTTAGTGGTATTAATAACTAGTATTTACTAAGCATTCATTTTGTTCCAAGCACTAATTTACAGATTATCTCTAAATCCTTTCAGCAACCCTTTGAGATGTAGGTACTATTATTCCCTTCTTAGAAATGAGGAGACTCCACTGGGCACGGTGGCTCACGCCTGTAATCCCAGCACTGGGGGAGGCCAAGGCGGGCAGATCACAAGGTCAGGAGTTCGAGACCAGCCTGGCCAACATAGTAAAACCCCATCTCTACTAAAAATACAAAAATTAGCTGGGCATGGTGGCATGTGCCCGTAATCCCAGCTACTCTAGAGACTGAGGCAGGAGAATCGCTTGAACGCAGGAGGTGGAGGTTGCAGTGAGCCAAGATCATGCCACTGCACTCCTGCCTGGGCTACAGAGCAAGGCTCCATCTCAAAAAAAAAAGAAAAAGAAAAAAGAAATGAGGAGACTCAGGCTGGGAGTGGTTATCTAAGGTTGATTATTCAGTACGTGGAGGAACCGTGATTTGAATGTTGGTTTGTCTGACTCCAGAGACTGTAGTCACTGTGTTATATTGCCTAAAGTTAAGGCTTATAACAAATTTGGAGGGCCAAAATCATAGGTTCTTGAAATATTATTGGTATCTTAAAAATAGTATATTCAATCTTGTGGAGTATTGATTGAAAATGCCTGCATCTATTTGCAAATTTATAATTTTGTTTTGTGTAGATATTTGAAAGCATTTTGGAGGCATTACAAATAATTCTGTTTGGGGCCTCCCAAATTCAGTTTATATTTTTTCTCATGAATGAGGAGACATGTCCTTTTGTTTTTTCTTTTTTTGTTTGAGATTGGGTCTGACTGTCACCCAAGCTGAAGTGCAGTGGAGTGATCACGGCTTACTGCAGCCTTGACTTGTGGGGCCTAAGTGATCCCCCCACCTCAGTTTCCCAAGTAGCTGGGACCACAGGCATGTGCCACCATACCTAGCTAATTTTTTAAAAATTTTTTGTAGAGATGGAGTCTCACTATGTTGCCCAGGCTGGTCTCAAACTCCTGGGCTCAAGCAATCCTCCCTCCTCAGCCTCCCAAAGTACTGGCATTACAGGTATGGGCTTCCATGCCCAGCCTACTTTTGTTTCTTGATCCCAATCTGTTAGGCTTCTTTCTCAGACCCTCTGAATGAGCAAATATTGATGTTAGATAATCAAGGAATGCAAGAGCATCTGCTTTGTCGTCAAGAGCTGTTAGGGACCATAAGGGACTTGACACTTCCTTTTGCAGAGGAGGAAACTGATTCCCAGAGTGGTGAATGCAGTCCAGACCTATTCCTACTAACTTATACTTCCTCTCTCACTCTGCCTCTCCTACTGGTAGCTAAAGGACACAATTCTGACACATACTGATGTCTGCAACCCTCATCTCTTCTGTTTCTGACAGTCACCAAAATAACATCAGTGACAAACAGAAGGATAGAGATTTCTGCCATCTGTTGCTTCTGTTTACTTCAGCTTTCAAAACTTGACTGACCAAGGAGGAAATAGGGTTAGAGAGGTGGGCAGAGAGGACGGTTAGTCATGATTATCCATAGTAATTAAACTGTCTCTAGTTTGAGACTCTTTGTTTATTTTTGTCTGTCTTCCTTTTTTTTGGAAACAGGGTCTTGCTGTGTCACCCAGGCTGAAGTTCAGTGGCTCAGTTATGGCTCATGCAGCCTCAACTTCCTGGGCTCAAGTGATCCTCCCACCTCAGCCTCCCGAGTAGCTGGGATTACAGGCACGCGCCACCATGCCTGGCTAATTTTTGTGTTTTTTGTAGATTGGGTCTTGTTATGTTACACAGGCTGGTCTCAAACTTCTGTGCTCAAGCGATCCATCCACCTCTGCCTCCCAAAGTGCTGGGATAACAGGCATGAACTACTACACCGGCCTCTTCTTTATTTTTATTTATTATTATTATTATTATTTTTTGAGATGGAGTTTCGCTCTTGTTGCCCAGGCTGGAGTGCAATGGCACAATCTCAGCTCACCACAACCTCTGCCTCCCGGGTTCAAGCGATTCTCCTGCCTCAGCCTCCTAAGTAGCTGGGATTACAGGCACGCGCCACCACGCCTGGCTAATTTTTGTATTTTTTGTAGATTGGGTCTTGTCATGTTACACAGGCTGGTCTCAAACTTCTGTGCTCAAGCGATCCATCCACCTCTGCCTCCCAAAGTGCTGGGATAACAGGCATTAACTACTACGCCGGCCTCTTATTTATTTTTATTTGTTATTATTATTAATTTTTTTTGAGATGGAGTTTTGCTCTTGTTGCCCAGGCTGGAGTGCAATGGCACAATCTCAGCTCACCACAACCTCTGCCTCCCGGGTTCAAGCGATTCTCCTGCCTCAGCCTCCTAAGTAGCTAGGATTACAGGCATGCGCCACCACGCCTGGCTAATTTTGTATTTTTAGTAGAGACAGGGTTTCTCCATGTTGGTCAGGCTGGTCTCGAACTCCCGACCTCAGGTGATCCACCTGCGTCGGCCTCCCAAAGTGCTGAGATTACAGGAGTGAGCCACTGCGCCTGGCCTTATTATTATTATTATTTATTTTATTTTTTGAGACAGGGTCTTGCTCTGTCACCAGGCTGGAGTGCAATGGCATGATCAGGGCTCACTGAAGCTTCAACCTCCCTGGGCTCAGGTGATCCTCTTATTTCAGCCTCCTGAGTAGCTGGGACTACAGGCGTGTGCCACTAAGTCCTGCTGATTGTTGTATTTTTTTTTAGAAACAGGGTCTCTCTATGTTGCCCAGGCTGATCTTGAACTCCTGAGCTCAAGTGATCCACCTGCCTTGGCCTACTAAAGTATTGGGATTACAGGTGTTATCTACCTCACCCAGCCTTATTTCTTTTTAAATAAGAAACTTAAGGACTTACATATTTTGGGCCTAAAGAACTATCTTTCCATTTAAAGCTCTTAAGCATTTTATGTCAAATATTTTTCATGTTGTCTATGTATCTGTGTATCTTTCTATATTTTTTTTGAGAAAGGGTCTTGCTCTGTTGCCCAGTCTGGAGCACAGTGTTGTGATCATGGCTCACTGTAGCCTTGACCTCCTGGACTCAAGCAGTCATCCCACTTCAACCTCCTGAGTGGCTGAGACTATAGGTGTGTGCCACCATGCCTGGCTAATTTTTAAAAAATGTTTTGTAGAGACAGAGTCTCACTGTGTTGCCCAGGCTGGTCTTGAACTGGGCTTAAGCGATCCTCTTGCCTCAGTCTTCCAAAGTGCCGGGCTTACAGGCATGAGCTGCCATGCCTGGCTGTAATCTATATTTTTATGCTTCTATATAGGTGACATAAGAAGCATTTTAGATAACCACATGAGTAGACCTTGTTAAAAGTTTAAACACTGATTAAGAAAGTTGTGTTATGAAGTAGGTTAAAATTTTTTCATCCTGCATATGATGGTATACCAACATCTTTAAAGATTCTCATCACTGGAAATTATTCATGTGTCTTTGTGTGCAGTATAGATTTTTAAAAATATGTTCCTGTCACTTAAAAGCCAGAATCTGGCCAGGCATGGTGGCTCACACCTGTAATCCAAGCACTTTGTGAGGCTGGGGCAGGTGGATCACCTGAGGTCAGGAGTTTGAGACCAGCCTGGCCAATATGGTGAAACCCTGCCTCTACTAAAAATACAAAAATTAGCTGGGCATTGTGGCGAGCGCCTGTAATCCCAGTTACTTTCAGAAGGCTGAGGCAGGAGAATGGCTTGAACTCCGTAGGCAGAGGTTGCAGTGAGCCGAGATCGTGCCATTGTGCTCCAGCCTGGGCAACAAGAGCGAAACTCTGTCTCAAAAAAAAAAATAAATAAGAAAGCCAAAATCTATTGGTGCCCACATCTCAGTGGCTTTGTCTTCATGGTGCTTGAATTCTCTGACTGGTCCTAATGCCTACCACATGTCAGCTTGTTGAAGTATCCCATTTGATTGCTTTGTTACAATGTTAGGCTCCAGTTTCATTTCCTTTTTATTTATTTATTTTTTTTTCTGAGATGGAGTCTTGCTCTGTTGCCCAGGCTGGAGTGCAGTGGCAATCTCGGCTCACTGTAACCTCTGCCTCCAAGGTTCTAGCGATTCTCCTGCCTCAGCCTCCTGAGTAGCTGGGATTACAGGCACATGCCACCGTGCCCAGCTAATTTTTGTATTTTTAGTAGAGATGGGGTTTCAACATGTTCGTCAGGCCAGTCTCGAACTCCTGACCTTGTGATCCACCTGCCTCGGACTCCTAAAGTGCTGAGATTATAGGCATGAGCCACTGCACCCGGCTCATTTCCTTATGAGAAAAGCAGTGCTTTAGTTGAGACAAGCATGGAGATAGAAGTAAACAGACTTATGGTAGTGTAAAATGATTTTCATGGCATAATATCTGATGTTAAACTGATTTTTCATTGAGTAATGCTGAATTTCTCAATGGTGTATCCTGAGGAGCAAAATTCACCACAAATTTACAACAAAGTTTATTTCTTGCTATAGGTACTTTAATTATCGGACTACCAGGTTCCTGGCTGAGGAGGGGTTTTATAAATTCCATAACTGGTTTGATGACCGAGCCTGGTACCCTTTGGGACGAATCATTGGAGGAACAATTTACCCAGGTGAGGAGACCAGATGTGTTTTTTTTTTTAAAAAAAAAACAGAAATATTTGTATGCTAGAGAACCAGTTTCTTTTATTTCTAATAGCTTTGTCTTGTGACACTTGTAATTTCATCCTGATTACAGGTTCCTAAAAGTGCATCTTACATAAACAGGAGTACATTTGTAGTAGAGTGGAGATGGGTGGTTTTTATACATTCTAGACTTCTGATTGAATCCTTAGGGGAGAAATTTATAGGCTTACTGCAGTTGCTATGTTAGTATTTCTGGTGATTTGTCAAGACTTACATAGTCACTTTATTGTATCTGGGATTTTCCCTTTCTTTTTCCCTTAAGTTCTGGTAAGACAACCTAATGGAGTTTCTTCTTCCTGTTACAGGTTTAATGATCACCTCTGCTGCAATCTACCATGTACTCCATTTTTTCCACATCACCATCGACATTCGGAATGTCTGTGTGTTCCTGGCCCCTCTCTTCTCCTCCTTCACCACCATCGTCACGTACCACCTTACCAAAGAGCTCAAGGTGAAGGATTTGGGGTGACAGGAGGCTTGGGAATGAATGTTATTGAGCCTCTCTAATCGATGCTGGAGGGTGGGGGACAGAGCCTTAGAAAGGCAGGGAGCCAGAAGGTGAAGACAGCTTTTACTGGGCCAAATTAATTGGCTTCACTCCAACCCCTTTCTGCAATATGTGTTTTTTATCATTAGCAACTGTTTGTCCTTATGAGAGTACAGTTGAAAGTGAAATGTAAATTGCAACATAAAGAAAAAAACATTTAAAATGCAAAATGTGAGGTTTGGATTTTGAAGTCCTCACAATGTAAGGGAGAGGAAAAAAAAACTACATGAAACATTCCAAAACGGTTAGTTTTTCCTACCAGGAATGTACTCAGCAATTATTTGTTGATTTAAAAAAAATTTTTTTTTATTTTAAAATTCTTAAGCCATTTGGCTTCCGTAGTAGACTCCATAATGCTGACTCTGTTTTTCCAGGTTTCAGCATTGCTGACCTTGGCTCCCTGGGTGCTATTCTTAGTTTGTGCTGCGGTGTTAGAGAGATACCTGAGAGGTGATAAACTAGTAGGGGGTTTGGGAAGCCTGAATTTAGTTTGGAAAACTTTTTGATCCTTCTCCTTGCTGCCCTTTCCCAAATTTGACTCTTTCAACAGACAAGTCTTTACTTTTTTGGAATGTGGCTTATATCTGTTGCTCCTTTCTCCTGAGCTCAAAGGGTGCCTGGTGATATTTAAGCTTTATTGCCTAAGCTCCTGGCATCTTCAGTTTAGGTAGATTATCACTTAGCTTTCTTGGCTTTTTAACTGAAATAATAATTTTCTTCCTTTGATTGTCCTTGCATGGCTTTTAGAGGTGTGACTGGTGTTCCAATGATGTACAGATATTGTTAGGGGTAGAGACTTACGAGCTTGGGGAGATTGGTAGCCAAACAGCCCATTCTGGGACAGTATTGATGTTTGACATCTCACTTGATTTGTCTGTCCTCAGCATATGTGTTCTCAGTGTCAGGTTTGGTGTCATCATGGGGAATTGGTCATGAAGTTTTTAGCTTGCTTGTGCTGTGAGCATTTCTAGCATTTCTAACATCTCACATCTACCTTCGAAATTGTTGGACTGTTTTCTGGGCTCATTATAAACAGAATGGACTAGTGGATCCTCTGTTCTTTCTCAGCATTGTATTGGTGTTAATGTCTTATTACCCTTTTTTTCTTACAGGATGCAGGGGCTGGGCTTCTTGCTGCTGCCATGATTGCTGTAGTTCCTGGATATATCTCCCGATCTGTGGCTGGCTCCTATGATAATGAAGGTAAGACTTTTAAAATGCTGAAGAAGATCATCTCACCTCATTATCCAACAGAGCTTCACAAAGTGCAGTCTATGGTTTAGCAATAATAAAAATGGTAACTGGGTGAGAATATTAGAAATGGGCAGGAACGGATCTTGGACAAGCTCATGTTCTCTTCCCATCATCCTTTCCAGAAAGGTAGTTGGTAACTTTTCTTACAAGTCTTTGGTTCATCTCTGCACTCATAAAATAGTTAACTATTGTTTTAACATTATAATCATTTGCTTTATTTTCCTACATAAAGGGAGTGGATGTCCTTAAAATTTTAATGACTGATTGACTTATTCTCAATTCAACATACATTTGTTGAATGTTATTGGGAAAACATAGTATTAAGTGTTAGGTAATGACTAAGATTACTTTGTGCATAATTATAAGAAATTAAAGAGATAGGTAATGAATAAGGTTATATTGGCCCATCATCTATTAAGGAAGATTAAAATGGACATGTAAATATAACTCCAGTGACAGGAGATAGTACTATGTGCCATGATAAAAATTTGAACAGAGTACTTCAGGAATGTAGTGGAAGGAGAGATTTGGGGCTGAGCTTGGTGGCTCACGCCCTGTTATCCAGTACTTTCAGAGGCTGAGGTGTGTGGATCATTTGAGCTCAGGAGTTTGAGACCAGCCTGGGCAACCCTGTCACTATAAGAAATACAAAAATTAGCTGGGCATGGTAGTGTGCGCCTATAGTCCCAGCTACTCTGGAGACTGAAGTGGGAGGATCGCTTGAGCCTGGGAGGTTGAGGCTGCGGTGAGCTGTGATTGCCACTGCACTTCAGCCTAGTAATAGAGCAAGACCCTGTTTTTGTTGTTGTTGTTGTTGTTTTTATTTTTATTTTTTTAAGAAAAAAAAAAAGCAGACTGGAGAATCAAGGAAGGCTTTTTAGAAGTGGTTGAGGGTCAACTGGGTCCTGAAGTTGGGACTTCATTAGGCAGATATCAAGGAAAGGGGCAATTGGGGCATGAGTATTATATGTTAAGACATAGAGGCAGGATGATGAATGATAGTATAAGATGTCTTTAGAACTATACTAGCAGGATGTTTAGTGCTTGGAAAGAATGATAATAATGGCCAATATTTACTTAATGTTTATTATATGCTAGGTACTCTTCTAAGTGCTTTACAGGCATTAATTATATTTGTTTTCAGAACACTTTTATGAAGTAGATACTATTACTTCTTCTTACATGAAACTGAAACAAAAGGAAGTAAATAATTTGCCTAAAATTACACTATTACTTGGTAGTAGATCCAGGCAGTCTGTTCCAGAACAGTATTCTTAATGACTATACTAGCCTGGCCTCTTGTTGAATTTTTGGTGTGTCCTTTCTGCAGGGATTGCCATCTTTTGCATGCTACTCACCTACTACATGTGGATCAAGGCAGTAAAGACTGGTTCCATCTGTTGGGCAGCTAAGTGTGCCCTTGCTTATTTCTACATGGTAACTTTTTCTACATGTTTTCAATTTTTAAAGTTCTCTAAATACTGTATTTCCTATGGGTACTTATTGTTTGACCAACTTTCTTTTCTGGTAGGTTCCCCTAAATTTTTTTCTTTTCCAGTATATTTTTTCTGTTCATACTTACGTATACATGTAGACTTCCTTAATTGCTTCCACTTGCTCACATATCCCTAAATCCTCTGTGTGACCTTACAGTAGATTGCATTTAGATTAATTCTGAGGCTTGAGTCCCTCTCGTTATGTGATCATGACATCAGCAACCACAAGGGAGCAGGGGATTGAGTTACAGTGATGGGTTTGAACTTGATTTTATATTTTCTTTTTTAAAATTTATTTTATTTTGTGTGACCTGTACATGTAAGGACTTGATTTTCCTGTTTAAAAAAAAAAATCAGTTATTTGAACTCTTTAAGCCATTTGGCATAAATAAAGTTATAGTTACTATAAGTGTTCTTTAAAGAGTCACAGGTGATATCCTACAATATAGTGGTGGTGGTCTGAGGAGGCATACTCAGAGGAACTGTTTTTTTCTATTCCATCATAGGTCTCGTCATGGGGAGGTTATGTGTTCCTGATCAACTTAATTCCTCTCCACGTCCTCGTGCTGATGCTCACAGGCCGTTTCTCTCACCGGATCTATGTGGCCTACTGTACTGTTTACTGCCTGGGCACTATACTTTCTATGCAGATCTCCTTTGTGGGTTTCCAGGTGAGCCCTTGACTGAGTAGGGTTTTCAGCTTCTACTTTTTCTATGCAGCCCCAACTAGACTGATTTATCTTAGATTCTGTTAAGAAGAGTACGACTTATTCACAGCCTTTATATTGAACTACTTGTGTTAGTTGAAGCAACAGAATTACTGGTCATTAAAGTTTGCATCCAGGAGTCTGCTAATATTTGCTCCGTGGAGTTTGAATTCCATGGCTCTTACTTTGGCTTTAAGTTTGTGGGAAGGGGAGGGATATTTAGTTGAGTTGAGTTTAGATGAGTGATCAGAGTTAAAATTTCCAGTCTTCTTAATGCAGATGACCCCATGTAGTAGCAGAGATTCCTGATCTTAATGGCATCTAATTGTAAGTGCTTCAGGAAGTAAAGCACAAACCTTTAACCACATTGCTCCACAGGGTTAACAGACAACTGTTAAATCAAAGAATAATGTGGTATGTTTGATTTCTCTTGTGAAATTATCATGAAAATGCAAACCTTATCTAGAGGTCAACAAGTATTTCTTTACTGATTACCTACTGCAGATTGTCCCCAACTTATGAAGCGTGACTTAGGATTTTTTGGCTTTAGAATGGTGTGAAAGTGATCTGCATTGAGTAGAAACCGTACTTCCAGTACCCATACAAGCATTCTGTTTTTCACTTACAGTACGGTAGTCAATAAATTACATGAGATTCTCAACACTTTATTGTAAAATAGGCTTTGTGCTAGATGATTTTGCCCAACTGTAGGCTAATGTTAAATGTTCTGAGCATGTTTAAGGTAGTCTACGCTAAGCTGTGATGTTCCATAGGCTAGGCGTATTAAATGCATTTTCTACTTAAGATATTTTCAACTTAAAATGGGTTTATGGGGATATAACCCAATCATAAGTTGAAAAGCATTTGTATATGCAGTTTGCTAATCACTTGAAAATGTAAAAAGAATAAAAATGCGGTCATAGTCCTTAAGGAAGTTTTGGTCTTCTTACAGGGAAAGAAATACAGGCAGCTGTCTATATCCGATAGGCTACAGTTCTGGAAGTGTGGTTCTTGAATCATCATCACTAGCAGCAGCAGCTAGAAACTTGTTAGAAATAAATGCAAATTCTAGAGCCCCAACACAGACCTACTGAATCAGAAACTCTGGAGGTGGGGCTCAGCGATCTGTGCTTCGACACTCCTACCTCCTTGGTGACTACGATGCCCACTAGCATTTGAGAACCACCGATCTAAGGCAAAGAATGATTAAGTGCTAGAAGAGAACTAATGTGATATGGAACATAGAGAGGAGTGATTGATTTCAGTTTGGCAGATTGGGAAGAGATGATATTTGAGTTGGACCTTGAATGATGAGAATTTTAGTGGATGGGAATTTGGGGAAAATTACAGTCTAGGCTAAGGAAATAACCTGAGCAAAAGCCAGAGATGTGATAATGATAGTGTATCTTATGCTTTAGGGGGCTGCAAATATTCTGTAGAAAATATGGCTGGTGAATTAAACCCTTCCCTAGATTGGCCCTGATTCCTTCGGGGCCTCAGAACTCATTTGACCATTTGGTTTGAACTAGATAAGAATAATGCAGGCCTGCACTGGACTTACTCATTTTTTTTCCTTAGTATTAACATACATATCCTTTTACCTACAGCCTGTCCTTTCATCAGAGCACATGGCAGCCTTTGGGGTCTTTGGTCTCTGCCAGATCCATGCCTTTGTGGATTACCTGCGCAGCAAGTTGAATCCACAACAATTTGAAGTTCTTTTCCGGAGCGTCATCTCTCTGGTAGGCTTTGTCCTTCTCACCGTGGGAGCTCTCCTCATGCTGACAGGTAGGGAAGGCTCACAGCTTTTTTCCTTTTTTCTTTTTTTTTAAGATGGAGTTTCGCTCTTGTTGCCCAGGCCGGAGTGCAGTGGTGCGATCTCGGCTCACTGCAACCTCCACCTCCCAGGTTCAAGCGATTCTCCTGCCTCAGCCTCCTGAGTAGCTGGGATTACAGGCGCCTGCCACCGCGCCCGCCACCACGCCCAGCCAATTTTGTATTTTTAGTAGAGACGGGGTTTCTCCATGTTTGTCAGGCTGGTCTCAAACTCCCGACCTCAGGTGATCCGCCCGCCTCGGCCTCCCAAATTGCTGGGATTACAGGCGTGAGCCACTGCACCCGGTCAGGCTTAGAGCTTTTACTATTAAATGCAGATGGGTACAGACATAGAATAAACTCCAAAAGACAGGGTATTTTCTGAACACAAAAGATTATTTTTTTCTTATTTCTTTTTTCATCGGAAGCATGTACAATCCCACAATTTTACATTCAATCCACTTTTCAGCCCAGTGTTTGGATTCAGCATAGCAGAAAATATCTTGTTGGAGCTGCTCTTAATCACACCTGGTGAAAGGACTATATCTTACCTTGCGAATCTTTCTCCTTTTTCTTTCTTTTTTTTTCTTTCCTATTGATTGGGTGGGAGAAGTCATTATATTGCTTACCATACCCTCCAAAGTGGCACTCATCTAATCCCATGGAAACTAAATCATAGCTGTTTAGTTGGTTGGAAAGCCAAATTTTCCTTCTTTTTCTCTACTTTGCTTTCTCAGAGATGAATTTGATTTTGCTCAAGTCTATCTATTGACTAATTCAGAGCAGGACTTGAGGATATAGTTGATTTAATCTCTACAGTTGGCCTTGGTTTGACCAAATTTGGCCTAAAACCCTTTCAGGTAGCATTTCTGCCTCTGTTCTTCTCTCCAAGTTTATATACAGCCTGGCTTTATTCTGCTGGCAGTGCTGACAAAAGTACTCTCAGGTTTGAAAGAAAGGAAGGAGTGAAACTCTCTAAGTATTGGTGGCAATTAAGCAAAAACCTAATCCTTCTCTGTCACTGAGAATCTTATTAAAATGGGAAGTTGTGATTCATTTGGATCAGATGTTTGTTTGAAGAGTGTGTGTGGAATATTTATTGCCTCTTTGCTGCTAGGAAAAATATCTCCCTGGACGGGGCGTTTCTACTCGCTGCTGGATCCCTCTTATGCTAAGAACAACATCCCCATCATTGCTTCTGTGTCTGAGCATCAGCCCACAACCTGGTCCTCATACTATTTTGACCTGCAGCTCCTCGTCTTCATGTTTCCAGGTATGTGGCCTCGTGTTCTGAAATGGCCTTGTTCATAAGAATCACAATTTGATTCCAAATTTGCAAGCTACCCTCATTCGTGTTTTGTTTTTCTTTGCCTGTTTATGTTGTGTAATACAGAGGACGGCTAAGCAAATTTTCTCATGTATGAAGCTGAGCAGAAGTCAGAAGTTCAACAGTTGTAGATATTGGCAAGTTCAGCCTCACAGTTTTCTGTTCATTTGTCATTTGTGTTATAAGTTAAAATTTAACGGTAATTTTTACTCCGGTTTTGTTTTGTTTTGTTTGAGTACTTCTGTCGTACTCCTTCCCCTTTACCCTTGTTTTTCCTCTTGGAAGTATTGAAGTCCCATAATGAGTACTGCTGATTGTAAAGCCTCATCAATCTCTTATCTTCTGGCCAATCCAGATGTGTTTTAGAATTTACCGGTGTTAGTGGTCTTTTTCTCTTAAAAAATAACTTTTACCTTTTTTTTTTTTTTTTTTTTTTTGAGATAGAGTCTTGCTCTGTTGCCTAGGCTTCAGGGCAGTGGTACAATCTCAGCTTACTGCGGCCTCTGCCTCCTGGGCTCAAGCCATCCTTCCACCTCACCCTCCTGAGTAGCTGGGACTACAGGTGCACACCACCATGCCCAGCTAATTTTTGTATTTTTTTTGTAGAGATGGGGTTTTGCCATGTTGCCCAGGCTGGTCTTGAACTCATGGGCTCAAGCAGTCTGCTCACCTTGGCCTCCCATAGTGCTGGGATTACAGGCGTGAGCCACTGTGCCTGGCCAACTTTTACTTTTTTCTTACTGTGAAAGTAATTTGTGTATTGTAAAAATATATGTAAATAAATAGAAAAAGATGCTGGGCACAATGGCTCATGCCTATAATCCTAGCCAGTTAGGAGGCTGAGGTGAGAAGATCACTTAAGGTCAGGAATTTGAGATCAACCTGGGCAACACAGTGGGACCCACGTCTTAAAAAAAACAACAACAGGCCTGGAATTGTAGTTCACATCAGTAATGCCAGCACTTTGGAAGGATGAGGTGGGAGGATTGCTTGAGGCGAGGAGTTCAAGACCAGGCTGGGCAATATAGTGAGACCCCTGTCTCTACTTAAAAAAAAATAATAATAATAATGCGCGCACACACCCATACCCACACACACCCATACCCACACACACACACATACACACATATAAAATAAATAAAATTAGCTGGGCATGGTAGTGTGCACCTTTAGTCCCAGCTACTTGGAAGGCTGAGGTGGAAGGATTACTTGAGCCCGGGAGTTTGAGACCAGCCTCGGTTATACAGCAAGACCCCCATCTCAAAAAAGGTACATATTCAGGAGTTCTCACTACCCATCTCTAGCCACTGTTAACATTTTGATGTATATTTATCAAATAAGAATGAGATCATAGTTTTTTCCCTGATTTTTTTCACTTCATAAAGAATCAAATTTCTCTGTTACTTAGTATTATTTTATAGAAATACTTAAAATGTATCATTTATTAGTTTTTTAAAGTACAGAGATGTGTCAAGATGTGTAAGAAGGCAAGTAGTACATAATCTCATGCAGCAATATTTTAATATATTCCATTTTATAAATATAGTATAATTAGCTCCTTGTTTTTGGACATTTGGGTTGTTTCTGATTTTTTTGCTACTTTAAAGTGTGCTGTAGTAAACATCTTTGCATGTTTCTATGATTGTTTTTTTAGGATAAATTCCTGGAAGTGGAATTGCTGGGTTAAATGTGTGGAATCATCCAGTCATATAATGAAGATACTTTACCTTGTAGGTTTCAACCTACAGGACTCAGCTGCTTATTTCTCCTTCCCTCTTTTGTAGTTGGCCTCTATTACTGCTTTAGCAACCTGTCTGATGCCCGGATTTTTATCATCATGTATGGTGTGACCAGCATGTACTTTTCAGCTGTAATGGTGAGGATGCCCTCAGTCTGGTAGACTTTTTCACTCTAACTCTGAGGTGCTTTTTTATCTGTCTGGCAGAATTCAGAAAGTACTGATGATTGTGCACATGCTTCCCTCTGAGCATTTGAGGGAATGAGTTGTAAGTTGTTGATCCTTTCCAGGAACGTATGGGACACTCATACATTCTGGTTGTGGGGTCCAACTTTCTTGGATTCGTAACTTTGTATTATAGAAGCATTTTTGCACTTTGTTGGATAATATGACCCTGGGTGTCTTAAAACGGGAGATGATATTTTTTTCTTGAAGGCTTGGGAGTATTACCCAGTGCTAGATTGTTAGAGGAGGGATTTGAATTTTTTTTTTTTTTTTTTTTTTTTTTTTTTTGAGACAGAGTTTCACTCTTGTTGCCCAGGCTGGAGAGCAGTGGCGTGGTCCCGGCTCACCACAACTGCCGCCTGCTGGGTTCAAGCGATTCTCCTGCCTCAGCCTCCCAAATAGCTGGGATTACTGGCATGCACCACCATACCCAGCTAATTTTGTATTTTTAGTAGAGATGGGGTTTTCCATGTTCGTCAGGCTGATCTTGAACTCCCGACCTCAGGTGATCCACCCGCCTTGGCCTCCCAAAGTGCTGGGATTACAGGCGTGAGCCACTGAGAATACACACATTCTCTTATATACTTTAAATCATCTCTAGATTGTAATACTAATAACTAATACTAGGTAAATGGTTGTTAATACTGTATTGTTTAGGGAACAATGACAAGAAAAAAGAGAGGAGAGATTTTATATATTGTAGTAAAATAGTGTTTCTCATATTTTTTTGGTCTCAAACCACAGTTATGAAATATACTTTATATCATTATTCAAGACACACATGCATATGTACATGCATATAATTGAAACAAAGTTTAAGAAATACATACTAATACTGCAACTGTTTCAAGTATTTTCTCTTTCACTTTTTGTGGAGGTCATGTTTGATGAAAACCCCTAAATTGATGTCTTGATCTACTAATAGGCTGAAATCTGTAAATTGTGGAACACTGATTAGACTGATCATGCTTCCTGTCTCTGTTAGGTGCGTCTAATGCTAGTGTTGGCACCTGTTATGTGCATTCTCTCTGGCATTGGAGTCTCCCAGGTGCTGTCCACATACATGAAGAATCTGGACATAAGTCGTCCAGACAAGAAGAGCAAGAAGCAACAGGATTCCACCTACCCTATTAAGAATGAAGTGAGAAGCAATGTTAAGAGTAGACTTGGGAAACTCTGTGTGTGTGTGTGTATGTGTGTATGTGGGCAGCGGGGGGTGGGAGGAGTAAAGTAGAGCACTGTCCTAGGTGGTCAGAATTAACTCATATAGCCTCTGACTTATTTTGATCAATCTCATCTATATGAATGTGTCTAAGAAGTTGTCCTGTGTTGTGTGAATTTAGTTTGGTTAACTACACAATTAATTCTTTTTCCTTGTTTAGGTGGCAAGTGGGATGATACTGGTCATGGCTTTCTTTCTCATCACCTACACCTTTCATTCAACCTGGGTGACCAGTGAGGCCTACTCTTCTCCGTCCATTGTACTATCTGCCCGTGGTGGGGATGGCAGTAGGATCATATTTGATGACTTCCGAGAAGCATATTATTGGCTTCGTCATAATACTCCAGAGGTGAAGATTTGGGAGGGGTGGGAATTGTGGGTTAGGGGCAAAGGGGAAGACATTTGATGTTACAGTGAATCATACAGCTTTTAGATGGGTGGAAAGCTGGGTGAAACTGGAACTTTGCAACTCTAGTCTTGAATGAGCCTTAAAGGTGAACCTCCATTCAATTCTGGGATCTTTTGTAGTTACTCTTACTAGTAATTATCTAGACTTTGCATGCACACTTTTATTGATATGATGATTTTAACATGAGGTAGAACATCCCAGTTATAAAAGAAGAAAAAAGTTATAGATAAATAATACATGTTCACTTTAGAAAAATCAGAAAATTGAATCAAGAAGAAAGATATAAATCTTGTGTAAAGTGATCACCTTATGATAACTGCTTTTAACATTTTAATTTATATCTTTTGAGAATCTGAAGTGATTTCCTTTACAATAACTATTAGGAATATCATTTCTGAGACAATTTGTTAGGAATAAAAACTTTTAAGAGTCTCTTAATTCTTGTCCATCGTATCATGTGATTTGAGTTTCCACCCCATCTTTATAGTAAGTGATTTTTGCAATTCTGTTAAAAGGTTATTTAAGAAAATTGTCTAATGACACTAGGCTATTGATGTGGCTACATTGCACAGTCTCCCACACCTCCCACCCCATTATGTTAGTATAAAGTGACCTGGGATGAAGTGTTGGGAATGTTGGTTTGTTATTTGTGCTGAGATTTTATAATTGTATATAAATGGAAGACCAGGTGCCAGGATTTATTTTCTGGTTTGACATGCATTACTTTGTGAAGAAATTGATTAGTTAGCCAGGTGTCACTTCTGTCAGACCAAAGATGCCTTCTCTGTTGCATTTGATTTTTAGAGACAGTGAGAAGCTTGTTATTTCCATTTCCCATTCTACTTTCAGGATGCGAAGGTCATGTCCTGGTGGGATTATGGCTATCAGATTACAGCTATGGCAAACCGAACAATTTTAGTGGACAATAACACATGGAATAATACCCATATTTCTCGAGTAGGGCAGGTAAGATAAAGGGATGATCTTTGAGTGTTTGGTGTACAAGGTCTAATGGGAAATGTGTCTGCATGAGGGGATCATATGACTTGGGATTTTGCTCTGAGAATTGTACATTTGTTTTTCCAGGCAATGGCGTCCACAGAGGAAAAAGCCTATGAGATCATGAGGGAGCTCGATGTCAGCTATGTGCTGGTCATTTTTGGAGGCCTCACTGGGTATTCCTCTGATGGTAATATACTTGATTCTGTTTCTAGCTGCAGGACATAGATTCTAAGAAAACTAGATGAATATCCTAGTTTTCTGTACTTTTACTAATATTTTACTAAGATATTTTTCTTTCATGGGAAGTTCCTAAGTATTTGCAACTTGAGGTTTGGGTATTTTGATTTTTTTCTTTTTGTAACAAGAGGACATAAATGTAAACAATTCTTGTGTAGGTACAGCATGCTATATGATTGTCTAAGGCATAGAAGTAGTTCCACAACCAGTAATAAAACCAAGCTGAATATAAGGCTCATGACAATGAACTTAAGAATTAGCATTTTTTTAGTGGTTTTAAGCCATATAATCATTGACCAGCTTAGAAATGTTTTATATGGCCTGACAGCGTGTAAAAAAAGAGAACATTTTATATATATATAAAATATATATAAATAAAAGTGTGTGTAAAATGGAGGTTACCATGTGCCCTATGATTATTGGCACAAAGATTTTTAGAAGAAACATCCAAATATAGTTATCTGCCTTAAAAGTTAATGTAATGCCTGTTTACACTTTAAAAAGTTAAGCAGTTCACAGCCGGGTGTGGTGGCTCACACCTGTAATCCCAGCACTTTGGGAGGCCAAGGCGGGCGGATCACTTGAGGTCAGGAGTTCATGACCAGCCTGGGCAACATAGTGAAACCTTGTCTCTACAAAAATTAGCCAGGCGTAGTGGCACATGCCTGTAGTCTTAGCTACTCAGGAGGCTGAGGCAGGAGAATCGCTTGAACTCGGGAGGGAGAGGTTGCAGTGGGCTGACATTGCGCCATTGGACTCCAGTCTGGGCAGCAGAGTGAAACTGTTTCAAAAAAAAAAGTTAAACAGTTCTGAAGGTTTATAATAAAAAGTGATAGTTCACTGCCCAAAAATCTAAGCCCCCTTAACATCAGTCCCCAGAAGCAATGATTCCTGCAGCTATTTCTTCTAGTACTTACATGCATATTTCTAAATACTGTGTATACAGTTTCCCCTCCATATCCGTGGGTTCTGCATCTGTGGGTTCAACCAACCACAAATGGAAAATATTTGTGAAAAAAAATCATAATACAACAATAAAAATCATACAAATAAAAAATACAGTATAACAACTATTTACATAGCATCTACACTGTATTAAGTATTATAGGTAATCTAGACATGATTTAAAGTATATAGACAGATGTGCATAGGTTATATACAAATACTATACCATTTTATATAAGGGACTTGAGCATTTGTGAATTTTGATATTCTGGTGGGAGGGGATATATAAGTTAGACTTTTTATTTTTTAAAGAAGATAATACGATAACCATTAAAAAACAATGCAGAGGCCGGGTGCGATGGCTCATGCCTGTAATCTGAGCACTTTGGGAAGACTCTTGAGGTCAGGAGTTTGAGACCAGCCTGCCCAACATGATGAAACCCCGTCTCTACTAAAAAAATACAAAAATTAGCCACATGTGGTGGCACATACTTGTAATCTCAGCTACTTGGGAGGCTGAGGCCAGATAATCACTTGAACCCAGGCAGCAGAGGTTGCAGTGAGTTGAGATTGCGCCACTGCACCCCAGCCTGGGTGACAGAGCGAGACTCCATCTCAAAAAAAAAGAAAAAAGAAAAATGCAAAACACTGTTACTGTCTAGATCCATGAAAACATGTATGTGAAGATCATAAAAGAAGATAGTGTAGTTGTCCCTCTGTATCCATGGAGGATTGTTTCCAGGACACCCCCACCCCTATCCTCACCCCTCACCAGGATACCAGAATTTGTGGATGCTCAGGTCCCTTATATAAAATGGTTTAGTATTTGTATATAATATACACACATTCTCTTATATACTTTAAATCATCTCTAGATGATAATACTAATCCCTAATACTAGGTAAATGGTTGTTAATACTGTATTGTTTAGGTAACAATGACAAGAAAAAAGTCTATCCATCTTCATTACAGATGCAGTCATCTGTTTTTTTGTTTTGTGAATATTTTTGATTAGAGGTTTGTTGAATTTATGGATGTCAAACCCACAGATATGGAAGGCCAACTGTTTTGGTTAATTTGTTACACTGAATTTATTTTTCAAGGTCAAATTATTCATTGGGCTTTACTAATAGGAGTTCTGTAACATTTGAGAGGCATAATAAAAATAAAAAAAGTTGGGCCTGGCCCAGCTTCTTTTTTTGTAGACAACCATATCTTTTGAACAATGGGCTCTCCTTGATGCAGTTCCTATCATCATCATCATTATTGTTTTTGAGACAGAGTTTCACTTTGTCACCCAGGCTGGAGTTCAGTGGCACGATGTCTGCTCACTGCAGCCTCTGCTTCCCATGCTCAAGTGATCTTCCCACCTCAGCCTCCTGAGTAGCTGGGACTACAGGCACACACCACCATGCCCGGCCAATTTTTATACTTTTTGTAGAGATTGGGTTTCGCCACATTGCCCAGGCTGTTCTTGAACTCCTGTGCTCAAGTGATCCGCCCATCTCAGCCTCCCAAAATGCTAGGATTATAGGTGTGAGCCATCACACCCAGCCATTCCTATTATTTTCACTCTTCCATTCATAGAGCTTATGAGGTTTTTGCTTCAGACATACCTGCCAGGCAGCTACAATACTATTGTTCTATCATAGCCGAGCTGATGTTCTGGGGGTTTATTTTTGTTCCTGTTTCTGGCGCTATGATCTAGGCAAGTCTCTGTGCCTCAGTTTCTCCATTTGTAATATGAAGATAAGAATGCAGACACTGAACGAAGATAGTAATATTATTCATTGGATGTTTACCATGTGACAAACAACTTACTAAATGCTTTACATGTTGTTACTCATAATAACAGCCCTATTGTTGTAGATACTCTTATTTTTCTAATTTGACAGATGAGAAAACTGAAGCACAGAGAGGTTAAATAACTTGCCCAAGGTCACCCAGCTAGAATTGGCAGTGCTGGAATTCAAACTTAGGCAGTTTGGATCCAGAGTCTGTTCTTAACCACCGTGATATCCCCTCGAACTCTTTGCAGTAGTGCAATAGGAATCTTATCTTTTTTTATGCATTAGAAATATTTTTAATACTAACCATCCAGTGAAACATGTAGCAACTGATTTCCCTAAAGCCTGTGCAAGCAATACAGTAAATGATGAACCCTAAAAGAGATATCATGAGTTGATGATAGTGTCAATATTTATTAAGCATGGGAGTGTGTTTGACACAGAAATGTTGACTTCTCATATACCTGCTTTGGAGGTCTATAATTTTGCAGCTGTTGGTCAAGAATGAGAAGACTCATGTCTTGTCTACCTTTTTGGTAAAGCTACTACTCTTTAGATCAGTCGTGCCCACTGTCTAATAGAAATAATGGGAACCACATTATCATTTTAAGCTTTATATTAGTCACATCAAACTAAGTATAAAGAAACAGGTGAAAGTAATTTTAATAATTTTAACTGAATAGTCATATCAAAACATTATTATTTAATTTAACATGTAACCAGTATACCCCCTTTTGGGGTTTGTTTTTTTTACTAACTTTTCAAAATCTAATGTGTATTTCATACTTACCTAGTGTGTATTTTATACTTACAGTACATCTTAATTTGGACTAGCCACATTTCAGCTGCTCAGCAGCTATATGTAGCTAATTGCTGCTATATTTGATAGCCTAGCCCTAGCTAATCTATAGGACCAATCTCAGTTGTGGCTTAAGTCTGGACTAGTAGCGTAGGATTTCAGGAGTATAATAATTTCTCAGAAAAGTTGTATATTTTGACGAAAAATGCTTTGCCCGTATGTTGTCCTCACTATTTTTACAAATTAGAGTTAAATGATACCAATCCCCATTAAAAAAATGTTGAGGAATTTTCTTAGAAATACTAACCTGCTTTAACTCCAGCAACTTTTGTGATGCAGCAGTTCTTTTTTTTTTTTTCTCCTAGATATCAACAAGTTTCTTTGGATGGTCCGGATTGGAGGGAGCACAGATACAGGCAAACATATCAAGGAGAATGACTATTATACTCCAACTGGGGAGTTCCGTGTGGACCGTGAAGGTTCTCCAGTGCTGCTCAACTGCCTCATGTACAAGATGTGTTACTATCGCTTTGGACAGGTTTACACAGAAGCCAGTGAGTGACTCATAATAATATTAATAACAGTAGTAATAATAGTGATTACTAATACACAGTATTTTCCATATGCCAAGCACTAGTAAGTGCTTTGTGTCTGTTAACTCATTTAATCCTCACAGCAACCCCAAAGGCATATACTGATATTATTGTCATATTACCTTTATTTTTGTTGTTTGCATATTTTTTTGAGACAGGGTTTTTGCTCTGACACCCAGGCTGGAGTGCAGTGGTACAATCATGGCTCACTGCAGCCTTGATTTCCTGGGCTGAAGGAGTCCTCCTGCTTCAGCCTCTTGAGTAGCTGGGACTAAGGTGCACACCACAATGCCTGGCTGTTTTTAAAACTTTTTGTAGAGATGAGGTCTCACTATGTTGTCTGGGCTGGTCTGGAACTCCTGAGCTCAAGCAATCTTCTTGTCATGGCCTCCTGAAGTACTGGGATTACAGACCTGAGCTACTGCACCTAGCTATTGTTATTTTTGTTTTGTTTTGTTTTGTTTTTTGAGATGAAGTCTTGTTCTGTTACCCAGGCTGGAGTGCAGTGGCACGATCTTGGCTCACTGCAACCTCCACCTCCCCGGTTCAAGCGATTCTCCTGCCTCAGCCTCCCGAGTAGCTAGAATTACAGGTGTGCTCTACCATCCCCAGCTAATTTTTTTTTTTTTTTGTATTTTTAGTAGAGACATTGTTTCACTATGTTGGCCAGGCTGGTCTCGAACTCCTGACCTCAAGTAATCCACCCACCTCGGCCTCCCAAAGTGCTGGGATTACAGGCATGAGCCACCGCACCCAGCCTGTTATTTTATATATGAGGAAATTGAGGTACAAATAGGTTATTTAACTGCCTAGTGTCACATAACTAATGGCAGAGTCAGGATTCAAACTGACAAAGAGTGGCTCCAAATTCTGTGCTTTTGACCGTTACTTTTTATTGTCCTTAAGGGTATTACAGTGAAGACAGGAACAAAAGGGAAAGAAAGTGACTTTTCGTATCTTCTGATGACTACATTGAGAGTTATTTGATTAGGTTAAGTCTCTCCTTCTGACTTCAATTTCTTGATTCTGTACTAGGGAGAATTTCTGACATGAATGCAGGTCTTTGACTTCTGGTAGGCTTTTTTCTCTGATCCATGCAAGGGTTGCTAGTGTATTAGAGGCTCTAAATGACAATCCTCAGGAATAGAGGGCCTTGGAAGTCGGCTCCCTATGTCTGTCTTATCAGAGATAAGACATTGACTGGCAAGCATCATCTTGCATAGAACTTAAGCTAGGGTAACACTTGATTTGCCCTTACTACCTCATGCCCTTTTTTGCAGGCTCTACTCTCAACAAATTGCAGGCTGAGGAATAATCATCAATTAGTAGATGGTTTCCTGAATCCATATACTGTCTCTCTAGGAAATTAGCACTGTAGAAAGAAGTGTGTTCTTTTTCATCCCTCTCTAGAGCGTCCTCCAGGCTTTGACCGTGTCCGAAATGCTGAGATTGGGAATAAAGACTTTGAGCTTGATGTCCTGGAGGAAGCATATACCACAGAACATTGGCTGGTCAGGATATACAAGGTAAGCAGATGCTATACGTCTCAGAAAGCAACTTTTATTTTTGGAGATTGGTTTCAATGCTTATAAAATGGGACATATATTTCTCAAATAGGGAAATTTCTCATGACACCTGTGCTTGAAAAGTAGCTTGCAAACTCACTGAAAATTTTACTTATTTTAGATTGTTCTTAGAGAGTAGATGATCCCAGTCTGCCATCATTTTGGCGGTTGTTGCAGTGATACTTTTCCAGCTGGGGCTTGACTAAACCAGTTTCTGTGATTATCAGGCTCACGGGTGGGGAGAGTGCAGGAAATAGAGAAAAAGTTCACATGTTTATATTTAGCTACATTTTCTTCTCTCTCTGAAGAACTTAAGGTATATAGAGTCATATAGAACCACATAGGAGTATATCTCTCATATAAGAAAAGATTGAGAACCCTTGATCTATGTGGAGGGTAGATCAGTAATATTGGTCCTCACAGAGGTATTCCAAAAGGCTAAGCAGAGAGAATCTAGTCTCTAGTCAGTGCTTGTGTATTCACAGCCCTAAACCAGGCTGCAGAACCCAACATAATCCTGCCCACTCTGGGTGAATCCATTTTAGTAGAAAATTTCTCCAAAGTTGATCTGATTGTAAATATTAAACTGACATCTTTATGTTGCAGGTAAAGGACCTGGATAATCGAGGCTTGTCAAGGACATAAATGTCACGTCCAGCTCTGATATGCTTCGCACTGAGCACATCACATTTAGGACGTTGAAGATTTTTTTTTTTTTTTTTTTTTAATATGCAGTTTGTAAGAACAAAACTGGATGGCATCAGAATTGTCTGGAAGTTTTGTCTTGGGCAGTATGGGCTGGGCCAAATGAAATGATTTTTATAATTCTAAACAGGTTACCAAATGAAATGTCATGGCTTTACTTTGGTCAATTAAAGGGGGGAATTTTTTTAAAAAATGTGCCTTATTTGTTTTGACTTATAACTGATTTGAGGGAGGCAAAAGCTATGCTAGGCTGCCAGAAGGACATAAGCAGACCTTGTCCATTCTCTTAGCTCCCTAAATTAGCCAAATAGAGACTTCTTTCTCAAATCAGGAAAACTATCAAAGACCAATTCAGATCCTACATTTACAGACAGTTTTGTCATAACCCTTTGCATTGCAGCACCTAGTACAATTCCTTGGAAACAGCGTGGCTCAATAAATTTTTATTGAATGAATAAATGTGGGACCAGAAGAGTGCTAGAAGAGTGCCTTTCTGGGCTACTATGTCTCTGTTCTCAATGTCTTTTATCCTTAGACGCTCTTTGACTTTATAAATCAGCAGTTTTGAAGACTCAAGACAAACAGTGAAATTATTGGTTTATCAATGGAGAGGAAGAAACTCTTCCAGCATTACATATAGAGCTTGATGGTCAGTAGGTGTTTTTGAATCAGCTTAAATATAATCATACATATCAATTTGAAATGGAGCTTTTCAGTACTCTCACTTATTCATGACACAGGAATGACCCTTTACTCAAAACTCTTGTGGTTGTTCAAAGGTGAGCTTCTTTTTCCCTTAGTCTTAGCCTATGTGTTGCTGTTGTATATTGTTACCAAGTTCAACTACCTAATTTTGAAGCTCTTTCCAAATAAGATACAAATTAAAAGGGGAAGCATTGCCAGTAACAGGTCCCTAGAGAGCAGTGCCAGCCTGCCTGCAAGAAAAGAGGAGAAACTTCTTAAAAAGTTTTAAGCCTGGGCAACATAAGGAGATTGTTTCTATGAAAAATAAAAATTAGCCAGGTATGGTGGTGTACACCTGTAGTCCCAGCTACTCGGGAAGATGAGATTGGAGGATCACTTGGGCCTGGGAGGTTGAGGCTACAGTGAACTGTGATTGTGCCACTGTACTCCAGTCTGGGCGACAGTGAAATCTTGTCTAAACAAAAACAATTTAACTGGGAAGCACAGTGGTCCTTGAGGACATTTAATATCAGGACAAAGAGCCTATGAATATATCACTGATGTATATAAACCCTAAGGCGTTAATAAAAGCTAACTGTTTAGTGTTATCCATTTAAGGGAACAGGAGGAATTGCATAACTTTTAGATTAGTCATAGTGGTGCTCCTAAGGGATATGCTGTTGTATATTTGTATAGCCAGGGCACTTAGCCTTCCAAACCAATTTATATACCATGTTCTTCAACTGTGGGTGAGATTTAGCCTCAAGATTTGATTTACTATATGTAAGTACATTACTTGATTTCTATAAAGAATCTTTAGTGGAAGAGGTTATTCTGAATTATTTATCAATATGATTAATACCAGTTAGAAATTATTAATGATCTTCCTTTATACTATACATAGGATAACTTTTAACTTGTCGCTACAGTTGTTGCTCTGAGGATCTTAATTTTGTTACTTTCTAGGCTACATGAAGCTATCTTTTTAAAAAGTGTACTCTTCATTTTCACTGTTATTGTGTACTTAGCATAAAAAACTCAAATCTAGGCCAGGTGCAGTGGCTCATGCCTGTAATCCCAGCACTTTGGGAGGCTGAAGCATGCGGATCACTTGAGCCCAGGAGTTCAAGACCAGCCTGGGCAACATGGCTAATGAACACTAAGCATAGTTTTGATGTCTTTCATATTAAAGACTTTCTCAAATTCTTGCTAGTCTGCTCCTCTTTAAGAGTGGGACCCTAGGCAGGGCGCAGTGGATCATGCCTGTAATCCCAGCACTTTGGGAGGCCGAGGCAGGCAGATCACTTGAGGCCAGGAGTTTGAGACCGGCCTGGCAACGTGGGAAAACTCTGTCTCTACTAAAAATACAAAAATTAGCTGGGTGTGGGGTACACACCCTGTAATCTCAGCTACTGGGGAGGCTGAGGCATGAGAATTGCCCAGGAGGTGGAGGTTGCAGTGAGCAGACATCATGCCACTGCACTCCAACCTGGGAGACAGAGCAAGACTGTCTCAAAAAAAAAAAAAAAAAAAAAAAAGAGTGGGACCCAAAAAAGCTGATTGAAAGGTCTGTTTGTAGGGGGTGTAGATGGGGATTAATAATGTGGGTTTCAATCTACTGTGATCTGGCTGGGCTGTTACATTGGGAAATCCATGATACTGATTTTTAGATTTTTATCTTTTGCATAGGTAAGATTCCCTTGAGAAGGCTTGCATATTCTCTTACTCAAGGATGTAAGCCAGGCAGTCAGCTTTCTGGGAGTAGAGTAGGGAAAGAAGTTGTAACAGGCTCAACCTTCAGTGGATAAAACTTAAACTTAATCCCTCCGTTTTCAGTAAGGTGCCCAAGCTTTTAACTGTGCCTAATGGTCTCCAGTTCACATACTGTGCATTTACCCTCTTAAATCTCGTACCAGCTTTGGGGAGGGACAGTTCCTTGGTTACATAGAAAGGGAAGGGATACGGGGATCTATTTGTTTTTTATGTAGCCTTTAAACCTACCCCTTTTAGCCCCATTTTTACCTCCACCTTCAGTTACCTGGTGTCACCAGTTCAACTTGAGCTTTTTCAGAGTTCTGTGATGTTAATTCTGCTTTCCATTGCTAGCTTTGGGATTCATCTTCATTACCTTTCATCTAAAGGCTTTCTGCTTTCCAAAATGTGTCTCATACTCTGTTCTTATGGGTTCTTTTAAATATTGGTATCCTTTACTATTAAAATATTTTAGTGGGCTTTCAGAAGAGAATAGAGGCTATTTCTATGTATTCTGTCTTTAACTGGTATTCTGCTGGAGTCTGTATATCTTTTTTTTTTTTTTTTTCAGGCTAAAAAGACTCCATCAGACACACAGGAAATTTGCAGGTCTTCCTCTTCGTATTCTTTGTTTTCAGCACACAGTGAGGAAACAAGAGAAAATGGGATAAATGATATAAAAACTTGCTTTTATTTTTATACCAGGCCCTGTGGCTCGCTTCTGTAATCCCAGTGACTTGGGATGCTGAGGTAGGAGGATCACTTGAGCTCAGGAGTTCCAGGCTGCAGTGAGCTAAGACTGCCCAATTGCACTCCAGCCTGGGTGACAGAGCAACACACCCTGTCTCCAAAAACAACAAACTGTAAAAAGATTACATGAAGCCTAATCTGTGATGTCATGATTCAAAACTATACACATAAGCATTTTAAGAGTTTTTTCCTTGATTTTTGTTCCTGACTTTGCTTCTTTAAAAGAAATGTGTGTTTTTGTTGTTGGTTGTTTGTTTTTGAGACGGAGTCTTGCTCTGTTGCCCAGGCTGGAGTGCAGTGGCACAATCTCTGCTCACTGCAGCCTCTGCCTCCTGGGTAGCTGGGATTACAGGCACTCGCCATCGTGCCCGGCTAATTTTTGTATTTTTAGTAGAGACGGGGGTTTCACCATGTTGGCCAGGCTGGTCTTGAACTGCTGACCTCAGGTGATCCATACGCCTCAGCTTCCCAAAGTGTTGGGATTACACGTGTGAGCCACCAGGCCCCGGCCTTGAGTAACATTTTATACTTGTTTCACTTTACTATTATCATAATAGCCAGTTATGCTTAGTGTTTGTATGTGGCCCAGTCTTAAGGACTAAGAAAATATATATGTATATATATAAAATATATACATATAAAAAAATATGTTTTTTTCCTACGGAATCATGCTGTTGCCCAGGCTGGAGTGCAGTAGTGCTCACTAACCTCTAACTCCTGGACTCAAACGATTGTTCTGCTTAGGCCTCCCAAGTAGCTAGGGCTACAGGGACACACCACCAAGCCCGACTAATTCCTAAATTTTTTTATTTGTAGAGATGGGGTCTCCCTATGTTCCCCAGGCTGGTCCTGAACTCCTGGCCTCAAGCCATTCTCCTGCCTCGCCTTCCCAAAGTGCTGGAATTACAGGCAGGAGCCACTGCGCCCGGCCAGTGCTGGAGAATGTAATGGAGATGATCCTGCCTATCCCTGAGTTCCAGTCTAGTTTACTGTCAGAGAATACTTATTTCCATTTTTCCTATTTTGTTCTTGAGTCTCTTTCCTCAGAATTTACTTTTCCACTTAAATGACGTACGCAGCTTTTAAATTTGCGTTGTAAGATTTATTTTGGCTCTCCCCGCCTGTTCTTTGCACATTAAAAATGAAAAAGTTTGTAGAACTAAGCTAAGCAGATGGTCTTCCTGCAAAAAGACCGGGCTGAAGTAAAGCATTGTTTTGGAGCTGGTTCACAGAAAAAAGGCAAAACTGGTTATCCTGACTTCAAGCTCCAACATAAACTGCTCGCTTTCTCCGGGAAACTTGCCCCGCCACACACACTTGACTGCGTGGCCAGTTCTTTCGAAGCCTCTCGCTCCCAACACGGAGTTCCTCCCATTTCTTCACAGTCGGCTCTCAGCAGCTGCTGCTGGTTTCTCGGCTCCAGCACCACGAGTACCGCACTCTGAGGTTTACAAAGCACTCTGCTTCACCGACTGTGATCCTCACAGTCCTGTCCGGTGGCCTCACGCAGGTGGCGGTGCAGCCTTTCAGGCCCAGAGCGGCCAGGAGCGAAGCCCGCAGCCCCGCCTGGAAGCGCAGCGCGGTCGGTCGCGCGCCCCTGAGGCTTGGAGGCCTGGGCTTCCCCCAGCAGCGCTCGAGCACCGCCCAGTCGAGCCTCACACCGGATGCCACTTCATATTTGGGCCCAGAGCTCAATTCGCGCCGATGCGGTCCGCCGTCCTTAAATCTCTTCAGCCAGGATCTCTCCCCGACTGCAAAGCAGCCCTGGGCGGGAGCGGCAACATCTCCACGTCACCCTTTTGGAGCCGCCGACATTCAGAGGGGCAGGACACGGGAACGCGCGCTGTCTTGCTTTACGGCGCGGGTGCGCGAGTTTGCGGCAGCGTGACGCCCTCAAGTTTTGGCGGGAAAAGCGCTGCATTTGGATTCCTGCAGTGGTGGGCAAAGGACAGTCCGGTGAGGAAGGGCGGCCGGTAGAGTAGGGAAGGTTTCTAAAGAAGGAGTTCGGGGTCTAGATTAGTGAGGGAGGGCATGGTGGGAGAAAGTTAGCATTGACTAGCGCAGGGGATTGGAGAGACTCCTGCGGAGGGGCGGTTTCGGAGGGTGGAGGAATGGTACCAGGAGGTTCCCGTTGTGGGGGCGGGGGCAGGAGGGACTAACCCGCTGCTAGCTAAGAACCCCAAGGAAGAGTCCCAGCCCTTCCTTTCGCCTCTGGGGGCAGTTTGGCCCCGCCCCGGCCTTTGGGACGGGTGGGGCTGTGGATGGGGATGGGAATTGGAATTGAGCAATTGGGAGGAGGCGCTGCCGCAGGCGTTTTCTGCCCCATACCGCTCCCTATATCCTCTTCCTCTCTTCCCCAGACCCCCACCTCTCCCTCCTCCTTCCCCAGTCGTTCGCCGGAAAGCATTTGTCTCCCACCTCTTCATAACAACAATTAATTTCCTCTGGGGCCTGAGGAGGGCAGAATTTCAACCTTCGGTGTGCTTGGGAGTGGCGATTGTGATTTACACGACAAAATGGTCAGGTTTAGAATAGTTGTTCGTGGTTGAAAGACTTGGATAAATGTGGATGAGATAGAAGGGGAAGGCAAGAGCTGTTAATTTTCGTGGGCAATCCTGGGGAGAGGCGGGGCTCAGTGGCTTCACTGGTGATCTTACACTCTACATCTTTTCTGGATTCCTGCCTTTTACAGCCGAGGTGCTCGGTGGAGTCATGGCAGTGCCCTTTGTGGAAGACTGGGACTTGGTGCAAACCCTGGGAGAAGGTGCCTATGGAGAGTGAGTTCTTTTAAGCTTGCCTTCGTTTTCTGAGTGCATATTCATTGTTTTGGAGTCTCACACTCTGGTGATTTAGAAAGTAGATGTTTGAGATCCAAGGGTTTTGGCAACTGAAGTTACACAGCCTTTTGCTAGGATTAAAAATTTTTTCCTTCCCTTTAAAAAAAAAAGTTTTCTTTGTAGAGAGCTGGAAGGGACACGAAGTTATTGTTTCCATGCCCACAAATTGCTTCTCAGGGTTTAAGCATTGCGGTTAATGAGCAAATGAGCAGACTCTGGAGATTGCCTGCCTGGTTTCAGATCCTTGCTCTATCACATACTGGTCATTGTTTTGTGATCTTAGGCAAGCTTCTTAATGTCATTGTGTACCTCTCCTTCACTACCTTTAGGGTGGCAATAATCGCATCTACCCCATAGGAGCTTAGGACAGTCAGTTACACAAGCACATATAGTATGGGATTAATGCTCTTAAAAGTATATGAGTAGAACATGTATATATGTGATGTGGCTTAGAATTATCTCAATCTATTTTATGAAGCGTTTATTAAATGACTTGTGTGACAGCATAATGACGTCTTTGGAGGGTTAGCTATTGTATTTCACATTTTAGAAAAGAGTAGTGTGTGTTGAGAACATAGCAGAAACCACTTCCTTGGTTTCTCCTTTGTGGAAAAAGTAATAGAGGTAAAATCGTTTTGGATGAGTCATGTTTAATCTTTGGAAGTTTTAGAAGAAATGGAATTCTGTAATGTTAAAACTCTTTTCCTTTTTAGAGTTCAACTTGCTGTGAATAGAGTAACTGAAGAAGCAGTCGCAGTGAAGATTGTAGATATGAAGCGTGCCGTAGACTGTCCAGAAAATATTAAGAAAGAGATCTGTATCAATAAAATGCTAAATCATGAAAATGTAGTAAAATTCTATGGTCACAGGAGAGAAGGCAATATCCAATATTTATTTCTGGAGTACTGTAGTGGAGGAGAGCTTTTTGACAGAATAGGTATGGAAGAAATTTAAGATAATTATTTTAAACAAGTTTTTAAATTTGTTTTTTAAATCTTGGGCATGCTATTTGGTCGTTGTCCTTTCAAAATTGCTCATGCAACTGTGAAATTGGAATACATTATCTTTAAAAAATTTTTCCACCTGGTGTTAATAACATAAAAGCATATATAGAGTCAATGAAAGAAAACTTCTTTCCCAAGTTATATAAGTGATTTTGATTTAAGATTGGTGTCTTACAGAATTTAAGAGTGACAAACAAGTTTTATGGTACATCATAAATGCAGTGTATCCTAAATGCAATGTATTGCCTACACAATTTTTTCTTTGTAGACATTCTAGTTACATGAAATCATTGTATACATTTTATACATTTACAGATCTAAAATAGCATGCTGTTTCCTCTTGGTTTACATGAAATAATTGAGAATTTTCTAGGATTGCTTTTTGTATATTAAGTAAATTCTATGTTTGCTATTAATACTTAAATATTCGATGTAGAATCAAAGGATTGATATTTCAGAACACTGAGAAGTACATAAAATCTGGATCTAAATTTATAATTTAAATTTATAATTTAAAGCTATTGTATTAAATAAGTTTATCAGTTAAAAACTGATAAAGAGGTATTAGGATCTCCAGTGTGACTCAGGAGAGAGTTGAGGGTAAAAGAAATGGAGTTAATGAGAGAGATCAAAATATAAAAAGATAACTGATAAAAGAACTTTCATAATAAAACTGTTTCACGAAGGACCTCACAGGCATTTGTGGTTTTGTACTGTGAGACTATATGAAGTTTAAATCTGAGCCAGGTGTGGTGGTACATGCCTGCAATCCTAGCTACTTAGGAGGCAGGAGGATTGCTTGAGCTCAAGAGTTCCAGGTTACAGTAAGTTATGATCTCACGCCAGGGCACTCCAGCCTGGGTGAAAGAACAAGACCGTATCTCTAAAAAAAGTTAAATTATAAAAGAAGTATAATCTGTAAAATATTTAGTGAAATTGGCTTAGATTTGCCCAGACTTCCCCTTTGGCATTATATTTCAGGAATGAGAAAAATAATTAGCATAGCATTTAGAAGAAATGGGGGGAATTTCAAGGTTACTAAATAAATCAGGGTTAGTATAAGAGGAAGCAGAGGCTTTGAAGTCATGGCTTGCATTCTTGATTTGGATATTGGTTTTCTCTTTATAATTTTTCTGTGATGACGCCTTTTGCCACCTAACACAGGTAAATGTGAGTTAAGCCCCATATGTGTTAGTGGACTCCTGAATCTTTTGTTGGCATTTGCTTCTGTTTGCCTAAGCACATTTGTAAATGTCTAAGCTTCAAATTAAGAAGCTATGTGGTTGCTACCTGATTATATTTAGTCAATAAACTTACTTTCATATTTGTTTTAGAGCCAGACATAGGCATGCCTGAACCAGATGCTCAGAGATTCTTCCATCAACTCATGGCAGGGGTGGTAGGTATAGTTGTCTATTTCCCTTTTACTTAAAATTAGAGTGAATACATTACATTACCAAATTCTAGTGTGTTTCTCTCTGCATCCCTCTTAGGTTTATCTGCATGGTATTGGAATAACTCACAGGGATATTAAACCAGAAAATCTTCTGTTGGATGAAAGGGGTAAGTTTAGCATTTTATCACTACCTAAAATAAAATAAAATAATTACCTAAATTATTTTAATTACCTAATTATTTTAATATAGCCATACAAGGCAAAATCAAGTCTTTTTGCATTACTGGAATTTCAAGACAAGATCTGAAAAATCAAGGAAATTTTGGAGACTTCGTATATTTGGAAATCACAAGTCTCATTTTGCAATACAAGTGCGGATCAGGTAGAGAAATCTGACCTAGGTGCAAGCCTAGCTCACTATATGTATAAGAATAATTTTTTTTTTTTTGATACAGGCTCACTGTGTTGTCCAGTCTGGGGTGCACTGTATTATCACAGTTCACTGCAGCCTTGACCTCCTAGGCTCAAGCAATCCTACCATCTCAGCTTCCCGAGTAGCTAGGACCAACCACAGGCAGGTGCCACCATGCCTGGCTAATTTTTGATTTTTTGAAGAGGTGGAGTCTTCCTGTGTTGCTCAGGCTAGTCTTGAACTCCTGGACTCAAGCAGTTTACCAGCCTTAGCCTCCCAGAGTGTTGGGATTATAGACGTGAGCCACCATGCCTGGCCAAGAATAGTTTAAAATAATCCTTTAATGGATTAATAAAGGGAAGTTCCTGTGGAATACCCTGGACCTTAGTCTTGTCCTGTTCACTCTTTTTTTATGTATGACGTGGATAAAAATGTAAGAAATTTAGTTATATTTTCTGAATGTCATCAAATTGAGAAGGATGGATAGCGAAAGCTTTAAGCTTACAGGGTCAGAATCAAAAAAGAAATGTCAGCTGTATGAGGCAGTAGTTTTTGTCTGGTTTAATGCTTTATTCTTAGTATTAGAATAGTGCTTAACAAATGGTCAGCTTTTTTTTTTTTTTGAAACAGAGTCTTGCTGTGTTGCCCAGGCTGGAGTGTAGTGACATGATCTCGGCTCACTGTAACCTCTACCTCTCTGGTTCAGGTGATTCTTGTGCCTTAGGCCCCTGAGTAGCTGGGATTACAAGCCTGAGTCACCACACCTGGCTCATTTTTATATTTTTAGTAGAGATGGGGTTTTGTCATATTGGCCAGGCTGGTCTCGAGCTCCTGGCCTCAAGTGATCTGCCTCCCTTGGCCTCCCAGAGTGCTGGGATTATAGGTGTGAGCCGCTGTACCCAGCCTATACATGCTTTTTTCTTATGTGCATATGGATTTTACTTTTTACCCCTTTAAACTGAGTTTATATGACATAAAAATCTTTATTTTTATTTAAAACTTTAAAAATTCAGGTACACAAAAATTCTTATGTATTATAATGAAATGTAAATATATGTATATCAACCCACCTGGTTTAAAAATACAACATTATTCGTATATAAGAATGCTCACAGTGGTGATGTTTTTAATATAGCAGGAAACTAACCCAAATGTCTGTCAACAATAAATTATGAAATGCATGGCTTTTCAAGCCATGTCACAAGCAGTGACACAAGCATGTCACAAGCAGTGACATGGATGAATTTCAGGTATATAATGATGTAGAGCAAAAAGAGACAGTTGCAAAAGAATTCATATGGTCTGATTCTGTTTATACAAAGTTCAAAAATATGTAAAACCTAGTATATTGTTCAAGTATGTAAACATGGAGAAAAAAACATGCAGAAAAGCAAGGGTATAATAAAACCAAATTCAGAATGGTCTAAGAAAGTAGGGGAGGGAATGTATTTAAGGAAGTATTTAAAGATTTCAAAGGAAATAGAGCATTGTTTTTCTAAAGTGAGTGGGTGTTTATTACATTGTTATTCTTTATATCTTGTATTAATATACAAGATATAATTCTTTGTTTCTATTTAATATTTAGGAGTCTTTTAAAAAAAGAAATAAAATGTTACCAGTATTTAATGTCCTCCTGTTTATTTCATCACAAATATATTCTTCCTTTGTTTTTCTAAGAGCTAAACACATTCCTACATTTAAATTTTATTATGTGCAGTTCTCTAACATAGCTGAGTATTATGTTGCAGACATAACAAAGTCCAAGGAATACTATAGTTATCCATTAGTATTTTAAGTGATTACTACTCATAAGTAATTTGAAACTCAATCTCAGTGGTTTGTCCAATAGTGTCATATTTAACTACTGAAAAGATAATCAACTGGGTGCAGTAGCTCATGCCTGTAATCCCAGAGGCTGAGGTGGGACGATTGAGTGATTCTAGGAGTTTGAGACCAGCCTAGACAACATAGACCCTGTCTTTATGAAAAATTAAAAAAAAAAATTAGCTAGACATGGTGGTGCACACCTGGAGTCCCAGCTACTTGGAAGGCTGAAGCAGGAGGATTGATCACTTCAGCCTAGGAGGTCAAGGCTGCAGTAAGCTGTGATCACATCACTACACTCTAGTCTGGGCAGCAGAGTGAGACACTTTCTCAAAAAAAAAAAAAAAAAAAAAAAAAAAGGGTAATCACAGTAGCTACCTCCTAAGTCAGATAGAGGTAAACATTTCATTGGTTTACATATTGTGTGAATGTACTTGATTTTTAAAGAAATCAGTCCCCTATTTTGAGACATTTAAGTTGTTTCTAACTTATAAAATAGGACAGTGATGGCTTCTATCAATTTGTGTAAAAGGCCAATATAAAAATTGCGTCATGCTATAATATTTTTTATGCTATAATATTTTTTATGCCATTAGCCTTTTTGTCCCACTTACACACTATTTCATGTTAGTATGTATAGATATACCTTGTTGATTGTTTTCAAAACCTACCTCCACATTTTCCATTGTACAAATTTGGACATTTATTTACAAATAATATTGCTATGAATATTCTTATGTTTATGAATTTGTGGGATTATTTCTATGGATATAGAAGTGGGAATTGCTAGTTCAAAGAGTGAATGTTTCACAGTTTAGTATGTTTTGCCAAATTGCCCTCTGATAATAGAGGGCCTTTTCTAACTCTTAAGACTGGGTTACATTCCTTTGCTCTAAGATCCTATAGTGCTCTATATTTTTATAACCTTCATAACAGTTTTCTATTGTCAGTCTTCACTAATTTATCTATTACCTGCATTGGCTGGCATAGTGTCTGTCACTAAGTTACAGTAGATATTCACTAAACATAAGTTAAGTCCTGCCTGCAGTTTTTGTGTGTTGAAGATGGGAAGTTAGGGTGGAAGTTGGGTCTTCTGATATTTTTTTTTTGTACAGAGTTTGTCCTCTTTTTCTCAGACTCTCTACTTTGAAGAAAAAAATTACTGTGGTTTGTTGAATTTTGGTGTGTCTTCACATATTTTCTTCTGCCAACTGGGTTTGTTTGCTGCTGAGAAAGTTGTGCCTAACATACTACTGATGTTTCCTTCCTGCCCTCCACCCTACCTGATGAGGGGCCTTGCTTTACTTTCATCTCAGGTTTAGAGTGCTCTTTTCCAGAAGGGCAGCCCCTTCTGACTCCAGCCTCTTTCTTTAATCTGGTCCAGACTGTTCTGTGTGTTGATAATACTTCTTTTAAGTTAATAGAAGAGGTGAGGCCTTTTTCTACTTTTAGCATAGATGATGATTTATTTTATTTTTTTAAATTTCTTTTTGTCTATTTTGCTTATTTTAAGAGAAGTTCTACAAACCTTAAGTAACACCAGTGATTTTTTTTCAGTAAAACTTAATTCCTGTAAGTATATCTATTTGCAAAACATTTTTATTCAGTGTCATCTTTTTTTCTTTTGGTTTAGATAACCTCAAAATCTCAGACTTTGGCTTGGCAACAGTATTTCGGTATAATAATCGTGAGCGTTTGTTGAACAAGATGTGTGGTACTTTACCATATGTTGCTCCAGAACTTCTGAAGAGAAGAGAATTTCATGCAGAACCAGTTGATGTTTGGTCCTGTGGAATAGTACTTACTGCAATGCTCGCTGGAGGTAAGAGCTATTTAATCATGGTAAAACTCCTATAAAAAGTCAGATTAGTTATACTGAAATAAATGAAATAAACCAAGGAATTCATGTTTATATAATAGTTTTTGTTTTCTTTTTTAAGAGACAGGGTCTCACTCTTGGCCAGACTGGAGTACAGTGAGCTGTTATAGCTCACTGCAGCCTCAAACTTCTAGGCTCAAGCAATCCTCTGGCCTCACTCTTCCAAGTAGCTAGGACCAGTGGTGCCTGCCACAAGACATCTGGCTAAGTTTTAAAAATTCATTGTAGAGATGGGATCTTGCTGTGTTGTCCAGGCTGGTCTTAAACACCTGGTCTCAAGCAAGCCTTCTGTCTTGGTCTCCAAACTGTTAGGATTAAAGTAAAGACATGAGCCATGGTACCCAGCTTTTATAGTAGTATTTTAATAGTGTCTTGATCGGTTTGGTAACTGCTGTAACAAAGTATCATAGACTGCATAGCTTATAAACAGCAAATTTATTTCTCACAGTTCTGGAGGCTGAAAATATGAGATTAGGGGTGCCAACCTGGTCATGTTTTAGTGAGGGCCCTCTTCCTGATTTGCAGATGGCTGTCTTGCTGTGCTCTCTCATGGTGGACAGCCAAGAGAGCAGAAGCAAGCTCTATTGTGGTTTTTTTTTTTTTTTTTAGACCAGAGTCTTGCTCTGTCACCCACGCTGGAGTACAGTGATGTGATCTCAGCTCACTGCAACCTCTGCCTCCCAGGTTCTAGCAATTCTGTCCCAGGCTCCCAAGTAGCTGGGATTACAGGCATGCATCATCACACCCGGCTAATTTTTGTATTTTGAGTAGAGACAGGGTTTCACCATGTTGGCCAGACTGGTCTCAAACTCCTGACCTCAAGTGATCCCCCAACCTCAGCCTCCCAAAGTGCTGTTTTTTGGGTTTTTTGTTAAATGACCAGATGTTGTGAGATATTGTGTCTGTTTTTTGTTTTTTTGTGGTTTTTTTTGAGACAGGGTCTCACTCTATTGCCCAGGCTGGAGTGCAGTGGCACAATTCAAGGCTCACTGCAGCCTTGAGCTCCCAGGCTCAAGCGATCCTCCTGCCTCAGTCTCCTCAGTATCTGGGTCTACAGGCGTGCACCACCACACCTGGCTAATTTGTTGTGGGTTTTTTTTCACAGACGGTCTCTCCATGTTACGTAGGCTGGTCTTAAACTCCTGGGCTCAAGTAATCTGCCTACCTAAGCCTCCCAAAGTGCTGGGATTATATAATTAGTGCCCTATAAAGATACAATATTGTCCGGGCACACAAGCCCTTATTAGACATTAATAAGCTCTTAATAAGAGCACTAATACCATTTTTTGAGTGGTCCCATCACCAGGACCTAATTACGTCTCAAAGGCCCCACCTCCGAATGCCATTGCATTATGAGTTAGGATATCAACATGACTTTTGAGGGGGATACAAATATTTAGCACATTGCAAATAGTAACTTATTTATAATCCCAAAGATTTTTTAAGCTAAGGCATGCATAGTTATTAAATATCACAACACTTATCTCTCCTGTGTATCATGTAAACATTTGTGAAAACAAGACTAGGGCAAGAAATGATTCATCTGTTTTTTGGTTTTTTTTTTTTTGAGACAAAGTCTTGCTCTGTCGCCCAGGCTGCAGTGCAGCAGTGTGATCTTGGCTCACTGCAGTCTTGACCTCTTGGGTTCAAGTGATCCTCTCACTTTAGCCTCCTGAGGAGCCAGGACTACAGATGCACACCATCACGCCCAGCTAATTTTATTTATTTTTTGTAGAGATGGGGTCTCACTATGTTGCCCAGGCTGGTCTTGAACTCCTGGGCTCAAGCAGTCCTTCTGCCTCAGCCTCCCAAAGTGCTGTGATTACAGGCCTGAGCTGCCATGCCTATCCTGATTCATCTATCTTTGAAGTGCCTCTAAAGTTTCCAAGTTGGGATTCTTAGTGTGAAAACCATATTGAATTAATTCAAAGGAAACTTTTCATGGATTTATATTATTATTTTTCCTTGAAATCTTTATAATAAGAACATTTAAAAAAACTGGGACTTGCTTTGTTTTTAGAATTGCCATGGGACCAACCCAGTGACAGCTGTCAGGAGTATTCTGACTGGAAAGAAAAAAAAACATACCTCAACCCTTGGAAAAAAATCGATTCTGCTCCTCTAGGTAACTGAATTATCTTGAGTGAAAGAGTACCGATTTCTTGGATATGAAGTCTTGTGCTATTTGAATTTTTTCTTACTTTTTTTTTTGTTTTAAACTTACAAATAATTCATGTTCGTTGTAGATAAAATAGTAACTATAAGTAAAAAATTAAGGAAAAAATAACTCTTTAGTCCCAGAACTCTGCAATAGATTTTTAAAAATATTTTGGGGAGTGTATATTCAGAGCAACTTGAATCTGCTCTTAGATGGCTTTTTACTTAAAGTTTTCATATGTGCTATACTTTGTTGCAAATACACTCGTTTGTTGCTTAATTATAGGGATGCACTCTAACAAATGTTTCATTAGGTGGTTTCATCATTGTGTGAACATCATAGAGTATATTTACATAAATCTAGATAGTATAGCTTACTATAAATCTAGGCTATTTGGTATACCCTATTGATCTCAGGCTGCAAACCTGTACAGCATGTTACTATACTGAGCACTGTAAGGAATTGTAACATAATGGTATTTGTGTATCTAAGTATAGAAAAAGTATAGTAAAAATACAGTATTATAATCTAATGGGACTGTCTGTTATACGTGTGGTCCATTCCTGACTGAAACATCATTAATGTGGCCCATAAGTATGTAAAATGAATATATGTATATTATTTATATGTGTTTTTATACAAAATGAGATCACACTAATAATATTTTGTAACTGTTTTTGGTTTTAGTGCGCAGCGAACATTCTTCCATGACTATAATTGTAGGTCTACATCGTTGGTTTAAAGGCTGTGATAATATTCTGCCATGTGGATATGCCTTACTTTACTCTTTTAATCACTTTGTTGGAGATTTTTCTAAATTTTCACAGATACAAAAGAGATATAAGTATCTGTGTAACTTAATCATGACACATACCCTTAAATTGTTCATTGAAATCCCCAGAAGCAAAATTGCAGGATCAAGGATGTAGTTTTTATTATTATGGCTTATTTTGTCAAATTGCTTCCCGAAAGTTCGAACCATTTCATCACAGTCTCATCAATTTACATTAAGGAAAAAAACTTTAAATAATAGTTTTTCATTTTTATTTTAAATTTAATACTAATGAAGTTGTATACCCTTTATGTATGTATTAGTTTTTTGTCTATTTTGCTCATTTTTGTCAAGGATATTGTTTTTCTTACCACTTTGAAGCTTTTTTTTTTCCTTGATAACACATTGACCTTTGCACTTGTTACAAATACTTTTCACAATTTATCATTTATTTTCATTTTGTTTTGCTATATTGACATTCAAATCTATTATCTTGTCCTTTGTGGTCCCTGACTATAATTTCTTTGGAAAGGTCTTCTACCTCTACTATTTAAAAGTTCCCTATGTTTTCATTTAGTGTTTTTATGGCTTCATTTTTCCATTTAAATCTTTGGTCCATTAGGAAATAATCTTCACATAGGAAGATACGTGAATTTTTTCTCAAGAAAATTAAGATACCTTAGGATGGTTAGTTAGATTACTGTCTCTTAAAAAGTTATTGGTAAGTAAATGTTCATTATAAAACTGTGTGAATAAGGAGGTCACGTGAGAACATGACATTGAAGTAATGAAATTCGGTATTGAAAATGGATAAGAGGGGTTTCTGTATCTTTTTGTTAATCTCGTCACATGAGGAGAAACATTTCCATCTGGCTCTTGTTCTCAGTTGCAAACAATTGAGAATCAGATCAGGGAAGACTACTCCAAGATACAGCAGCAGAGAAAAACTGCATGAAATTAAAGCAGTAATTTAGTAGCTTTAATTCTTTCTCTTCCCCAGGAATAATATTTAGACATAAGTAGGCTAACAGAAAATGTGTTTCTTACCTCAAGCCATAGGCTTCTCTAACATGATTCTTTCGTGAATGTTGTCGTAATGTTTGTTTTTAGCTCTGCTGCATAAAATCTTAGTTGAGAATCCATCAGCAAGAATTACCATTCCAGACATCAAAAAAGATAGATGGTACAACAAACCCCTCAAGAAAGGTAATATCCTTAAACTACAAGTTTGTTTGTTTTTCTGTGGAAGAAAAGGTAATTGCAAAGTTATTATCACAAGTCAACAACACATGATAGCTATGATCTCTGTCCTCATGGAGATTATAATGTCCAGTAGAAAAAAATACAGAAATAATTTTGTTTATTAATAATTATAAAGGGGAAAGTCAGGGTACTATAGCTAAGTGTTTGACCAAGTCTAAGGGACAGGGAAGACTTTTCTTCCTGAAGAAATTACATTAAATCTAAGATTTGAAGATTAAAGGGAAGCTAGGCAGGCAAAGTAAGTGGCAGATTTGATTCTGAACAGGGGAAGCAGTATTTGAAAAATCTTAGATTTTAGAAAGTCTGATGCTTTTGAGAAACTTGAAAGATCAGTATGGCACAAGCCGTGTCTGTTGTGTTCATCATTGTATCATCAGTGCTTTAGCACAGTATATGGTGCACCATAGGCACTCATTAAATATTTGTTGAGTGAGTGAACAGGGAAGTGGGAGAGGAAGACAGGTTTGAG
The DNA here is from genome assembly GCF_000001405.40 of Homo sapiens. NCBI lineage: Eukaryota > Metazoa > Chordata > Mammalia > Primates > Hominidae > Homo > Homo sapiens. The sequence continues at coordinate 125,638,071 of NC_000011.10, forward strand.
ATGAGGCCAGAGAGGTCGCTAGTGGCCAATTTGTGGAAGAAGACCTTGTAAGCCATGTTAAGGATTTTGGGCTTTAACTTAAGACCACTGGGGAGACCTCTGAGAGATTTTAAGCAAGACTATGACATAGTCATATCTTCGGTTTAAAAATATTTCTCTGACTTCCTTATTTTTTTTCCATTGTTTTTTATGAATAGGGAAAGATTCAGGGTGCTGTAGGTTTTTCTGCTAGTTGTCTAGAAGTGGGAGGCTGGTGGCTTGGAATAGGTTAGGGCAATGGTATTGGAGAAATGAGATGATTCCAAAGAAATTTAAGAACTAGTATTGATAGGACTGTTAGGCTGTGAATGGAAGGAGAGAGGACAATGACTAGAGATGATGAATGAAAAACATTCAGAGAGTTATTAATGTTTAACTCTGTCCTCATGGATAGAAAAGAGTTAATGTTTAAACATTCACTCTTCTTTAATACCTCTCTGCATGTTTCTTCCTCCTTGTCCTAACTTAAAGTCCAATTCTCCCCTGAGGACACTGCTTCCTCTGAAGCGGTAGGTGTTTTCTTTCCCATACCCTCATGTCCTTTGATCTGGACATGGTACAGGTGTCCTCCTTATTCTTCATTGTCACTTTCTCCCATCTTCCTTTATGTCTCTCCCCTCTAACTTTTGAACCCCAAATTAAAATTTCTGCCGTACTATCACAGTCTGCAAAATGACTCTTGATGTTATTTTCGTCATGATTCTTGGTGATTTAAATATTTATTTGGATCATCCTCCTGATATCCTGACTTCACTGTTTCTTGACCCTCTCTCCTATAGTGATGTTGTCTTTGAACACGCTGCACTGATCACCAGTATAATTTTTTCTGACTTCCTCCCTTAATATTCTAACTTAAACAGTCCTTTGTATCTGGACTTGCAATTAATTAATTCTATCTCTTCAGTCTCTTACCTGCTCCCTCTCTAGGTCCTTGATTTCATCTTTACCTATCTTAAATCTTTAGGTTAGTCATTATAAATGACTGCTTTGCGTTCATCATCTTCAATTTCCTTGTCCCCTTCTCTCTTCATCATACTTAGTGGGTAAAACCCAGTAAGTAGTTTCTGGGTTTAATCTAGTAGTTTTCTACGTACTGCACACTTGTACCTGCACAACAGATTGCAGCAGGAGAAAAATACCCAAAAATGTTCACTTTAAATTCAGGATTACTAATCTCAAGTGGGCCCTTAATGCTTCCTGGCATTTGGCCTTCGTTTCCCCACATCTTTCTCTGTCCTGTTCTCCTAAATCACGTTTTTATAATACTTTTCTCTTTTTTTTTTTTTTTTTTTTGAGACAGGGTCTAGGCTGGAGTGCAGTGGCGCCATCTCCACTCACTTCAACCTCTGCCTCTCAGGTTCAAGCGATTCGATTCTCGTGCCTTAGCCACCCGAGTAGCTGGGATTACAGGTGTGAACCACCACACCTGGCTAATTTTTATATTTTTAGTAGAGGTTTTGCCATGCTGGCCAGGCTGGTCTCAAACTCCTAGCCTCAAGTGATCCCCCTGCCTCAGCCTCCCAAAGTGCTGGGTTTATAGGTGTGAGCTACTGTGTCTGGTCCCTTAACTTTTATTATCTTCTCTCCATCCTCACTCTCAGTTGTTCACTTTGCTTCCTGTGTCACTGGGAAATGAAAGCCACAAGAGAACTTAGGCAAGCTCCCACCACCATCTCCTCCATACTAACTGCCTCTATGCTCATGTATTCTCTTTCATCCTGTATTGCTGTAGATAAATTGCTCTGGATGTAAGCCAGGTCTTTCTCTTACCCACTCAATGACTTTGTCTAGCAATTTTTCTCCCTCTCCTACATTATTAATTTTTCCTTCTCTACCGGATCTTTCTCATCAGCATATCTACATGCTTTTTCTCCCATTTTAAAATCAAATCATAATGGTAATAAAATTTCTCTTAACTCCACTTTTCCCTACCATTCCATCTTCTTCACAATTGAATATTCCTAAAATTGCTTCTCATCTCTAACACCTCAAAACTAGTTTTCAATTTCATCTATTTTGTTGCCAAGAGTCACAGTGATTTTTGGAACGTGTTGCCAAGTTCAATGTAATAGTCCACTGTGGTCAACCGAGGTCTGAAAAGATTAAATGGAAAGTACCAGAAGTAAACAATTCATCAATTCATGGGTTTTGGCCGGGCGCGGTGGCTCACGCCTGTAATCCCAGCACTTTGGGAGGCCAAGGCGGGCGGATCACGAGGTCAGGAGATCGAGACCATCCTGGCTAACACGGTGTCACCCCGTCTCTACTAAAAATACAAAAAATTAGCCGGGCGAGGTGGCGGTCGCCTGTAGTCCCAGCTACTCGGGAGGCTGAGGCAAGAGAATGGCGTGAACCCCGGGGGGCGGAGCTTGCAGTGAGCCGAGATCGCACCACTGCACTCCAGCCTGGGCAACAGCGAGACTCCGTCTCAAAAAAAAAAAAAAAGAAATTCATGGGTTTTATTTATTTATTTAATTCGAGACGGGATCTCGCTCTGTCGCCCAGACTGGAGTGCAGTGGCGTGGTCTCCACTTACTGAAACCTCTACCTCCTGAGCTTAAATGATCCTCCCATCTCAGCTTCCCGAGTAGCTGGGACTACAGGTGTGAGCCACTATGCCCGGCTAATTTTTGTATTTTTGGTAGAGATGAGGTTTCGCCATGTTGCCTATGCTTTTCTACCAAAAATACAAAAATTAGCCAGGTGTGGTGGTTCACGCCTGTAATCCCAGCTGTTCTCAAACTGCTGGGCTTAAGCAATCCACCCACCCCGGCCTCCCAAAGTACTGGGATTATAGGCATGAGCCACAATGCCCTGCCATAGGTTTTAAATTGTGTGCTGTTCTGAGTAGCATAATAAAATCTTGTGCTGTCCTACTTCATCTCACTTGGGATGTGAATCACTCCTTTTTCCAGTGTATTCACGTTCCATGTGCTACCTGCTTGTAACTCCCTTAGTAGCTGTTTTGGTTATTAGATCGAAAGAACATATATAGGGTTTGGTACCATTTGTACTTTCAGGCATCCACTTGAACATATCCCTCTGTGGATAAGGGGGGTACTACTGTAGTCAGTTCTCAGACCTCTTGTTTTATCTCATCAATATTTTATACAGTTGATCATGCCCTCCTCCTTTAAACACTTTCTTCATTTGGCTTCCAGGCGTTACACTCTTCTGATTTTCGTCCTTCTCACTGGTCGCTCTTTTCAGTCTCTTGATGGTTTTTTTTCATCTGCTCAGCCTCCTACTATTGGAGTTCTCCAGGGCTGAATCTATGGATCTCCTTTGTTTTCTTCTCCACACTCACTCCATTAGTGATATTACTTGGTTTCATGGCTCTAAATAAAACTATATGTTGATAGTCACATTTATATCAACCTAGACCTTTCCTCTGAATTCCAAACTTACATGTCTTAACTGCCTTCTGAAATTTCACTTGAATGTTAAGAGGCATCTCACACTTGATGAATTCCAAACTGAGTTACTGATCTTTTCCTTTCAAACCCATTCCTTTTCAAAGTCTTTCCCATGTTGGTTAATGGCAACTGCATTATTCTTATTATGCAGATCAGAAACTTTGGAATCATCCTTCATTTTTCTCATTCTCTTTTACTTCACATCCAGTACACCAGCTAATTCTGTTAACCTCTATCTTTAAAAAAATCTTAGAATCTGATTACCTTTTTTTTTTTTACCTCTACTGTTACCCTATCATTCCAAATTACCATGATATCTTTCCAAAATGTTCTGATTTAAAAGTGAATTAGAATATATCACTATTCTACCCAAATCCTCCAATGCTTTAGTTCTCACGTGTAGTGTAAGCTAAAATCAGTTCATGACCTGTGAGTTCTTACACAATTTTGTTCCTTACATTACCTCTCCAACCTCAGTTCTGCTTTGCTCCCCCTTGGTCATATTGTTGTTCTTCTTATTGTTCTCCAAGTGCTCTAGGCACACTTCTACCTCACTGTTTTTGTAGTGACTGTTCCTATGTCTGAAAATGCTTTTTCCCATGGGACTTATTTGCATGTCTTATTCTCTTACTTTCTTTGGATATTGACTTCAGTGTCATCTTTCCAATAAGCCTTTCCTGGCCATGCTATTTAAAATGGTATCCTCTTCCCTCTAACACATTTCTTAAATTTTTAAAATTTTTACTCTCTTGTGGACATACGCAATCCAACACGTTTCTTCATTTTATTTTCCTTCAGTGTACTTACCACCATTTAGCTTACTGATTTTTAACTGTATTTGTATTTATTTTATGTTATTTTGTCTCTCCTCAGTAGAATGTAGGATTTAAAAGGTCAAGAGTTTTTTTTCTATTTTGCTCACTGCTGAATACCTGATACCTAGAATAATGCCTGGCACAGAGTAGACCTAATAAAATATCTGAATGAATGGATTAATAAATAAAAAGCAGGTTTAAAAAAAAACTTGAGCATGTTTAAAAAGAAACAAACTTAAGCATGTTTAAGTGGTTTGGGTACGGATCCTGTAGAGAGGAAGAGGCTGACAGTCTAAGAGAAAGGAAATAAATAACAGAGGATCAAGATCCCTAAGGAGGTAGAAGGGTATGGGCTCCAGAGCACAAGTAGAGAGATGAACATTTGATGGGAGAATGGAAGGGATGAAAAGATGTATAATAATACAAATAACTTAGCTTTGGTAGGGATAAGTTGATGTAGTTTCTGTCTAATGGCTTTATTTTTTCTCTGAAATGGGAGGTGGTAGTATAGGTACTGGATGGTAGTCTTGGGAATTACAGAAAAGTGTAGTTTTGAAATGATCCTTGTGGAGAAAAGGAAAGGAAACTAGAGAAACAAATATTATCTGGCAATATTGAGGTTTAGCTAGGGATTGTAACCATAAATTTACAGTGGCGTCATTTTCCATATAATATTCTTCTTTATAAAGCTTTTCCAAGGAATCAAAGAATGTTGGCTATAGCAGATTCATAATGTTTATTGCTATTATCATAAATTATTTTTTATTTTAAAAAGTTCTAGTCCTTTAGCCAGGTCTGTTGTCTTCATAGAACATTGTTCTGTTACCCATAAAAGATGCCATTAAGACTGTGGCCTGGGCCGGGCGCAGTGGCTCACGCCTGTAATCCCAGCACTTTGGGAGGCCGAGGCGGGTGGATCACGAGGTCAGGAGATCAACACCATCCTGGCTAACATGGTGAAACCCCATCTCTCCTAAAAATACAAAAAAAAAAAAAAAAAAAATTAGCTGGGCGTGGTGGCGGGTGCCTGTAGTCCCAGCTACTCAGGGGGCTGAGGCAGGAGAATGGCGTGAACCCTGGAGACAGAGCTTGTAGTGAGCCAAGATCGCGCCACTGCACTCCAGCCTGGGTGACAGAGCGAGACTCCGTCTCAAAAAAAGAAAAAAAAAAAGATTGTGGTCTGAGCATACTCCACACTTTGAACATGTCTACAGATCATACTTAGGTATTGTAAAATACCTAATTTGACAAATGAGTTTTAGTAATTTTATAACTTGGCCATATTTTTTATAAAATCATATAGGAAGACTTTGTTTTATATCTTACAAAAATTTTGTGTTAAATAAATAGATTTAGACATAGTTTTACTTCTTCAAGTTGCCAGTTGGGTTAATTTAAAAACATACTTGCATAGAAGACTTGAAAGCATTTGTATTTGTTTTCTTTTTTAGGGGCAAAAAGGCCCCGAGTCACTTCAGGTGGTGTGTCAGAGTCTCCCAGTGGATTTTCTAAGCACATTCAATCCAATTTGGACTTCTCTCCAGTAAACAGTGCTTCTAGGTAAGACTGATAAAGATTGAGTAGTTTTTGATTGTAGTATTCCCCATGAAGAATAATACATGTATGTGTTTTTTCATAATAATCGACATTAACATAATACTGTAAGCATGAGAACTTGTGTGTGATATAAGAAAGGCCTGATAGATTTTATTTTATTAAATGTATGTTTCTTTCTGTCTTAATGCCTCAGTGAAGAAAATGTGAAGTACTCCAGTTCTCAGCCAGAACCCCGCACAGGTCTTTCCTTATGGGATACCAGCCCCTCATACATTGATAAATTGGTACAAGGGATCAGCTTTTCCCAGCCCACATGTCCTGATCATATGCTTTTGAATAGTCAGTTACTTGGCACCCCAGGATCCTCACAGGTGAGGGAATTTAATTTTTTAAAAGTAATGGCAGCTCTTTATTTTTTATTGTCTTAAAGTCCTTTTTTAATGTGTAAATCTTAGATATATAACTTTTAAATCACATGTATTCTTTTTTGGTCAAGGAAGAAAGAGAGGAGGGAGGCCTTCATGCAAAATAATTTTAAGTCAGACTAAATAGCTATGATATTACTGTCTTTAGTCCTAATGGATTTATTCATTTGTCTTCTGTTTGACATGTAGAACCCCTGGCAGCGGTTGGTCAAAAGAATGACACGATTCTTTACCAAATTGGATGCAGACAAATCTTATCAATGCCTGAAAGAGACTTGTGAGAAGTTGGGCTATCAATGGAAGAAAAGTTGTATGAATCAGGTGTGTTTCATTGATTTTCATTATACCTTTTCCTGAAGAAGAATTTAAATATTTGAGTAAAAGCTATCATTAGTATATTTTTTAAATATAGGCTGTGGCTCACACCTGTAATCCCAGCTTTTTGGGAGGCTGGGGTGGGCGGATCACCTGAGGTCAGGGGTTCGAGACCAGCCTGGCCAACATGGTAAGACCCTGTCTCTACTAAAAGCACAAAAATTAGCCGGCCTGGTGGTGCATGGCTGTAATCCCAGCTTCTCGGGAGGCTGAGGCACGAGAATTGCTTGAACCTGGAAGACGGAAGTTGCAGTGAGCCGAGATCCTGCCAGTGCACTCCTGCGTGGCCAACAGAGTGAGACTGTCTCAAAGAAAACCAAACAAACATAAAAATACAAAGTAATTAGTTAATTTGAAAAAGAAACTATTTAAGTAAAATGTTCTTTACTTTAAGAAATAATACTTTTTTTTATTTTGTTTTATTTTTTAATTTTTAATTTTTAGCCACTGTGCCTGGCCTAAGAAATAATATTTCTTAAAAGACCTTTTTATTGTTATTAAAAATAGTAGGGAGCTGGAATCATTATCTTTGTAAAAACTATGTATACTTAAACTGTAGACAATAACAGTTGACTGCCTACTATGAAAGACGAATACATTAGCAATCCCACACTTTCTCCCATCTCCCTTGATTGCACCCGTCAATTTTTATTGTTTATATTATTAGAGCATAGTTATAACATTGGTATTCTAAACTGTCTTTAAGGCTTTTCAAAAAAAATGTTAATGTCAATGAAAGACAAATAGGGTAGCTGTTTTTTACTCAAGGAGACTAAAGAGGCCTGATAACTAAGTGCAAGTGCAATGCATGATCTTTCACTAGATCATGTATTTGAAAAAAACTATAACGGACATTATTGGAACAATTGGGGAAATTTGAATATGGACTGTATATTAATTAGGTAATGTTTTTGTATCAGCGTCAGATTTCTTGGGTGTGATAATACTGTGGTTTGTAGGAGAATGCCCTTGTTCAAAGGAGAACAAGTGTCAAAGCAAAGTTGAAGTGAAGTGATATTTTCATTCAGCTTAAAATTTAAAAAAATAAAGGGCAAACAACTACATAAAGGCCAATAAACACACACATATCTGGTAGATAAGGCCAATGAAGAGTATATGGTTATTTATTATACTCTTTTTTCAGTTTTTCTGTAGATTCGAGTTTTCAAAATTAAAAATTGGGGGAACTGTTACTGTGTAGAAATCTGAGGTCAGCCTGATAGTCTTCTCACTCACATAGGTGATTCACTTTCTTTCAGGTAGACTCAGAGATAAAATTTGCATAACATAAGAATCATCACTTTAACCATTTTAAAATGTAAAATGCAGTGCTTTTTAGTATATTCACAAGGTTGTGCAACCATCGCCCCTAATTCCAGAACATTGCATCACCACGGGGAAAAAAAAACAAAACACCTCTGTACCACCTAGAATCACTCTTTATTCCTTTCTTGCTCCATTCCCAGACAACCTCGAATCTACTTTCTGTCTTTAGGGATTGCCTTTTTGGACATTTTATATAAATGGAATCATATAACATGTAGTCCTTTGGGTCTGTCTGCTTTCATTTAGCACGTTTTCAAGGTTCATAGCATCTATCAGTACTTTATTCCTTTTTATGGCTGAATAATATTCTGTTGTGTGTATGTATTACATTTCGTTTATCCATTCATCCACTCATGGACATTTGGGTTGTTTCTACTTTTTCATCATTATGAATAATACTGCTGTGAACAATCTTGTACCAGTTTTTGTGTGACCATATGTTTTCAATTTCTTAGATATATATGGAGGAATAGAATTGTTGGAGCATATGGTAACTCTTCATTTAACTTTTTGAGAAACTGTGAAATGATTTTTCCAAAGCACCTGTACCATTTTACGTTCCCATCAGTAATGTAAGAGGGTTCCAATTTCTCTACAACCTTGCCAACACTTACTGCCTCCCCTTTTTGCTATGGCCATCCTAGTGTGTATGAAGTCTTATCTCATTTTGCTTTTGATTTTCATCTCTCTAAAGACTAATGATCTTGAGCATATTCTTATATGCTTATTGGCCATTTCTTTATAACAGTATCCGGATATTTTGTCCATGCTTTAACTGGCTTGTTTTTATTGTTGAGTTGTTAGAGTTCTTTTACATTCTGGACACTAGAACCTTGTCAGGTACCTGATTTGCAAATATTTTATCCCATTCTGTGGGAGAAAATTCCCCCATTCTTTTGTTTTCTTGTTAGTGTCGTTTGATGTACTCAAGTTTTAGATTTTGATGAATTCCAGTGGATCTATAATTTCTCTTTTGTTGCCTATGCTTTTAGTGTCAAATTTAAGAAACTGTTGCCTGATGTAAGATTGTAAAGATTTATACTTTATGCTTTCTTTTAGGAGTCCCAGCCTCCTAAGTAGCGGGGACTACAGTCTTAAAGTTTAGCTCTTATATTTAGGTCTTTGTCCATTTTGAGTTAATATTTGTATATAGTATGATGTAGGGTGCAAATTCAAATGTTTGTATGTGAATATTCAGATTCCAGCACCATTTGTTGAAGATATGTTTTACTATTAGATGGTCTTGGCACCTTTGTTGAAAATAAATAGGTCATAGATGTATGGGTTTATTTCTGGAATCTCAATTCTTTTTTTTTCCTTTTTTTTTTCTTCCCCTGTGGACTCAATTCTTTTATTTCATGGATCTATATGTCTGTGCTATGCCGTTACCACACTATGTTGATTACTGTAGCTTTATAGTGAATTTTGACATTAGAAAATATGAGTTGTCCAAGTTTGTTCTTTTTTTCAAGGTATTTTGGTTATTTGTGGCCCCTTGTTTTTCTGTCTTTTAGGATTATCTTATTTCTGCAAGAAAAAAATTTGGAATTTTAAAAGAGATTACATTGGGGAGTATTTCCATTTTAGTATATATTGAGTATTCTTTATTCAAGGTGCTTGGGACCAAAAGTTTTGTGGATTTTACATTTGTTTGGATTTTGGAATATTTGCATATGCATATTGAGATAACTTACAGATGGGACTCAAGTTGAAACATGAATAATTTTATTTATGCTTCATATATACCTGATACAGATAGCCTGAAGGTAATTTTATACAATGTTTTAAATAATTTTGTGCATGAAACAAAGTTTGTACATTGAACTATCAGAAAGCAAACCTGTCAGGTATGAAATTTTCAGTTTGTCACATGATGTCAGCACCTGAAAAGTTTTGGAGTTTGGAACATTTTGGATTTCAGATTTGAGATTAAGGATGCTAAACCTCTAATAGTAACTCTTCTAATCCAATAACATGGGGCCTTTTTTTTCCCATTTTTTTAGGGTCTTTAATTTCTTTCAAGAATATTTTGTAGTTTTCAGTGTTCAAGTCTTGCACTTCCTAGGTTAAATGTAATCCTGTTTATTCTTTTTTTTTTTATCCTGATGCTGATGTAAATGGAATTTTTTAAAATTTTATTTTCAAATTGTTCATTGCTATATGCAAATGAATTTTGTATATTGATCTTGTATCCTGAAAATTTGCTGAATTCATTAACTCCAGTAGTTTTTTTGACAAATTCTTTAGGTTTTTTAATATATTAAGATTACATTATTTGGCAGGGCGTGGTGGCTCACGCCTGTAATCCCAGCACTTTGGGAGGCCGTTGCGGGTGGATCATGAGGTCAAGCGTTTGAGACCTGCCTGGCCCACATAGTGAAACCCCGTCTCTACTAAAAATACAAAAAATTAGCTGGGCGTGGTTGCGGGCACCGGTAATCCCAGCTACTCGGGAGGCTGAGGCCGGAGAATCACTTGAACCTGGGAGGCGGAGGTTGCAGTGAGCCGAGATGACGCCACTGCACTCCAGCCTGGGCGACAGATCAAGACTCCGTCTCAAAAAAAAAAAAATTACATTGTTTATCAATAGAGATACAGGAAATTGTTTTACTTTTTTTTTTTTTTTTAACCCAGATGCCTTTTAATTCTTTTTGTTTAGTTGTCCTGGCTAGGACTTCCAACATTATGTTGAACAGAAATAGAGTCTTTGTCTTGTTCTTGATCTTAGGGTTAAGTTTCGAGTCTTTCAGCATTAAGTATGATGTTAGCTGTGGGGTTTTTGTTTTTATGGTGAAAGAGTATTGGATTTTGTCAAATGTTTTCTCCGTCTATTGAGATAATCATGTGGATTTTTTTTCCCTTTATTAATATAGCTTGACCTCCTGTGCCCAAGTGATCCTCTCATCTCAGCCTCCTAAGTAGCTGGGACTACAGGTGTACACTATCATACCCAGCTAACTTTTTAAAAATGTTTTTGTAGAGATGCAGTCTCTGTGTTTACCAGGCTGGCCTTGACCTTCTGGGCTCAAGTGATCCTCCTGAGTAGTGGGTACTACAGGTGTGCACCACCATGCCCAGCTAAATTGACAGTTTTCATCAGTCTGTTTATTTTGTCTAATGTTAGTATATCCACATCAGCTCACCAGCTATCTTGTGTATTTTCCTTTTTTTAGATGGAGTCTCACTATGTTGCCTAGGCTAGACTGTAGTGGCTACTTAAAGGCACGATCATAGTGCAATGCAGCCTCAAATTCCTGGGCTCAAGTGACCCTCCTGCCTTGGCCTCCCAAGTAGGTGGGACTGCAGGCATGTACCACCATACCCAGCTACCAGCTCTCTTTTGGTTATTGTTTCCATGGTCTATTTTTTTTTTCCTTTTCCTTTTAACCTATTTGTGTCTTTGAATCTAAAGTGCCTTAGCCAGGTGTCATGGCTGACACCTGTAATTCCAGCACTTTAGGAGGCTGAGGTGGGTAGATCACTTGAGGCCAGGAGTTTGAGACCAGCCTGGCCAACATGGTGAAACCCCATCTCTACTAAAAATATTTTAAAAATTAGTTGGGCGTTGTGGTGTGCACCTGTAATGCCAGCTATTGGGGAGGCTTTAGGTGGGAGGATAGTCTGAGCCATTGGAGATCAAGGCTGCAGTGAGTCGTGATCTGATTGCATGACTGCTCTCCAGCCTGGGTGACAGAGCAAGACTGTCTCAAAAAAAAAAAAAAATCGCTTCTTAGCCTTTTGGCTAAGATCAAGTGTAGTATCTATTCCTATCAGTTTAAGTGCCTTAATTTCTCTTCCACTTTTTGGACAGGTAGTTTTGCTGGATATAGAATTCTTATTAGCTTTTGTCTTTCAGCACTTTGATTATGCCACTACTGCCTTCTAGCCTTTGTGGTTTCTGATGAGAAATCAGCTGTTAATCTTACTGAGGATCTCTTTTATGTGAGACGTTGCTGCTCTCTTGCTGCTTTTATGTTTCTCTGTTGACCACAGTTTGACTATGGTGTATCTTGGTGTGGATTTCTTTTTTCATTCTGTTCGGAGTTCGTTGAGCTTCTTGGATATGTAAATTAATGTTTTTAATCACACTTGGGAAGTTTTTGGCCACAATTTCTTCAGATTTTTTTTTTTATATCTAACTCTCCTCTCCCTCTTGGACTCATTATGTTTATTGTTGGTATACTTGATGTGCCACAGTTCTTAGACTCTGTTCATTTTTCTTTATTCTTCTTTCTTTATGTTTCTCAGGGACAGTTTTGGTTGCTGTTTTTCCTTTATAAGGGCCATACTTTGTTTCCTTACATGCTTTGTAATTTTTTGTTGAAAACTGGACATATTGTGGCAATATGTGGCAACTCTAGAAAGTCAGATTTTCCCCTCTTGCCAGTGTTTGTTACCGCTTGATGTAGTTGTTTGTTTTTTTTAGTGGTGTTTGTTTTTTTTTTTTTTTGAGACGGAGCTTTGCTCTTGTTGCCCAGGCTGGAGTGCAGTGGCGTGATCTTGGCTCACTGCAGCCTCCACCTCCTGGCTTCAAGTGAGTCTCCTGCCTCAGCCTTCCAAGTATCTGGGACTACAGGCACCTGCCACTGTGCCTGGCTTTTTGTATTTTTATTAGAGATGGGGTTTCATCATGTTGGCCAGGCTGGTCTCGAACTCCTGACCTCAGGTGGCTGGGATTACAGGTGTGAGGCACCATGCCCGGCCCTAGTGATTTTTCTTATATAATTTTTTAAAGTTGGTATTGTTTGTCATGCATGGCTGTACAATTTCTGTCCCATTAGTTTTAGTGGTCAGCTAATGATTGGACAGAGATTTCCTTAAATTCTGTATACCAAAAACAAAAAATCTGCAGAGTGTTCTGTATTTGTGTTGGGGCACACCTGCAATACTCAACCAAGAAGTTTACAACGTTGCTTCAGCCTTCGCTATCTGCTTGTGCAAAATGCAAAGTTAGGGCACATGTAGAGCTTAGGGGCCTTCTCAGCTCTTTCCTAAGCATATGTACTGCCCTGGTCATGGGTGTGTCTTTTTAGATTCCCAGGTATATGTTGGACCTTTTCAGAGTCCTATTCCCCAGAAACATCTCACTCCCTAACCTCTTCTTCCAAACTTCTTGGGTAGTCTGTTTGCACCAGTTGCTTTCATTGCTTCAGGCAACAGAGACTAAAGCATTTTCCTGTAAGTGTTTTCAGCAAACGCTACTCAGGAGTAGCTTTAGCACAAGGTGAGTTAGAGTTACAAAGGTGAAATAAAGACAAGCCTCTTTTTTTTTTTTTTTTTTTGAGATGGAGTCTCGCACTGTTGCCCAGTCTGGAGTGCAATGGTGTGATCTCAGCCCACTGCAACCTCTGCATCCCGGGTTCAAGCGATTCTCCTGCCTCAGCCTCCCAAGTAGCTGGGATTACAGGCGCCTGCCACCACACCCTACTAATTTTTGTATTTTTAGTACAGACAGGGTTTCACCATGTTGGTCAGGCTGGTCTTGAACTCCTGACCTCAGGTGATCCACCCACCTCGGCCTCCCCAAGTGTTGGGATTACAGGCATGAGCCACTGTGCCTGGCCAGGACAAGCCTTTTGATCAGGTCATTTTAGAGGGTCAGATCGGCTTAAGATAGTTTGTAAATGAGGTTTATTCTGCTCCCACCTGGACCTATGCCTTAAATATGAACTGTTATTTTCAAGGCTGCTACTGAGTGAGGAGCAGGGGATAAACAGGGTAAGTTAAAATGCCAGAAAGCTCACTGTTCTTACTGCGTTTCACTTGTTTTGAATAAGTTGCTGCAAGCTTTTAGCTAGTTTACAATGTTCTGAAAAAGTTGATTCTGACAGGCTTTGGCAGGTTTTTAAAATTGCTTTTGTGGAGTAATGGACTTCTGGAGTTCTTTTCTCTGCCATTTTCACTGACATCACTCCTTGATTCACTCTCTCTCAGTTCTTGAAGTATTTTCTTTGTCTTTGAAGTTTAAGAGCTTAATTCAGATGTGTTGAGTTGAATATCTTGTATTAATTTTCCCAGAACATAGTGGGTTATTTCAGTGCTGCACAGTCGTGGTATGGTTGTGTGTTTTCATAGTTTCTTGAAGTAAGAATTATTACAAAAACTTTTGTAATTTGGGCTGTGTTTTTTGGGCAAATCTGCTGATCTCGCTCGGGCTTAACTCATCCAGCTGTAGTCATTTGATGTCTTTACTGTGGCTGGTGGTCTAAAACATCCTTACTCCCATATTTGGAGTCTTGGCACTGTCTGTTAGCTGAGTCTTTTCTTTCTGCATCATTCAGCTAGGCTGAGCGTCTTTCCATGCCATAGGAACGTTCTAAAAGACTGAAAGTGGAAGTTGAAGGCCTCTCAAGACCTTTGCCATCTTCTAATTGCCGCTCTAGCTTTTCAGCCACAAGTCAGGCCTTTTTCTTTCTCACATTTTAATAATCTTGTTTTTCCTCCCATTATGTTTTCATCTTTGATTGTTTCTTCTTTCAGTGGTATTTTGGTAAAAGACAGTAAGTTTTGTTGCTATGAGTTCATATACACTCAATCCCTAGGAGCTGCACCCCTGTTGATAGATTGGGTTGGGGACACACATACCCACTGGGAGAAGAGAGACTCTGGAATGAGTGAGATTATCAGCATACTTAATATTACTCCTGTTATGGAGGTAGCCAGCAAATTTTTTTTAATTGATACAATAATTGTAATGTATTCATGGGGTATGTAGTGATGTTTTGATTCATATAATGTATAATGATCAGATCAGGATAATTAGCATATTCATAATTTCAAACATTGTGGGAATGGGAATGTTCAGTGATGGGAATGTTCAGTATCCTTCTAGCAATTTGAAACTCTATTATTGTTAAGTATAGTCATCCTACAGTGGTCTAGAACTTACTCCTATCTAGCTGTAATTTTGTATTCTTTCATGAATCTCTATCTTTCCCTTCCCTCTCCCCTTCCTGGACTCTAGTATCCTCTGTTCTGCCTTCTACTTCTATGAAATTAACAGTTTTTTTGTTTCCACATATGAGTGAGAACATGTGATGTTTAATTTTCTGTTCCTGGCTTATTTCACTTTACATAATGTCCTCCAGTTCCACCCATGTTGCTGCAAATGACAGGATTTCATTCCTTTATATGGCTGAGTAGTATTTCATTGTGTATATATATCATATTATCCTCATCTGTTTGCTTGGCTTTTTGTTTTGTTTTTTTGAGACAGGGTCTCGCTCTGTCGCCCATGCTAGAGTGCAGTGGCGCAATCATAGCTCACTGCAGCTTCAACCTCCTGGGCTCAAGTGACCCTTCTGCCTCAGCCCCCTGAGTAGCTGGGCCTGTAGGCATGCACCACCATGCCCGCTAATTTTTTGGGAATTTTAGTAGAGATGAGGTATCGATATGTTGCCCAGCCTGGTCTGAAGCGATCCTTCTGCTTTGGCCTCCCAAAGTGCTGGATTACAGGCGTGAGCCACAGTGCCTGGCCTACACTCATCTGTTGTTGGATACCTAGGTTGATTCCATATCTTGGCTATTGTGAATAATGCTGTAGGGTTGCAAATTTCTCTTCCATATAATTTCCTTTCCTTTGGATCAGTAGTGGGATTGCTGGAACATATAGGTAGTTTTATTTGTAGTTTTTTGAGAAACTTCTATTCTGTTCTTCATAGTGGGTTTACTAGTTTATTATCTACTCACCCATGTGGCTTAACCTTATTTTTGTTGCCTTAGGTTACTATATCAACAACTGATAGGAGAAACAATAAACTCATTTTCAAAGTGAATTTGTTAGAAATGGATGATAAAATATTGGTTGACTTCCGGCTTTCTAAGGTATTTTTATGTTTTATTGTATTCTTTCTATGGAAATATTTCTATATGAATTTTTTTAATGGCATTATGTTTGTATATATGTGGCATTTGTAAATAGGTTACTTGCTTTTTTCGTTTAATATTATGAGCATGTGTTTTCGTTATCTATTTTTCCCGAACATTGTTTTTTTCAAATGACATTTTCCTTATTATAAAAGTTTTTGCCAGGCGTGGTGGCTCATGCCTGTAATCCCAGCACTTTGGGAGTCCGAGACGGGTGGATCTCGAGGTCAGGAGTTTGAGACCAGCCTGGCCAACATAGTGAAACCCCATCTTTACTAAAAATACAAAAAATTAGCCAGGCGTGGTGGCGGGTGCCTGTAATCCCAGCTACTTGGGAGGCTGAAGCAGGAGAATCATTTGAACCTGGGAGGCGGAGGTTGCAGTGAGCCGAGATGACGCCACTGCACTCCAGTCTGGGTGACAATACAAGAGACTCTGTCTCAAAAAAAAGAAATTTCTGCTTTTGTGAAAAATGTAGATAAGCAAAAAATGAGAAAATAAAAATAATTCTAAATTTTCAGTGATCACATTAATATTTCGAAGCATTTTAATATTTTTCTTAATTTATGTCTTTTAATAAAAATTATGATTTGTTACAAATATTTCATTATAATTTAATGAACCTTTACCAGTTATAATAATTCTGTGATTGCTATTTTATGCATAGATTTTTTTGTTCATATTTCTGATGATTTCTTTAGAAATCATTGATTCTAAGATGATAGTATTACAGCCCTTGATATATAAAACCAAAATAACATTTTTCTCTATTTTCTGAGAGATTGTATGTGGCTCTAAAGAGGGTTGGAGGGGTAGCTGCTGTGTTAGAGCATTTGCCGCAGTACTCTTTGTATTAGAGATTTGCTGCAATACTGTTTTTCAGATGCTTGCTACAGAATTAAATTAAGATCGTAGTATAATGAAATTCTTCTCATAACTAAATCTATTGATTTTGGTCAGTAGTGTTATGACAACAAGACTTCAGTTTAGTTGTATAGTTTATTGTTAGTTTCCAAACCCTCACTGCCTATGGAATGTAATGACTTAGGTCCAGATATACCAACACCTGAAACAGATAGGATGCCATGTTTATCTGCTCTCTGAGCTCAGTGCAGTAGGAACAGTGATGGGCATGAAACCACATCAGAATTATTTGTGTAACAATTTTCTCTTCCAGGATATTTGGTCTTCATAAACAGACCGAAAAGAAAATGGTAGCTAGACATACCTAAAGATGTTTGTCTCTTGTTACCACTACAAAGAGATTGATTTTAGGACAGAATTTTGTTTTTGTTTTTGTTTTGACATAATTTTTTAATACTATTTCTAATATAGGGTGATGGATTGGAGTTCAAGAGACACTTCCTGAAGATTAAAGGGAAGCTGATTGATATTGTGAGCAGCCAGAAGATTTGGCTTCCTGCCACATGATCGGACCATCGGCTCTGGGGAATCCTGGTGAATATAGTGCTGCTATGTTGACATTATTCTTCCTAGAGAAGATTATCCTGTCCTGCAAACTGCAAATAGTAGTTCCTGAAGTGTTCACTTCCCTGTTTATCCAAACATCTTCCAATTTATTTTGTTTGTTCGGCATACAAATAATACCTATATCTTAATTGTAAGCAAAACTTTGGGGAAAGGATGAATAGAATTCATTTGATTATTTCTTCATGTGTGTTTAGTATCTGAATTTGAAACTCATCTGGTGGAAACCAAGTTTCAGGGGACATGAGTTTTCCAGCTTTTATACACACGTATCTCATTTTTATCAAAACATTTTGTTTAATTCAAAAAGTACATATTCCATGTTGATTTAATTCTAAGATGAACCAATAAAGACATAATTCTTGTGACTTTTGGACAGTAGATTTATCAGTCTGTGAAGCGAAGCCAGCTTCAAAACATATCCCCAAGATTTGTACTTATATTTTCAAAAGGGCCTGGCCAGTTATATAAACCTGTTTTTGAATTATAATGATTAATTAAAATTGCAAGTAGGTGTTTTTTCCAGTGTAGTTAGTAAAATACTTGTATTTTACAGTGTTGCATAAACTCTAGTGCTTAACTAACTTTACTCTAAAAATTACTGTTGAACATCTTAAATATTTTTCTATATTTTCTACTTTCATAGCCATATTTTAACCTTTTCAACTTACTGGTGACCAAGCTTTTAGGTGATAAAGAATAAAAGAGGGAAGGGAAGAGTAAGGAAGCTATAAGAAAAATAGATCTGATTCTTTGTTCCTTTACCTGTTAGACTTACAAAAAGTTTGTTTTTCTAATAAAATTTGTATCAACTTTGGGGCATATTAGGTTGAGGCCTTGGCTCCTGCCTGTAGTCCCAGCTACTTAGGAGGCTGAGAGAGGAGGATCGCGTGAACCTGGAAGTTTGAGGCTGTAGTGAGCTATGATTGCACCAGTGCACTCCAGCTTGGATGACAGAGTAAGACCCTACCTCTAATAAAAATTTTTAAAATTGTAAAACATTATAAAATTAATCAGTTATTTTAATCTGAAGCCAAGAACATGTAGAATGTTATGATTAGAGTTTATCACATATTAATGTATACTGGCAAATTGTGTTACTGGAGTATACCCATAGGAGGAATAAATTCAAACCTGTTTTATTTATTTGAACCTATTTACGGTATGCTTAAGAATTGAATCAGTATAAATTCTCAAATATGGGAGAAATTTTGTTCTTGAGAATTATCTGAGTCATTAATATTTTTCAAAAACAGCTCTCACTGACTTGAACCTCTTCTGTAAGCTCTAACCTTTTACCTGCTTTACATTTCCACTTGAATGTCTAGTAGGCATCTCTTGACCAAAAACAGCTTTTGATTCCTGTTCTCCAACCTGTTCCTCTCCTAGTTTTCTCCATCTCAGAAATGTTACTTCCTCTGCAAAGTCTTTCCCTGACTTATCTAAAATAATAACCTCCTCTGTTTGCTGTGGGAATTTGTATAGAATGGTGGGAAAATTTCAAGTTTCATATTTGGATTAGCTCTGACATTTATTTATCTGAACACTGGTAATTGCCTCAGTAAAGACACTGATAATAAGTACCTTTTAGAGTTATTTTAATCTTTAATGCTTTAATGTGTAGGAAGAGTATAGTGTCCTGTTTTGCACAGAAAGGCATTCTGTAAATAATAAGTTGCCTTAATTTTCCTGTAATGTTCATTATATTGTTGTGGGAAGGTATTTACTCCTATTATTAAAAATAAAAATGTGTAAAATTTACTACCTGAAGATAACAGTTCAAATTTTGATGGAAAAATCAACCTATGCTTGTGTGTGTGTGTGTGTGTGTGTGTGTGTGTAATGTGTACAGTGTGTGTGGTTGTTGAGATAAGCATAATTATATAAAAATATGTG